>NC_000002.12:238904047-239231995 GCF_000001405.40 Homo sapiens | reverse complement strand
CTTCGGGGAGGACGCCTACCTCAGGCATCCGGGAGCAGGTGCTCAGCAGCCTCGATTGAGGAGAGGGGCGCTTCGGGGAGGACACCTACCTCAGGCATCCGGGAGCAGGTGCTCAGCAACCTCGGTTGAGGACAGGGGCGCTTCGGGGAGGACGCCTACCTCAGGCATCCGGGAGCAGGTGCTCAGCAGCCTCGGTTGAGGACAGGGGCGCTTCGGGGAGGACACCTACCTCAGGCATCCGGGAGCAGGTGCTCAGCAACCTCGGTTGAGGACAGGGGCGCTTTGGGGAGGACGCCTACCTCAGGCATCCGGGAGCAGGTGCTCAGCAGCCTCGGTTGAGGAGAGGGGTGCTTCGGGGAGGACACCTACCTCAGGCATCCGGGAGCAAACCGGAGGCAAACAAAAAAAGTCAGTAGCAACAGGAAGTGTGGATGAAGGACTTACTGTTAAACAGACGGCATGCTGAGGGCTTACGGCCCTCATGGCGCTGCTCTCCACCGTGACCGAGTGCCCTGGCTCCTGTGCCCCCCACTGCTCCTACAGAAGGAAAGCCAGAGCCTCAGATCCCGTGGCCGCTGTCCCAGGGTCGCTCAGCATATACATTACAGGGCAGGACACATGACTGCCCTGAGGGCTGTGCTACTGGGGAGAAAGACATCCTCAGAAAATGCGATGCCCTTCCATCGGCCAAAAGGGGAAGTAGAGGCCGATGTTAAGACCGGGATGCTGGACTAAAGAGAAGCACGTTCCACGGTTTCCTGAGGCATAGGGGTGGCGGTTTCATCACCCTCTGTACCTGTGTCCTGGGAAACGTGTATCTGTCAGAGTTAGGGAGGCTCTTTTTAAGGTTATGTTTCAAAAGCACCATTTTTAAAAGAAAACTCTGGAACCTTAAAGGGGATTAACTAGAAACTGTAGAGAAACTCTCCAAAATAACGCAAAATTCACGTTTGGCTTCAGCGTTGGATTCCCACATCTAAGGGGTGTTTGACCAGCACACTGTCAAAGGAGCTGTATTTCCAGACACTGCTCTTACATTTTGGAACAGGAAGTATTTGAGGTTGGCTGGTGCCTGGAGCTCATGCTGCCTCCTAGATGTGTTTTGTGGCGGTTGTTGCATTGTTTCGTTTGGTGAGAAGAAAGTGGAATCTGGTACAAATCTGCAAGGACGTGTGACCTCAGGGGAAGCTTCGAAAGTCTCCCTTTATTGGCACCGGAAGCTGTTAATTACCTTCATACACAGAGCCCGTGGTAACAAAGTCCTTGGTTGTAATATTCCTGCGTGGTGCCCCTTTGTGAGTTTTCATCATAAAGCTGGCATTTCTGGGGTTTGGATAGGGTCCAGTGAAGGACCCACGGCCATCTCTGGTGGTTCCTCGAGTGGCCCCCACGGAAGGACTGGGCAGGAGTGGCAGGAAGAAGAGAGGCCGTGGCGGCCTCGTCCTGGCGGCGCCTGCCGTGACTGCTTGGGTTATTTTCCTCCGATCAGGGAAGTGTCTTTGAGGAATCAATGCCCTCCGGCCCACGGACTCGGCAGCTTGCCAGCCACGGGCAAGGATTGGCCAGGACGGTCATGTCCGCCACGGAACATGTCACCTGCTTTGCTTTTTTTTTTTTTTTTTTTTTTGCTTGCTTGCTTTGTTTTAATTTTTAGAGGTAAAATGAAGTGTAGAATGTAAAGACATCAAAGTAAAACTGTTTGTGTAAACCAAAAATAAAATTCTAAGTCCCCCAACCCAATGAATGGACCCCCTTCTTGACCAAGGGGTCCCAAAGAAACTTGAAAAATGAGTTCAGGCCCTGATGGGAATGGGGGGTTGGACAGGCCTCCTTAGACGCCCCCTCCTTTTGGCGTTCAGGCCCAGCTGACCAGCGTTAACATCAAAACAGCGATCTCACGACTGATAAAACAGACACAGCAGTAAGATTCCCGGTTCCACCCTGACTCTGGGATAGCAGCAGGCGACAGAGAGCAGGCCCTGCAGGAAATAAAAGTATTTTACCCCAGAATATATTCCTTCCACCTATTTTGAGTGGCTATAGAAAACTGCCTCTTGGGGGGGAAATTTGCATTCTGGAGAGAATCCCATGCCCTTTCCAGGTCTCTTTTTCCTGATCCAGGAGAGATTTAACTACAAGTCACCTTTTAAAGTCCCATAGGAGACATTTACCATCTATTCTCTCTGAAGCCTGCTTCCTGGAGGCCTCATCCACATAACGAGAATCTCCGCTTATCTTAACTCAAACATTTTTTTATGCTGACATCAACTCTTCAGTCAGAAAACCTTTCAGTCTGCCTAGGATCTGTGAGGTCCTCACCCTACTTCTTCAAGATGTTCTGGGCCAAACCAATATATACCTTACATGTGTTGCCTGTAATTTCTGTCTCCCTAAAACGCATAAAGCCAACCTGTAACGTGACAACCTCAGGCACAGACTTCCTGAGGCTGTGTCCTGGGCCATGGTCACTCGTATTTGGCTTAAAATAAACCTCTTCAACTATTTTACAGAGTTTGGCCTTTTTCGTCAACATTTGAAAAATCTGAAAAGAATTCCCATGGTTTGATTCTCTTAGTTCAAACTAATGTTGAGAGTTTGTTGACTGCCCTCCATCAAGTTAACCTGAGGGCCGGTATGAATAGCCATGACTCAAAGGCCAGACGCAGGAGTCTGCCCCCCACATGGCTTTAGAAGCTGACTGCAATATAGCGTTACTCCTGGAGGCCATGTGTGTGTCGTGTACAATTATGAGCAATTTAGAAATGCTTTAAGAGTCACTTTTGGCAATTAGGCGAATTGGCCCCATTACTTTATTCATTTTATTTTTATTTTTATTTATTTTTTGAGACATAGAGTCTCACTGTGTTGACTGGAGTGCAGGGCTGGAGTGCAGTGGCAGGATCTCGGCTCACTGCCACCTCTGCCTCCCAGGTTCAAGCGATTCTCCTGCCTCAGCCTCCTGAATAGCTGGGATTACAGGCGCCCGCCACCACGCCCGGCTAGTTTTTGTATTTTTAGTAGAGACGAGGTTTCACCACATTGGCCAGGCTGGTCTCGAACTCCTGACCTCAAGTGATCTGCCTACCTCAGCCTCCCAAAGTGCTGGGATTACAGGTGTGAACGACTGTGCCCAGCCCTTGTTACTTTATAGTAGAGAATAGTTTTGGACCAGAAGCTGCGCCCTCCTGCTTGGTCACTACCTTGTTCACTAGATGTGGTGTCGAGTAATCCTCAAGTTCCAATTCCCCTTCGATGGCTGAAGGCATATTACCTCTTAAGAATTTCAAAAGGTGTTATTTTTCAAGGTCTGTTCATACCCATGCCCCCTTCTCCAGTCCTTCCCAATATCTCATCCCTATCCGCCCCTAAACCTTCAGATCGTTCTGTTTTTCTCTGATGCTGTTTGCTTTTTGCCACCTGGAGACAAGTCACTTCTGATTTCTGCTCTCCTTCCCCTCAGATCTGTGAACTCCCATGAGCAGTAACATCAGGTTTCTCTGGAAACACTGCGGGGCCAAGAACACCACCTTTCACGTGGCGTACACAGCCTGTATTTGCACCCCATTCACTTTCCTCCTAACTCTCACAGTGACAGCTCCCTCCTGCCATCCCGTTCCGGCTCAGTATTGACAGAGGCCAGTGAAGGATCAGGTCCTGGGCTCAGCTGAGTTGCTCCAAGGCCTGGGAGCCTGGCAGACATGGGGGCAGCACAGTCTTCCTGTCTCCCTTTGGCCACATGGCCTCCAGCAGGCTGCTCCTCACCTGGTGTCCCGGGGCTGCTTGGTCCTGGGCCAGGGCGCAGGCAGCAAGGGCAAGTGTCTGGCGTAGCGTCTGGCACACAGGAGGGGTCTGTGTTCTCTTGCACTCTTGCTTCCTGGTGCCCTCTGGTGTGCCTGGCCCCAGGTTCGTGGCTCTGCCCTTCCTGCAGCTCAACCACCGTCCCTTCCACCTTCCCATCCCTTTGTGGCAATGTCCCTAGGAGCAACTGTCTCAAGTGAAACCCAGCCCAGCTGATGCTGGGAAGCATAACAACAGGAGGGCTTGAATTGCGTTGAAAATGTGTCTTGAGAAGATGCCTGGTGGATGGAAGCAGCTGGGAGACCTAGCAGAGGGCCCGGGCCACCCTGCAGTGGCAGCTGCTGGACCTGCAGTCCGCTGGACCTGATCTGCAGGGCGATGACTCTCGTGAAGCTGCTGAGTCAGTCACATTTGCCTTCAGAGGGCCCTTCTGGCTTTTAATGGTGTTAGCCCTCTGAGGCTTGCTTGCTCATTTCACCGGGCAGAGACTATGTTCCTCCGCACCCGAGGCATGCCCTCCTGTCCTGGAACTCCAGGGCTGCCTCCCGCTCCTTCCGCTTGTCTTTGGAGGGCCTGTCTTCCCTTCTCTCTGTCTGCATTTCCCCAAGGTGCTTGTCTGTCTGTCCAGGCTCTGCCTTCTGTGATGACAGTCTTCCTGGCCTTTCTGGTGAGCACGGTATCTGCCATCTGTAGCAGAGGGCACTGAGGCTGGCGGGACCTGCAGGGGCATGCAGGGTGCTGGCCGCTGGGGGCTGCCCGGTCCCACTTGGCATGGTGTCCAGCAGGCTGCTTAGCCCCTGTGACCTCACTGGGAGGGCCCAATGCTGCCTGCCCTGCCCCCATGCTGGGGCAGGAAGACCAGGACACCTCACGTGTAGCTGGCCAGCTTCCACTGGTCCGCAGTTTTCAGTGCTGTTCCATCTCCCTCTCCAGAGGGTAGTAGTCCCTGGGCTCTGCCAGCCACGTGGGGTAAGCGGTGGTTGGGGCCCTGCATTCCCTGAGCAGATATTTCATTCTCCTTCACCTCCAGTCCTGGTCCCACCAGCCCCTGTGCCCCGGAGGGCTGTGTGACCGAGACTGGTCTGCCCCTCCCTTGGCCCACCCTGGCTGATGGGTCAGCTTTGCTGTCTCTGATACCTTATTCACCCAGATCCTTTCTGACTTCCAGCATTTTGTGGCTGCTCTCTCATCTCCTGTGTGTGTGTTGTGTTGGTGTGTCTTTCTAAACAATCCACACACTGTTTCAGCAGAATCTTGGAGGGATCCTGACAACGTGATTGTGTTCACTCTGTTATTTTTGACCAGAAATGCCCTGTGGCTCTGAAATGCCACCCTGTGGCTGGCAGGTGGGACCGTGCCTCCCCACGCGGCCCAGGACACTGCTGCCTGCCAGCCCCACCCGTGAGCCTGCCGGCCTCACTTTCCAACTGGTTCTTTCCCTGTCCGCAGTGCCTGAG
Organism: Homo sapiens; assembly: GCF_000001405.40. Taxonomy (NCBI): domain Eukaryota; kingdom Metazoa; phylum Chordata; class Mammalia; order Primates; family Hominidae; genus Homo; species Homo sapiens. Next base: position 239,226,740 of record NC_000002.12, on the reverse strand, counting down.
GCAGAAAGATAGAAAGTTTCTCCATCCTGGGTGGACATTAGATTGTTTGGGTTATCTACATTTATCACCCCCCCCATTACATGTTACATTGTTGTTGTTGCTGTCGACCCAAAGATTTCTGAAGAGCTTACTGTCTGCCCTTAGCAAGGAACATGGGTGGTAAGAAAGCAGACGGTTATTGGTTGGGGCGTCGTGGAGAATTGGGGGTGCTGTCTGAGAAATATCCTCTGGGTGCTTCTAAAACCGTCCACACATCCACAGCAAATCTGGATGGGGTGGAGCTGGTGACTGGTTGTTTCTCTACTTTAGAGGGAGAGAGAAAGCTATGTGGCAGTCCCAGCAGTGCCCCTCAACCGTGTTGATACAGAATACAGAGAAATCTCACTGAGTATCTCTCAGGGAGGATTCCACAGTTCTAAGTGATGATTGGTTGGAAGAAAGGATTTTTTTTTTCCACTGAGAATTTGGTTTGGTTTGTGTATTCGGAGTGTCACTGGTGGCCAAAAGTATTATCCAGGAATGAATTTTTGCATCATGACATCATTTCTGGTTAAAGGGCTTTTTATCTTTTTTCTTTTATTACCAGCTTTGTGTGCTTTAAGGCTGTGGACTGTAAAATGTATCCAGAGGGCCTGCGGAGCCCCTCAGTGGCATCTGGAAGCCTGTGCCGCCAGGACGAGGGAGATGGCTCTTTGCCGACCCTTGTCTGTGTTAGGGTGTCGCGGTGCAGCTGAAAGGGAGTTCCTTCTCAGCAGCCACATTTGACCCTAATGTCATGTTTTCGCCGTACCAACACCATGTCCCCTACCAGAGGAACCTGCCCATCTTTTAAGGAAGGTTTCCATTTCTGGACCTCACAGCAAGATGCACACACTGTCACACGTGATGCAGAACCAAACTCAGGCCCTCTGTGTTTCCAATGAGGGGCTCCGAGGGGCCATCAGAGCCAGGTGTCTGACCAGGTGAGGGAGGACTGGAGGTGTCCCTTGGGTAGCAGTACGTGGCCACGGGCGAGGGGAAGAAATTGAAGGCGGTTTAGTCAGGCGCCTGAGGAAGGGGCTGGCACTTCTTTCAGTTCTACAGCACCCAGCCCTGCGTGGGCCTTCCTGGGCGGGCCTGCCCTCCCCTGCCGACCTGCCTTCCCCGCCTTCCTGGCTTCCCTCTCCTGCTCTTGAGCCCAGCCAGGCTCCACCCCTCCATCCAGGTGTTTCTCATCCCCCCCTGGGGTGGGGGCACCCTGCAGGTGGTGGGAGTCCAGCTATGCTTTACTCTCCCGCAGACCGACTTCTGCCTTCGTGGATCTGCTCTTGTGGGTGTGTTCTCTGTTTTATTAATTCCTGTTTTAATAGCTGTTCTCCTTTCTCTGCATTTATTCGGATATGCTTGTTCTTTTAGGTTGAACATTTCACTTGTTAATTTTTAGCCCTTCTTCCTTTCGGATGGAGGCATTCAGGGTTCTGTGCTGTGCTTCCCTTGGGGTTCAAATGGGGCTGCTTTGGATAAGTTCTAATTTGTATTATTTAATTTGTAAAGCATATTACATTAACACTTCATAAAGTCTTGGTGTTTCTCAAGAGAGTTATTTTGAAATTTGCTTTTTGGTTCCTTTTTTATTTGAAAAAATGAAATATTTAGAAGTGTTTTTTGTTTCCCGAAAGTCTGAATTTTCCAAGTCATCTTTTTTGTTATTCATTTCTAATTTACTCCATTATGGTTAGAAATTACCCAGCTGTTGAATTTTACTGAGACTTGCTTTGTGGTCAATTTTTATGAATCTTTAATATATGTGTGAGAAGATTTTGAATTCTCTAGTAATTGGGTGCTGGATTCTAAATATGCTCATTAATTCCAGCTTATTGATTGTAAATTACCTACAATATTAGAACATGTGAGAGGCGAGAATCGCTGTGGAGGAGAGTGAGCAGTCAAGGACTGGGGATTCAGGAGGGTGGATTTCTGCGTTCAACTCATTCATTCATTCACTCATTCATATTGATTGGGCCTTCTAATGCCATCCCCTGCCCTTGGCATATGGAATACATGTATTTATGATTGACACAGAGACCCCTATTTCATGGTACTCATGTTACCCTGGGAGGAAGAGAGGAAACTAGTAAAGGCAATGAGTAAACAGTAGAGCAGGGAAGGCAGAGCAGGGCTCGGGAGTGGAGGGGCTGCGATTTTACACCCGCTGGTGAGGGCAGGCCTCCTTAGAAGGTGAGCAGACATTTGCAGGCCGAAGACCTGGTCAGGAGAAGAGGGAGTGGGCGGTGCGGGAGACATAAAAGGCCGGGTTAATCAATTAGGCATGGCTTTGAGTGACATGGAGGCTCCTGGAGGTTCTGAGCAGAGAAGCGACACCACGTGACGTATGCCACAGAGAATGCAGTGGCCACGTGGGACAGGCATCGGAGGAGCAGGGAGACCCACCAGGGTCTGGGAGCAACCCAGGCAGTGGATGGGGCTCAGTCCGGGTAGGTGGAGTGGGAATGTAGAAAATGGTACAAATTCTAGAGATATCTGACGTAGATGGGATTTCCTTAGCCTGCAGATGGGCTGTGCAGGAAACAGAAGAGTCGAGGGTGACCTCAGGATTTTTGGCTTTAAGCACTGCTGATGGAGTTGCATGAATTCATGGGGAATGTGGGTGGAGCAGACCCTGCGCTGGGATGAGGATTAGTATGGATCTGTGCAGTGCTTTCAAAGGCACCCAGTTTGGAACACTGAGTGGTAGGCGTTGGCGAGCCTGCGCTGAACGTGGGAGGGGCCTGCGCTGGGCATTCATAGCAGAAAGATACATGGACATGAACTCTCCCGGGCAGTGGATCTCCTCCGTGCAAGGTCCACAAAGTAGACTTTGTTTCTTTTCCCTTTTTTTTTTTTTTAAACAATGTTTGCTTAGTGCTGGCATGCATCTTCTACCAAATCCTACTTTGTAAAGTGTTCCTGCTGGCAAGAGAGTTACTGGCTCCGGGATCTTTGCTGGGCAGAGAGTGTGAGCGCACAGCCTCCACAGCCAGCAGCAAGGTCCTGCTCAAAGTGGGACTCGTGGTTGCTCCTAATTACAGCAATGATGAGGACACTGATGGCCACAGGTCCCCTTACCAAGGCCACCCATCTGTCACTCAGCTACGTACCGTGTGTTCATTGGCATTTAATGCCCCTGGGGACATCACACAGTAGTTACTGGTTCAGGAACTGAGGCTGGGAGGCGTAAGTCACTTTTTATCAAGCTGCCCAGGTGATTTTTCTGGACAGAAGTCTGAACCAGCCCCCTGCCTTCTGCATTTCCACCTGCCTGCTGGATTATTCCACCCCCAGTGACCCGCAGCGCCCTTGAAAGATGCTGCAGCCCACGCCGGTCTCCAGAAAGCCCCGGCGGAATGTACGTTGCTGCCTGGAAGAGGCCGGCTCGCCCCAGAGAGAGGGGCTACCTCCTTCAGGCCTCGTCCTTGGTGCCCTCTCTTCTTCTCCAATGGTTTCTATTTTTAAATATTTCAACTGTTACTGTTAAGTAATAGTGGTTCCTACTTCGGCCCAGCTGTTAGGTGAAACACATAACCAAACGTTTGGAGGTTGCTAAGAAGGAAATTCTGAAATGCGTTCTTATGTAAACTTGATCTTACGTAACTGAGAAGGCAAGAGCAACTGCAGTGGGATTTGTAGGCTTCCTAGACCACTGAAACTATTTTTAATTTTCAGACAATATATTTTTATCCATTGGGTTTAGGGTATTTGGATAGCTTTCAGGAGTAACGTGTAACTTGTGCTGGTGTGAGCAGGCTGGAGAGATGGGCTGCAGTGGTTTCAGGGAGGTGGTGGTGTTCCAGGAGGTGTGGCCAGTTTTGAATCCAGGTGACAATGCTTACTGGCTGCATCTCCCGTCTGTGATACCCAGGTCCCCGCTGGGACCTGCTTCAGGGGGCTGTGAGGACGAAAGGAGATCACAAAGCAAAAATACTTTAAATTCGTGCTCAGTCCTGAAACATTAGTTTTTTGTTATTGTTTCTATTCAATTGCTTTTGCATTGGAATTGTAGAGTCTTAGAAAGATTTTCCAGGAATGCTTTGTCCATAACGTGATTGTAGCAGCATCTCAGACGGATGGTTCTGTCTGTTATTTCTGGGGGTCATGCTTGTCTTTCATGGCTGCGCTTCTGTATGAGAACTTAAAGCACATTTCACCATTTTTTTTTTTTTTTTTTTTGGTATGGGGTAAGGCCTGGTTCTATTTATAGTTTCCAGGAAGTACATTTGTGCACTTCTTGAAAGCCAACTTACCAACTGCATGCCAGGTTTTTATTTTCAGCTCTTGCTCAATTTGAGCTTGCAAATATTTCCAAAAGATGTTTTTTTCTTCCTGGGGATATAGAACAAATTAGAAACATTAAAAGGATTTTCTAAAGAGCTTTAAGGATAGTTCTGAAATAGGGAGCAGGGAAAAAATCTAACACTTGCGTTTTCATTAAATTGTGGAACAGAAGCACACAGATGGTCTTGCTCCCTCCAGATACAGCCCTGGCTGGTACGGCCAGCACCCAGGGACTCTGCACACGGAATTCCACGAGAATAACATCACGGGCTGCCGTAAAAGCCAGGGAAGCGAAGGGAGGCGTTTCTGATCTGTTTCTGGCCTTGCGCTGGCACAGGGTGTCATCCCTTGGGTGGGAAGGGTCTTTGGAGCCCCTTATGGCAGCAAGTTTACAGCCGCATTTGGATTTAATGCTGGCAAGGAAGGACTTTATTTTCTGTTCGAATCAAATTTGGAATACGTTTTTGAGTAAAGCTTGCTGCGTTGTTGATACAGCTTATTACTCAGAAGAAAAAAAGCCTTTTAAGTGACCTGTTAAGGAAAGTTTTATTTCCTCAAAGTTCGTGATAGCTTCAATAGTTTCGGCTTGTCATTTAATAGGACCTTTTGAAAGAAATATTCACCAGAAAAGAATCACTTCAAGTTGTGTGTGCATTATAAAAATGGCTCTCGTCCACGATGACTGGCTGAAAAATGAGATTTTTGAGTTTGTCATACATTTAGGGGACCCTTAAGAATGTGGACAGATGTGGAAGTAGCTGTTCTTCAGTTGAAGGCTGTGTGTGTGTGTGTGTGTGTGTGTGTGTGTGTGTGTGTGTGTCCCACTCTCAGCGCACTTTGAGGCGCAACTCGAGGTGACACAGTTGAGTCCAGGCCTTGCGGTGAGTGCTGAGGACACAGAGATGGGCATGGGCCGTCCTTCCCAGCTGGCCACTCTTAACCCCTGGGGAGGGGCACAGGGTCTCCGAAGCTCCTGCCACACTCCTGTCTTTTTTGTTTTGCTTTGCAATTCAGTAGTCCCTGTGGGGTAACCAGATGCTCTTAGCTTTGTTGGTTGGAGCTGTGATTTTTTTTTCCAGAGGGTTTCCCAGAATGCTCCCATCTCCTCCCCTGATGTGGTGTCAGGTGGCACCATGGTGTCCCCCGCTCCTGTGCACAGACCTTGGCTTTCCTCAGCGGTTTATGTCAGAGAACGGGCCGATGTCCGCTCCATCCCCTTCGCTTCTCTTTTATTCTTCTAAATGGTATTCGCAAGAACACTAATACCATCTGACAGGGTTCTCCTTCATGTAGAGGAATCATTTAAGGCGCCTGTAAACGGGGAAGGTAAAGAGAGACAGGGCGGTGAGGCCTCTGTGCCTCACTCAGCGGGTCACACGCCACCGCCCGCAGAATGAGCTGAGTCCAAGGGCTGGTGGGAGGGAGGTCTTCGTGGTGAGGGAGTACCTCGCCTTGGTCATGATGACAACACGGTACCAAGGTCGGTCCCTGGCTTTTTTTGGCTACAGAAGGTGGAACCAGTGGGGGAAACCTGGCGGAAGGGTACCTGCAACCTCTCTGGACTTTCTTGGCAACTTCCTGTGAATCTATAATTATCTTTTAAATTCACAATATTAGTGTGAGAAACCTTTAATAAAATATATGGCTCGTTTCCCATCTGTTATCCATTTAAAGTTGAGATGTGTCATTCCATGGGATTAGAAATAAAGAAAAAAAGATGGATGTTCGTAGATGAAGCTGAATGACTAAGGTTGATCATTGTGGTAGCCGGATACGTGGGTGTTTATTATATTCCTCTCGCTAACTCTGTGTGTCGTTGAAGATTTTCATGATGAAAGGCCGCTGACCAGTTCCTAAGAGTCTTCTGGCACCATCTTCTCCGAGGTCACTGTCTTCCCCTACCAAGCACAAACTGTCCCCACCATAGGCTTTATCGCTTCTGCCTAGATCCGCAATCTGTCAGATTTCTTTCATCTTTATTATCTTCTTCCTCTTTTTCAGTGCACAGTGTATGCTTTAATTTTCTAGTTATTTTTCTAACTTTTTGAGTCTAATGTTTTTATTTGTTTGGGTTCCTTTTGTAGTTACTTACATGTAGGCAGCTATTCATTGTTCTCTGAGCTCAATTTTAGGCAATTCCTACAATTTTCGATATGTGATGTGTTCATTACTTTATAAATTTTTACCACTTTCACTAGAATTTGAAGCGTTTAAGAGAAAGAGACTCATTTTTCCCATGGTTGGATTTTTGTTTCTCCTGGTTTTATTTCTGGTTCTGTTGCAGTGTGTTCCAGTGTTTAGTCTACACTGTGTGTATTTGGAAACTGTGTTCTTTATGTGGCATTGGTTTTTGTAAATGTTTCATGGAGGCTTGCAGCAAAAGGCATACATGGCTTAATGATAAGAGGTTCGAGGCCTATCTGTTGGCTGAAGTAAGAATTGTACTATTCCCATCCTCTGTATGCACACCTCCTGTGTGTTTGCTCTGCCGTGAGTGTACAAGAGCAAGTTCATATCTAGTGCTGACCATGTGTGTCTTCATTCTGTGTGTTCTGTGTTTTTACTCGAAGGTACCCACAGTGTGTGCCTCAGACAGTTCCGTCATCTTTGTAGATTGCATGCTTTATACTTAGGAAATGGTCAAATATGTTTGATATTTAGTGTTGGATTCAATCTTTGTGATACCGATATCTCGATTGCACATTTCAATTTGTTTCTATTTGCCTTTTGGGGCTTTTTACCCGTCTAATCTGAGCCTTACACTGGATTTGTTTTTATTTTATTTATTTTATTTTATTTTATTTTATTATTATTATACTTTAAGTTTTAGGGTACATGTGCACAATGTGCAGGTTAGTTACATATGTATACATGTGCCATGCTGGTGTGCTGCACCCATTAACTCGTCATTTACATTAGGTATATCTCTTAATGCTATCCCTCCCTCCTCCCCCCACCCCACAACAGTCCCCGGTGTGTGATGTTCCCCTTCCTGTGTCCACGTGTTCTCAATGTTCAATTCCTACCTATGAGTGAGAACATGCTGTGTTTGGTTTTTTGTCCTTGTGATAGTTTACTGAGAATGATGATTTCCAATTTCATCCATGTCCCTACAAAGGACATGAAGTCATCATTTTTTATGGCTGCATAGTATTCCATGGTGTATATGTGCCACATTTTCTTAATCCAGTCTATCATTGTTGGACTTTTGGGTTGGTTCCAAGTCTTTGCTATTGTGAATAGTGCCGCAATAAACATACGTGTGCATGTGTCTTTATAGCAGCATGATTTATAGTCCTTTGGGTATATACCCAGTAATGGGATGGCTGGGTCAAATGGTATTTCTAGTTCTAGATCCCTGAGGAATCGCCACACTGATTTCCACAATGGTTGAACTAGTTTACAGTCCCAGCAACAGTGTAAAAGTGTTCCTATTTCTCCACATCCTCTCCAGCACCTGTTGTTTCCTGACTTTTTAATGATTGCCATTCTAACTGGGGTGAGATGGTATCTCATTGTGGTTTTGATTTGCATTTCTCTGATGGCCGGTGATGGTGAGCATTTTTTCATGTGTTTTTTGGCTGCATAAATGTCTTCTTTTGAGAAGTGTCTGTTCATGTCCTTCGCCCACTTTTTGATGGGGTTGTTTGTTTTTTTCTTGTAAATTTGTTTGAGTTCATTGTAGATTCTGGATATTAGCCCTTTGTCAGATGAGTAGGTTGCGAAAATTTTCTCCCATTTTGTAGGTTGCCTGTTCACTCTGATGGTAGTTTCTTTTGCTGTGCAGAAGCTCTTTAGTTTAATTAGATCCCATATGTCAATTTTGGCTTTTGTTGCCATTGCTTTTGGTGTTTTAGACATGAAGTCCTTGCCCATGCCTATGTCCTGAATGGTATTGCCTAGGTTTTCTTCTAGGGTTTTTATGGTTTTAGGTCTAATGTTTAAGTCTTTAATCCATCTTGAATTAATTTTTATATAAGATGTAAGGAAGGGATCCAGTTTCAGCTTTCTACATATGGCTAGCCAGTTTTCCCAGCACCATTTATTAAATAGGGAATCCTTTCCCCATTGCTTGTTTTTCTCAGGTTTGTCAAAGATCAGATAGTTGTAGATATGCGGTGTTATTTCTGAGGGCTCTGTTCTGTTCCATTGATCTATATCTCTGTTTTGGTACCAGTATGGATTTGTTTTTAATATAATGATTGTTCAGTCCTGTTTTTTATCCAATCTGGTAATTTTCATGTGACTCTGTGTTATTTATGAATGTTGATAAAATGGACATATTTCTCCTAAAATTTTCATCCAATTTTATATTCTGTTTATCTGTTTTTGTTTTTTGAGCTGGGGCCTCACTCTGTCGCCCAGGCTGGAGTACAGTGGCATGATCATGGCTCACTGCAGCCTCTACCTCCCAGGCTCAAGCAGTGCTCCTGCCTCAGCCTTCCGAGTAGCTGGAACCACAGGCACGTGTCACCACTGCTGGCTGACTTTTTAATTTTTTGGAAAGATGGGGTCTTATGATGTTGGCCAGGTTGGTCTCAAACTTCTGGCCTCAAACGATCCCCCTCCCGCCTTAGCCTCCCAAAGCACCGTGATTACAGGCGTGAGCTGTTGTGCCCGACCCTGTTTTCTGTTGTGAATGCTTCTTGTTTTGTTTCCTATTTGACTTCTTGGATATGGGCTTTCTTACCTTTTATTTGGTCTGGTGTGTGTGGTTTCTTTTCCTTCTGGTGATTTGGAAGGCCGTGCTCTCTTTTTAGTTCTTATTGTGTGAACTCTTATGAGCTCATACGCTTTCCCTAAACTGTGCTTTCCTGTTCCAGCACCTTCAGACGATGTGAGAGAGTAGCCCGTCGGCACAGACACTTTCTGCCGTCTCTTTTCTCCAACCTTCTGATTTTGTTACTTGCAGTGTTATTTTGAGTTTTGGTGATTCTCTTTATAACATATAAATAATATATTTAGACTGACATTTATCAAGTTATTAGCCTTAAAATGGTTACTGATTCTATCACTGAGAAAAATGAGAAAACAGATACATTAAGTTTCTTCCCCCAAATTTCAGTTTCATTACCATTTCCATTTAAAATGCGAGGAATTTTAGGTTAACCACTAGGTTTTGGAAAGTTGGGTTTGAAGATCTGGTCGCTTGATTATCCACCATGAAGGGGAGTCGACGGGCCTCTTGCTTTTGGAGAGCTTCCGGGAGCGATGCTGCCGGCTCCTGGAGACCCTGCTACCGCCTGTGCTGTGTTCAGGCTCTGCCACCAGCGGGTCCCCTTTGGAGCCCTGCGGAGGTGTGTCCTCCTGAGCCCACCCTTAGGCCCAGTGCCCGCAGCCTGCCATGGCCCAGGGTGTGAGAATGTCTGCCAAGGAGGCTCCCTTTCTATAGGAGAGCTGTAAGGGGGCTCGGGGTTTGGGGTTACACTGGGGGAAGGGAAAGTGGCGTGAATGCAGTCACCTGTCTTTTGCTACTTACTTCTCTTCTGACAAACCAGGGACTGTGTCATTTAGAAATTGTTGAGAATAGTTCGAGGTAGCTTAGTCAGAGCTTCCTTCCTGTGCACATTCTGACTTGCCTAGAAAGATGCCGAGTATGGCGGGTGGAACCCCTGTGCACCCCCTTCTCACCAGACTCCCATCCCGGCACAGGGAAGGGGCAGGACACACACCCTTCCCGGTCAGTCCTGTTCCCAGGGGCCCAAGTAGCCCACAGGAGGAAGGAGTGCAGCAGGGCAGAGTGAAGGCGGAGGGTCTGGCAGGTGGAGCTTCACCCAGAGAAGGAGGCTGTGTTCCTGGAAGGACATTCAGTTCAAGAGCAAAGGCTCAGATGTTCATACCATAAATATTCAGCATCACATAAAATTAAAAACTCAGTTAAACAAAGCCTTCTCTTCTTCAGAAGGTTTTGGTTGTTAGTGGTCTGCAGCGCAGCAGGTGTGGACAGTGAGCACCTGTGTCCCCAGGTGTCCTGAGAGGGCAAGATCAGGGCTGGTAGGGCGCCCTCCTCATCGTCTTCCTCCTCATCGCCAGTTGTCTTTAAGGTCAGAACATGAGAACATCAGCTCTTAGTGCCAAGGTTTTTTGGAGACTTTTTCTTTTATTTTTTTTTTTCTCTGGGAAGATGTGTGAGAACATTTCATTTTTGTTCTTGAATGGAATCTTCCGCATAAATACTACATATACATGTACATATGTGAGTATGTGTGAATATCTATGTGTGTGTGTGTATATATATAAACACGTGCGTTTTTATATTCATTGATGTGGAAAGTGCTCACAGTGATTACTAGGGGAAAAGCATGCATAATATGGCCCTAATTAAAATGTAAAAGCTATATACAATGTAAGCACATGTACATATATATGCTGAAGAGTATATATGTTTGATTTTTTAAACAAATTAGGGTTTAATGTGTTAAAAGTACCTATTATTTTAAAATAAATTTGGGTGCATTCTATGAATATATCATAACTTTTATGAGTCCAGCCAATGGCATAAATATTTACTTGGGGACTTTAACACACATTATCAAATTGCCTTCCAGAGAGGTTGCACCGTTCATTATTTATTCAGGGTGATTTTTTATGAACCAAGATTCGCAGACCCCCAGTGCCTGCGCGGAACTGATGACCGCGTCCTCCAGGGAGCCCGGTGCAGAGGCGCTGGTGCAGACAGCTTTGCCAGTCCACACTTTCTTGTTTTGAAGTTTTTGTGTCTTGTTTCTGTTTTGGTTAGTGGGGAAGGGGTGTCTGCTGTCTGGAGATTAGAGAGAGGTGTGGCATTTCCTGCGGGGATGTCTCCTAGTGTTGCCGCCATTCATGTTGTTGACCAGAGAAGAGAGATGGAGTCCAGGTGGGCAGAACTCGATCTCCCTGCGCCTTGAGCCAGCCCCGTCCTGAGCCCTTGCCCACTCCAGATGTGAGGAGGTTGGCGACGGTCTTTGGTGCCCTCCCTGTTGATTTCAGGTGAGATGAGGGAGGGCACTTTGGCCTGCAGGGAGCCCAGGTTTCTGGGGCGTCGACCCTGCTTCTCTGGGCTCCCAGCAGCCAGCCCCTGGTTTCGTGTCACCAGTGACTCCCTGTTGCCAGCTTCCATGCCCGGCCTCAGCCCATGGCCTCTCACCAGTGTTGACTTGGTGGAAGCACCTCCTTACCACACCACATGCTCCTGGTACCTTCCCCCGCCCCGGCCACCAGTCCTCAGGTGCCTTGGTGGGTTTTTCTTATCTCTCCAGCATCATCACATCCAAGCGCCCCAGGGCTTGTCTCCGGCCCACTCCTTGTTTCCACTGAGTCATTCCCTTGGTGATATCCTGGCCTCATCCAGTCAAATCATAGATCACAACACCATCTTGATTCTGCCGCTCGAATGTCTGCTCCCGCCTGGATCTCACCTGCCTTCCAGATCCTAGAGCCTGCTTGCCGTCGATCCCCAGCTGGGCGTTCTCAGACTCAGCAAGTTTGAAAGCAGGCTCCTGATCTTCCCCTGCAAACTTGCTTCTCCCGCGGCCTCTCCTACTCAGGGCAACCTCCGGGCTCAGGATCCCAAGAGTCCCCTTGACTCCTATTTCTCTCCAGTCCCATGCATGGCCTGTCAGCCAGCACTGGCAGCTGCCCATTAAAGTGTGTGCAGAGGGAAGGGTCCCAGTCAAATGTGAAAATGTTCTAAAATCTTGGTAAATCTACTAAAAGATTGTTGGATTGTACATTTGAGAAGGGCAGAGTGTAAAATATACCTCTTTAAAGCTATCAACACGTGTGCTGAGCCTGGCGGCTGCTCACAGCTCCAGCATTGCCACGCGTGGCGAGCCACAGGTGTCACCCATGTGGCTGTTGCAGGTGCCTCCTCACCTGGCCCCAATTCTGTTCTTGCCCCTCTAGTCTGATCTCGGCCAAGGAGCCAGAGTGCGGTTGACAGAATAATGGAACCCCCGAAATGTCCCTCAGCTAATCCTCAGCCCCTGTGACTGTGTAACCTTACCCGGCCAAAGGAGCTCTGCAGATGGGGTTGTTACTCACTGGAGATGAGGAGGTTGTCCTGGATCATCAGGGTGGGCCCTTTGTCTTCACGAGGGTTCTTTAAGGAAGAAATCAAGAGGATCGGAGTCAGAGGAGGTATGCAGACAGAGTGTCGACAGGGCCATGCAGGTGCTGGTGTTGAGGAGAGAAGGGACCAGGAGCCAGGGGACATGGCAGCCTCCGGAAGCTAGAGAAGGCCAGGAGCAGATTCTCCCCTGGAGCCTGCAGAAGAAGCACAGCCCTGCTGGCTTTCTGACTTTCGCTCCGTAAACCCCATGTCAGACTCTGGCCTCCGGAACTGTAAGATAATAAACATACGTTGTTTCAAGCCATTGAGTTTATAGTAACGTGTCACACACATCAAGCACAAGAAGCTAACACCCAGAGTGAGCCTGTCAACTTTATGTCAGCCAGACTCAGCTTTTCACTCCCAACCATGTGACCTAGGCAGATTTCTCTACCTCCCTGCCTCAGTTTTCCACATCTGTGAAATGGGGACTAGCAGGCGGTTAGGCACATGCTTTGCATAGCTTTCTGCTTTCTTGCGGGTCCCCCTCATCCAGCTGTGTACTCATGGAGGGCAGGCCCTGCCCTGTGCACTGCAAGCGCTCCAGGGAGCTGGAGATGAAGGCTCACTCTGTCCCTGTCAGGCAGTGTGTGTTCCATGCTTTTATTTCAGTGTGTGCTGAATGTGGGCTGTCCTGTGCGTCTCCCCTTGGTTTTTCTCCTGGGAACCCTGATGCTGGGTTTTCCAGCGTAAGCACATCAGGAGTTTTGTTGCTGGAGTTGGGTAGTGGCTCCGGCCACTCTCCGAGCTGGAAAAACACAAGCTGGTGTGACTATGCAGATGCAGGCTTTTGGGGATAGACAATAGATGGGCCTCCAGAACCCGAGTGAATTCCAGATGCAGTAGCAACAGCAGCAGGCTTGTTTGTGTAGGGTCCAGAAGTTTCTTGTGGAGAGCTCAATCCTCCAGTGAGTGGTTGAACTTGAGTAGCAGTCTTCAGCGAGCAGGGAATGAGGGGCGCGGGCACCGCTGAGTTGTGCTGTTGGGTTTAAAGAAACCTCATGGCCGTTGCTGAGTGCGTTCTTTTTCAGCATCCGCCACGGCTCACCCTTCAGCATTCCTCCTGGCTACCCAGCATCTGTCCTTGTGGCTGTGCCCCGCCCGCCCCTCCCTGGCCCCTACTTTGCTGTTATGGGACTGATGAGCTGTGCTAAGCCCTCCTCCTCCTCATTCTTGTCCTTCCTTCCAGCATCGTGGCCGTCTCATATTCTGGGGACAGCTCTGGGTACTGGCGGGACCAGAGAGAGCAACCCAGATGCCACACCTCCTCCAGCTTTGCGTTTTCCTGGGCGATTGCAGGGAGGGGCAGACAGTAAAGAAGTGAACAAGTCAACAGACTGGAACCCACGTGGGTACAGAGGCTAGAGGGGGCCTTTGTTTTGGTCTGCTTTTCTGTTTTTCAAATTAGAGTCTTTCCCAAATGTTTGGTGATCCTGGCTGGCCAGCGTCTAAGAGTGAGTCTCTAACAAGCTGGGCGGGGCATGTTGACTGCTTATCTTCCTGGCCAGGTGGCAGACAGGGACCTGATCACTTCCTGGTGGTCCTGGATGCCACTGCCTGTTGTCCTGTTCTCTTAGCCCAGAGAGGACCCTCCCAGCTCCTCCCTGGAGTCCAGGCCTGGCTCACACAGCCTCACCCCTTGGCATGTCAGCTCTCACTGCCCCTGTTTACTGCCCATGCTGGCGCTCCTGCCCTCAGCCTGATAGCACCAAGCCTGGGGAATTCTGGGGGAATGGGGTTGGTCCCTGTATGGGGGGCAGAAGGGATGAGGGGTCACATGCTCTTTATAGCTCAGCCTTCCCTGGGCCATTCTGGCCTTCAGACCAGCCTGGCTTCAGCTCTCTGGTCAGCCAGCCCCCGACTGGCTTCCAGAATTCTATGGCTGCTGTCTGCTTGTGGGATCTGTGTTTTTGGAGAGATTTATATCTTTTTTCCTTTTTTCTTCTTTTTTTTAAACTGCTTTTAGAATGGGGTTGAGGGAGTCGGGTCAGTGCCCTAGCCTGTGTTCTTTACAGGAAGCAATTCTTTAAATGTCAAGAGGGAAATGCCCCCTGCCCGCCCAGCTCAGCCAGGAGGCCGTGGGTAGAAAGACCCTTTCAACCAAGTCTCACAATTAAGGTTAGAGATGATTTTGGCTCCTAAGAATACTCTAGAAATCTAAAGCATCCCAGTTCACATCACTTTTATCTGTTTCTTTGTAAAAATGCTTATCATTGGGCTTACAGATTAAAATTTTAGTGAGACAGAACATCGTTTTCCCAACCTTCCCATCGGTCACATTAGAGCAAAGTCTTCAAGAGCATTTTTCACTTAAGGGATGTTTTCTAAAAAGTGACCCTGTGCTTTTGATGAAATAGTCAGCTAAGGAGAATGGAACCCTTTGTACCTTCACGCTGAAGTCTAAATTCAGCGTCTGCAGGGCACGGGACTGCTCTCGAGGAAGCTCCTCGGTGGCGCGTGGTGCCACTACCTCTGGATTGTTTGTTTTTGTCCTTTTTTTCGGGGCTTATTTTTGAAAGCAAAGGCATGATCAGTTATAGCAGTCCTTGAAGACAGTTTAAGATGCTGGATTCTGGGGAATATGTTATATGGCTTAAGAACATCTGACAGCTCAGTGAAAGCAAAGTGGAAAAGTCACTGCCTGGGATTTAAAGGTGTGTCTGCAGCTTCAGCTTTTGAATCATTGGGTTTAGAAACCACAGCCCTTGCTTCAGACAAAGTCCCAAGAATTGGAGTCTGGTGTTGGCTGGCAACCATATCATTCAAGTTAAGCCAAGTGAGGTGAGAAACTAACGGAATGGCAATTTCAAATGCAGATTCCTTTGATGTTTCTTTTATCTCAAGATAAAACTCAGTGCTGGGGATTTCTTCATCCTCATTTGACTAAACCCAGTCAAGATGTGTGCAGGGGCCCGGACCACCCTGGGGACCATCACCGTTAGCAACCAGGACTTTCGGCCCCCAGGAGAAGCACGGGGCAGGGCTCTCAGGAAGGGCAGAGCCCAATTCTTTCCAGCATTCTGGAAGCTGGCTTTTATACTGCTTAGTGATTTTGTATTGTGAGGGCAACAATTCTGTTTATAATATTAAAAATAGGATGAAAGAAATAATATATTTTCTTCTGTCAGACATTTTTGTTTAAATTTTTGAATAGATCCATTTAAAATGGAATGTAAGTGAATCTTTTTGTGAGAAAGTGATTTTCGATGCATGAAAGCTAGGTGATTTTACCCTGCAGTCAGGCTTCTGATCTGCAGGTATTGTAACGTTTAAGATTGCTTCATCCAGCCTTTCAAATACTGTCCAGTAAAGCAGGACAGGCCAGCATCCACCTTCTTTTAGGATGGCATGTGTAAAGGACCCTCAGTGTTTGTGGAGTGTGTTTTCTGTGATCAGGTTCATGCCATAAATCCCCTTTAAGAGTTGGCCGGCGAAGGAATAGTGCTTTTTCGTCCTTGTCCCGTGGAAGGTGCCGCAGGAGCTGGTTGGTTTTCACTCGAGAGGGTTCTGGTCTCAGCCGCGTTCCAGGCTCAGATCCCAAGCAGGTCATTGTATAAATGTTCTTATCCCACCTGTTGAGTGTCCTCTGTCACCAGGAATTCAGGATGGTAGGATTTTGTGCCGTCACTCTGTCCTCTAAACTGGCGTTTCCTCCTTTATTATGATAATATAAAGGGGACCTTGTGTCACAAGCGAGTCACTTTTGGTGGAAGTGGGGCAAGACATTTCCCTGTGCTGGTTTAAGCAGGGCCGGTCTCCTCCAAGGGAGCCCCAAGCCGTTGTGCTCACAGGCCGGGTAATAAATGTACACGTTTGTAGTAAAGCCATTCACCACTCCCCAAAACACAACGCTGAGAATAGGGTTTAGCACTGAGTTACTTTCTTTAAAAAACTAGTTTTGCCGTGTAAGTATGCTTCCTCAGTCAGCATACGGTTTGGATTTGCTTTTCCGAGCTTTTAATAATCGAAATCATACTGACGTCGTTTTCTGCAGCTTGTTTATTTTTGTTTTTGTTTTTTGTGTTTTTTTAACTCAGCATTGTTTCTAAGATTCATTTACGTCATTCCACATGGCTGGGATTCGTTCACTTTCATGCCAGATACAATTCTACACTCTCAATATTCCACTGTTTATCTGTTGCTCTGTTGATATTTGGGCGGTTTGTAGTTAATGCTGCTATAATGAATATCCTTGTACCATTCTCCTTGTGTAGACGTGCAGGAATTTTTCAAGGGTGGCTGTCCTAAGGAGAGGGCTTGTTGCTGGGTCACGAAAGCGAGATTCGGCTGTCTATGAGAAAGCCCACTGTTCTAGAAGGCCCCGTCTCATTCATGCTGCTGCTGCTCCCACGCCCCCGCTCCCTGCCTCTCCACCCGTAGTTGGGTCGGTGGGCGTAAAGTGGGGTCTCCAGGGGTCTGATTTGCCTTTCCGCCCTCACTAACATGGTCCAGCGTTTGATCCTTTGTTTCCCCTGCTGTCAGGGTCTTCTGTGACCAACCCATTCATACCTTCTGCTGTTCTTTGGAATTCTCTCCTTCTGGCGGCTTTATAGGAGTTACTTACATGTTACGGATACAGGTCCTTTGTCAGTTGCTGTGTTAAAGTAGCTCCTCTGAGATTCAGCCTTTCACTTTTTAAGGCTGTCTAGTGAGCAGAAAATTTTAATTTAAATGTAGTCAGATGTAACAACGTCATATTTTGTCGTAAGAAGCACTTTTCACATCTTGAGTTTTCTATTCCAAGGATATTTTCCAATAGTGTCTGCTAAAAATTTCAACATTTTGTCTTTCACATTTGAGTCTTAATCCACATGGAATCCATTTTGGCCTGTGGTGTGAATAGGGACGAATCCCATCTTTTTGTTCCCCGTAGAATAGTAGGATAAGTGTTTGTCCCAGCTGCATTTGTGGAACACCCTGTTTTTTCCACAGTAATCTGCAAAGGACCTGCATCTACCCTCTTTGGGACCACCTCAACTGCTTCTCAGTTCTTCTTCCATGTAGTTTTATATTCAGCTTTTAAGATCATGAACTACCTTGCACTGGACCTGTAGTTCCGTTTGGAGAGAATCACTATCTTTAGAATAGTAAGTCTTCCTATCCTTGAATACGAGCTATCTTGCCATTTATTTAGACCATTTAAAAATGTCTTTCAGGGCCAGGCACAGTGGCCTGATCACACCTGTAATCCTAGCACTTTGGGAGGCTGGGGCAAATGAATTGCTTGAGCTCAGGAGTTCAAGACCAGCCTGAGCAACATGGCGAAACCCCCTCTTTAAAAAATAATAATACGTAAACTAGCCATGCGTGATGGCGCGCCTCTGTAGTCTCAGCTACTTGAGGGGCTAAGGTGGGAGGATCGCCCAGGAGGTGGAGACTGCGATGAGCCATGATCGTGCCACTGCACTCCAGCCTGGGTGACAGAGTGAGAACCTGTCTCAAACAAAGAAAAAAAGTCTTTCAATATATTTTATAATTTTTATCCATAAAGGTCGTTCTCATTTTTTGTTAGAAATACTTCTAGGTGCCTTGTATTTTTTTTGTTTCTTATGTTAGGTTTTCTGCTTGTTGCAGTATGTTGAAGTGGAATTGGATTTCTATGTTGATCTTATCTAACACCGTATTACATTTCCTTATTAGCTCTATTGACTTCCCTGTCATTCTTCTCTTTGCAGGTGGTGGGGGTGGGAGGAGCTCAGTATCTGTAGCCTTGGAGTCTGGATCAGGAGTTGTGTTCCCTCCCTTTGTGCCTGTATCATTACATCAGCTTTTTCAGGATTCACCATTAAAAGCAATATTTGCTGGGACCTTTTAATAGATAACTCTTTTTTGGTTAAAGAAGCGCTCTTTTATTTCTAGTTTGCTAACAGCTTTTATAATGAATAGCTGGATTTTAACATATACTTACTTTCATTCTGAAGATGATCATAATTAACGGTGAGTTGGATTTATAGGTGGTTTGTACATAGGTTGCTTTTCTTGTGTTTTCTTTTTTTTTTTTTTTTTTTTTTTTTGGGACGGAGTCTCGCTCTGTCCCCCAGGCTGGAGTGCAGTGGCGCGATCTCGGCTCACTGCAGGCTCCGCCTCCCGGGTTCACGCCATTCTCCTGCCTCGGCCTCCGGAGTAGCTGGGACTACAGGCACCCACGACCGCACCCGGCTATTTTTTTTTTTTGTATTTTTAGTAGGGACGGGGTTTCACCGTGTTAGCCAGGATGGTCTCCATCTCCTGACCTCGTGATCCGCCTGTCTCAGCCTCCCAAAGTGCTGGGATTACAGGCGTGAGCCACCGCGCCCGGCCTTTTCTTGTGTTTTCTTGTGTTAAAACACCAGGTGTATTGGTCTGCTGTCTTTTCTATAGACTATTAGATTAAGCTTGCTCATAGTTTATTTGAGATTTTTGTGACTGTATTTATGACCAAGACTGTAATTTTTCTGTCTTTTTTATACTTTGCCCAGTTCTTTTAAAAGGATATTTATTCTCCCCTCATAGGATTGGCTCAGGATCCTGCCTGCCCTTTGCATTCTCTTGAAGAGTTTGTTTAAAGTTGCATGATCCATTAGTTGAAACGTGGCTGTCGCTGCCTTTAAAATGATTTTTGTGAAAAGATTTTAAAGTATTAATTCAATTTAGTTCATGATTATAGG
Source organism: Homo sapiens (assembly GCF_000001405.40). Classification (NCBI taxonomy): domain Eukaryota; kingdom Metazoa; phylum Chordata; class Mammalia; order Primates; family Hominidae; genus Homo; species Homo sapiens. Next base: position 239,207,693 of record NC_000002.12, on the reverse strand, counting down.
GTTAATTCTGTTTTCTATTTATTTTTTGTCAACTTTGGAATGTTTTTCTAGAAATGTGTCTACTTCATGTAAGTTTTAAAACTTACTGGCCTCAAGTTGTTCCTTTGTATTTTTTTATTTTTTAAATCTCTGCCATATCTGAGGCTAGGTGATTAAACTCCTAATGTTTTTTAATTTGTGCCTATTCTTTTTATTTTCTAAATCACTCATAACAGAAGTTTGTCTTGTATTGGTCTTTTGAGAGAATCACTTTTTAAAATTATTTTGGTGTATATGAGTGTATGTAATGATTACATTTCATTTCATTTATGTATTATCTGCTTTCATCTGTTTTCTTTGGATTTGTTCTACTGTTGCTTTTCTAATTTCTTAAAGATATATCTCGTCTTTCAGTTCGTATTATTATTGTCATAATAAGTATTTAAGGCTACCAAGTTTCCTCTAATTATAGTAAACAGAATCTTACAAGATTTTGTATGTATTTTTTTCATTCTTATTCTTTTTAACTGTTATGGCTTCTTCTTTGGCCCATAGATATTTAGAAATTTTTTTTTTTTTGAAATTGAACTTTCTATTGTAGAGAATTACAGGCATACCCAGCGGTGGGGAGAGCAGGTGGAGTGAGCCCTGGGGCGTGGTCAGGTGGCTTAGGCCAGGGCAGTCCCTCCAGTACTTGCGTTTAGGCCTCCCTCCCATCCCCAGCCTCTCAGTCTTTCAGAATCAGACCCCAGTCACCATGTCATTTCATCAATAACATTCTAGTGCCTAGCTCTCTAAAAGATAGGGACTCTTTTACTGCATTGATGATGTACATATTTAGACAAGATGAACCATTCTTTATTATTAGCAGATTTTTACCCAATGTTGATATATCCCTGATGGTGTTTAAAATCACTTTTTTAGTTTGTGGTTTGACTTTTGGTACCAGGAGTCTCTGGGTCCAAGCAGTGTTCATACACTGTGATTGGCACCTGTCATGAAGTCCTCAGTTAATCTCTAGGTTTCTTCTTCCTACCTTTTTTTTTTTTTTCAGTCCTTGAGATTTATCTGTTGAAGACACTGTATTGTTTGTCCCACAGAGTTTTCCTTCCTAGGTTCTAAATTTTACTTGATTTTAGCCCTGTCATGTCATTTAAAATGTTCCTTTGTTGCCTGGATTTCCTATAAATTGGCAGTTAGATCTAGAGGTTTGATCAGATTCAAGCTTGGTTATTTTTGGTAAGACTTTATAGATGCAATGGTGCACCTCTTTTGGGAGGCAACCAGCCATACCCATGTGTGTGTGTGTGTGTGTGTGTGCACGTATGTGTGCATGTATATAACAGCCGTATTTTAAAACATTTATTTAATTACTTTCTTTTTTTTTGAGGCAGGTTTTTGCTCTTTTGCCCAGGCTGGAGTGCAGTGGTGCAATCTCAGCTCACTGCAGCCTCTGCCTCCCACGCTCAGGCCATCTTCCCGCCTCAGCCTCCTGAGTAGCTGGAACCACAGGCATGCACCACCACACTTGGCTATTTTTTGTAGCTTTTGTAGAGATGGGGTTTTGCTATGCCTCACAGGCTGGTCTTGAACTCCTGGGCTCAAGTGATCCACCTGCCTCAGCCTCCCAAAGTGTGGGATTGCAGGCGTAAGCCACTGGGTGTAACTAACAGCCATATTCGTTATCCAACAAATTATTTCTTTCTTCTCCTTAAAATTCTTTCTGATGGATCCTGCCCCAACCTGACCGCTGCTTTGGAGGTGATGTGCTTTATTCCTGGCAGTTAAGGTGAAACGTTACTGCATGAGCTTAAAATGTCTAAAGTCCCTATTTTATGTCCCTGACCTCTACAACACGTGGGTTACAGACACTTTAACACTGAGCACCCCTTCCCCATTCACCTCTTGCCGTTCTCTACTATTTAAATTTTCCTTCACTTCAACCCCACAAGTTAGGTAAACTTCTTCCTTCTTCCTTCTTTGTTCTTCTCCCTCCCTCCTCGTCCTCCCCTCCTCCTCCTCCTCCTCTTCCTTCTTCTTTCTTCTTCTTCCTGTGTTGTTCAGATGAAGTCTGTTTAGATTTCTCTCCGTAGCCCCCAGTTCTTTGCTCACCTTTTCTTCCCTCCCCCTTTCTCTGCCCACCTCCATGTTGTTGATCCTCCCCTGACTGCTTCCTGGTGAGTTTTTTAAACTTTCTTAGTTTTCAGCCTGGTATATGTTTATATCCTGAGCTTTCTTGCAGAATAGCTTCCCTGTGAATGCGATTCTAGCTTGACAGTGGCTTTCTCTTAGTTCTCAGAGGCTCACTGGTCCTGGCTTCTGTGACTGCATTTCCTTTGTTGGATAACGTTGCCCATATTGCGGGGTCTTCTGAACTCTGTCTCAGCGGTCTGCTGTTTCGCTTTGAAGTTGTCTTGATTCCATTCTGCTTTTTCATGCATCGTTGTGCTTTCTGTGTCTGTAGATGCATGTCTCCCACCAGTTCTGGAAAATTGTCAGCCATCTATCTTCAAATATTGCCTCTCCAGAGTTCTGACAGTATGTAGAGGTTTGCAGCTCAGAGTACAGACTCTGGCACCTGAGTCCCTGGCCTAAATGTAGGCCTTGCCACCTGCCAGCCACGTGGGGTGGGGAGACCAGGCCGGAAGGATGAGTGCCTGCAGGAGTTCAGTGCTGAGGGACAGAGGCGGCTCGGGGACGGGGGAAGGTGGGGAGGCCCTAGCAATCAGCTTTGATGACAGGTGGGGTAGGGAGGAGCACAGACACCTTCCCTGTGACATTGAGTTAGCTCTTTGACCCAGGTAGCAGGGGTTAGCTCTGTTGGGGGCAATGGGGACCCTAAGAGGCTTTGGTGTCTGAAAACAGAGGAAGGGGCCATCAGAGGCCCCTCCGTGGTCTCAGCACCTGCCCTGATAGGAGCTCCAGAGGATAGACTTGGGGTGCCCTCTGTCCTGGAGGGTTGGATGCAGGGTTGAAACCTGACCCATTCCCAGGGTCTGGCTGTTGAAGGGCGAGAAGCGGCAGACTCTCTGTGCCAGGCCCGGGACGCCTGGTCCATCCCTAAGCCCTTCCTGAGCACACCTCAGTGGTGCAGCCCTCCACGGACCCTCTTTTCCCTGAAAGCAGGGGTTCTTGGGCCAGCGTAGGGGCTGGCAGTGCAGATGGCAGACTGTAAGGGCCGGTTTCACTGGACGTGATCCGAATCAGAGCCCTCTGCCCATTTCCCTGGGCCCATCGCAGCCTGCCTGCCAGCTACCTGCCGTTCCTGACATTCTGCCTGGGAAATCGTGTTTGTGTTCCCGAACCCTCCGCAGTACAGACACCTTCCCTACGGAGCCCTGTGTATTCAGGGTGCCTTTTCTAATAAAGCCCAGGCCGAGTCACCACTGCCTGAACTGGAGGGCCCGTGGCCCGGGCACAGGGGCCGCTGCATCGTGGTCAGCATTGTGGTCGGCTGTCTATCTGCAGTCACTACACCTGCACAGCATGGGGACGCCGGGACACGGCCGGCCAGCAGGATGCCCTGCGCAGAGAGGAGCTCACAGGTTCACAGAAGCCGCCAGGCTAGATGCTTAGAAATGAGGACTCCTGCTTTACACAGGAATATGAGGTTTACCAGAATCTGCTTCATTGTTCGAATTCTCTTCCCTTCATTCTCCTACACTATGAAGAGCTTTTTATTTCCCTTGGAAGAGAGAGAGCTCGATGGATGCATTGGACCCGGACTCCTAACCAGGAGCTGTGGGAAGGGCGCTGAGGAAATGAAAGCCAGTGTTTCTTTCTCCCTCTTCAGTGGAGAACAAATCAGCTCCTATTTTCTTGGTGCCTTATGAAGCGGGAGTGTTTCTGAGTCCTACTCGAATCCATTGAAGCTGATAATTCCATTTTAGTGTCGTGTCTGTGTTAGTACCTCGCAGTCCCTCATCTCCACTGCTTTGCATACAGAAGGTTTTGCAGACTGAGGAATCCCCAGCCAGGGCTGGGGGTGAGGGATGGAGGCTGCAGTGAAGTCTTTCCCTACTGGACTATGGGTCAGGGATGGGCAACTGTCTGTGGTCGCCTTGGCAGTCACCACGGCAGTCACCACACCCTCCTTTTACAGAAGACAGTCAGACCGTGGACGTTCAGTTCATGCATGTTTTAGAACCCAAGTCTGTTTCAGTTAAAGCGGTTCAGCTTCGAGACCACAGGACTCATACTGGTTAGTGATCCTGGAGGGAGGGAAAGGCAGGTCCTTTGGTTTCTTTCTTATATCCTGAAAGTGTAATTTTTGTATTTTCCAATGAGCCTTCTTGGCTTCTAGTTAGAGTAAAAAATGGAATTTTCTAAATCTGAGCACGGTCAAACGTATTTTTATCCTTGACTCGTGTGTGAAGCTGACACTGATTTTGCTAGAATAATTCTATTATTAAAAAGGGACAGGGAGGATTCTTCCCAGGTGCACCTGTGTCCACCTTGTCTGTGCTGGGTGGGCACCCACTTGCTGGGGGTTTGGAGTCTCCAGGGCTAGGCATCCACACTGGGCTTACTGAGCTCTTCCCCTTGGTGTTTCCCGCTCTCTTGCTGGACCAGTGGACAGGTCAGGCCCTTGGCCTTTTCGCGGTAGCTTCTGCCTGCCACCCTATGGCACAGGAGCCCTGCAGGGCTGTGTGCCTGTAGGGCTGAGGCTCCACTCAGCGCTGCCAGCACCCAGGAGTCTGGGCTTGCTGCCTGGGCTGTGCTGCACCCCGTAGCCTACATCCAGGTGCGGCGATCAGTCTGCTGCTGCTCAGGCGGCGTGGACAGGCCCTTCCTTTCTTGTCAATGCTCTTTGCCTTCCTGGTGCTCAACTAACAGGACATGCCAAAACCTGCAGCCCTGCGCCCTCCTGGACACACTCGTGGCATCCTGATCACTGGGTTTATCACCCTGGGTGATGAAAAGCTTTTTCTGGGCCTGCTGTTTTGTCCCAGAAGTGTGTGGAGCTCATGAGGTCAGGGGGTACAGCTCCATCGAGGAAGCCTTGCCTTGTCTCTCCTGGACGGTGATTCTCCATGTTGCATGGCCCTGCCACCGCCCCTCCCGCGTGGAGGGTGCATCCTGTCCCTGTGATGAAGACCAGCCACACCCATGCCAGCCCTTCTCCCAGAGTCCTGTGTTGAATACCAGCCACACCCATGCCAGCCCTTCTCCCAGAGCTCCGGTTGCCCTGCAACAAGCAGACATCCTGCTGTCGCCCCGATAGATGGAGGCCAGGGTACCTTCTCCAGAGTCACCCCGCTGGGTCTGAACTCACACCCCACCCAAGTCTACGCCCCGTCCACTGCCCCACTTTGCCTGTCTCCAGGTGTTACCTGTTTCTTCTCGTGTCTTAAGTCCACACTGGAAATTTGGAGAGACCAGGTCTTTCTATCTGAGTGTCCTGTGAGACAACCTAAAAGGAGATTCTGGGTGGAGATTACTCTCATTAGGCTTTCCTGACAAATACCATCCTGCAGTCTGGTACTGGAGACTGCAGAGCTTCCTACTATAGGTAGTCCCCATCTTACGCCAGTGTCCCCTCAGGCTGGTTCCAAGGTTCGTGGATGAGGTGAGGGCATGGAGACAGCCAGCCCTCCAGCAGCACCCGCTCGCCTTCTCCATCAGAATGTTCTCGGGTCCAGCAGACCCGGAGAAGCCCTGGGATGCTGGAGATGCCTGCAGGGGGGTGGAGGCTGGGGAAAGATCCTGCCAACTGCAGGGACCACCCTTCTCAGTGGCACAGATTTGGGCTGAGTTCATACCTTATTATGCATGCATCTACTTAGACTTTTTTTCTGCCAGTAAGAAAGCAGTTTGAAAACGTAGATTTGGAAGGTGCTTTGAGTTTGGTGCAAGTGAAAGCCGATTTACATAAAAACAAAAACAAAAAGACAGTGGAGTAAAATGCACACCTGGTATTAATTGTAGCTTTTTATTTTTAGCAGTGAAAATACTGTTTCAGGAATGTGTCGTTTCCATCTCTGTGCTCAGCAGGCTGGGCTTGGCCGGGCTTCCCCTCTCGTCACCTGTTTTTCTGGTGCTGTTGAGAAGGGAGGTGGGGCCTGGCTGTGCCTCTGGGGCTGTTGTCTCGGCCTTGAGCAGCTTTGTGGGAGCAGATCTAGGTTGCTGCCACAGCCCCAGGAGCTTTTTAGGAAAAAGTGACTTTATTCACGGAGAGCTGTGGGCTGTAGGCTCTCAGCAAATAGTAATTACAGGGGGGCCTGGCCTTTGGTCAGGAATGAAACCAAAGCCCAAGCCACACAGAGCAGGCCGAGGGGTCGGGCAGGCCCCCAGTGCTGGCTTTGGAAGACCATCGACTCCGGAGCAGAAGTTCTGAGGCCTCAGGGATGCTTGGGTCTCTACGGCAGGTTAGGACCCAGGCCCTCTCATTGCTCCCAAATCCCTGTGTTGCTGACCACACCCAGCCTGAGGCACCCCCCTGGGTGACCTGTGAGCTCCCCATAACACTCCTTCAGCCCCTGATGTTTCCAGCAAGACCAGCCTCCTCTCACTGTTCAGCCAGGTTAGGATGCCAGGGTTCTGGTTTGCTGTGCACTAGTGTGTGGCCCTGGGCAAGTCACTTAAAACTGTCTGTACATCAGTTTCCCACACCTGTCAAGCGGGGTGTCCCTTAAATGAATTAATACATCAGCACTAAAGGCCGTGGGCCAGAGTTCACCCCAGGCCCTGTGATTCCCCGGTAGTGAAGAGGACAAGGAGGCAGGGGAAGTTTCCTGTGTGGGCCCTCTCCCACCTCCTGCTCGAGCGAGCAGTCTCCTCTGCTGCAGTTCTCAGGGAGCCTGAAGAGCTCCACCTCCCTTCTTTTCTAGAAGGCTAAAGCGCAGTGCCATCCAGGCCTGGCCATGTGCTGCAGCTGCCTTCATGCTAGAACTCTGCACCGAGAACGCCACTCCGAGCACGGCGTCGAATGCAATCTGCCTGTGACGCGTCTCTCTCCCGCCCAGCCCCACACAGAGAAAGCCTCCCCTGTGCACATCCATAAATACCACTGTATCTTCTCTTTGCATTTATTTCTTTACATTTTGATTTCAATGGAAAGCAATACAAAGCACCTTCTTCTTGCACCATAATATTTTTTATTCTTATTTTTCAAGCATAATTTAACTTACAGTGATTGTTAACATAAGCTTTTGTCTTTGGCATTGCATATATCCATCTAAATGAGAGAAACAGAAGTGGCATATAAAAACTCACCTACATACGAAGCTCCAAGGTAGGGCCACTTAAGTTACATGTTATCTACAGAATATTTTTATATCTTTACCTTAAAGAATACTTCTACTTTCTCTACCTCGTCTCTACTTTGCGTGCGTGCCCCTCCCCACCATGGTAAATACAACAGTTGCAATTCAGTTAAGAACACTGGGGGAAAATGACATCACATGTAAGTCAGCGTTTGGAATGGGTCTCAGTTATGACCGTTCAGGCGTTTGAATGTCAGCTTCAGCGCGAGGTGCTCTCCATAGCTCTGAGGAGGGATGGCAGGTCAAACACGCATGTCCGTCCCTCAGGAAATTCACAAAAACGCCAGTAAAGATCGATAGTTCGTAAGTCCCAACCCAATAACAGCGCTTACCCCAGTCTCCAGACTGTGGTCTCTAAGACTATTTCCCAAGAAAGGGACCCACACAGGGGTCAAGAAATGTACAGGAAGAGGGCTGGGCGCGGTGGCTCACGCCTGTAATCCCAGCACTTTGGGAGGCCGAGGCAGATGGATCATGAGGTCAGGAGATCGAGACCATCCTGGCCAACACGGTGAAACCCCGCCTCTACTGAAAAAATCAAAAAAATTAGCCGGGTGTGGTGGCTGGCGTCTGTAGTAGTCCCAGCTACTCGGAAGGCTGAGGCAGGAGAATGGCGTGAGCCCGGGAGGCGGAGCTTGCAGTGAGCCAAGATCGTGCCACTGCACTCCAGCCTGGGTGACAGAGCGAGACTCCATCTCAAAAAAAAAAAAAAAGAAATGTACAGGAAGACCCCAAAGCATCTGGTAGCAGAACAGGGCGCTGCTCTCAGAGAGCACTCACAGGGTCTGGAGGGCCGCCCGATCCAACCACGGGGCTCCTGCTCGTCAAGGACAGGACTGTGAGCATTCGTAAACAGTGACCGGAAAACACACCCTCCTCACTGCTCGAGTTTGGAGGCTGCCACGAGACCCACTCAGGATTTTCAGACATGGGCAAACCGAGGAAGAGAATCAAGCATGACACTGCCTTTCTCATAAGCGCTGTTTGTGAGAGTAACAAGATAGTTGATCTTGGATTCCTTCCCGTTATAGAAATGGTCCTGCTAACACATGGAGAGGGGCTGATGGGACTCGAAGAGCTCTGTTTTTAACCCTGATGAGAGAATCTAGTCAGTGATCATTTTGAGCCTTCGCAACACAAAAAAGCCACCCAGAGAGCAGGGGTTCGCCTTAGGCCTTGCTGGGAAGTCTAAGCTGCCTCTGACCAGGCCTCTCGGTGAGCACCCAGCTTTCAGAAGAACGGGGGACAGAGCCTTGCTCGTCAGCACCAGGGTGTAATCAGCAAAGTGCAGATGACCCGATGTCTTCAGCTAATAAATTATCGGGGTGGGGGTGGTGGGGGGCAGGAAGCAGGAGGTCAGGGGAAGGGGTCTTAAAAGATACATCAGCTAATTACAATGTATTTGGATCGTGATTTGAACAAAATATTTAAAAGTGTTTATGAAACTATGGGGACACTTTCTGGCTACTTCATAATATTACAGACTTGTCCATTTATTTGCGTGTGTTGATGGCATTTGATTTGGAAGTCTTCGCAGTGACGACTGGGGCCTGCTTCCCTGTCATCTAGAAGGTGGGGAAGTGGTGGATGAGCAGAGGACCTGAGATCGGCTTGATTACACTATTCTTCATGCTTTTGTGTATTTTTGGAATTTCTCATGAAAGATAAAAATATATATTCCAGAGAAAGGTCATAAGCTCACAAAGATGGGGAGAACAGAAGAGGGGCGACACGAATGAGAGCCTGGCAACTGACAGCAGGTGACAGAGTCACAGCGATTCAGCAGACCCAAAAAACAGATCTCAGCCAACCACGAGGAGCACTGAGAACTCACCAGATGGAAGCTGCGCTGCCACAAAGGGGTGCTCTCCAGCGACTATGATCCTGAGCGCCTCTGCATGGGGACAGGAGCAAGCTGAGGATGTGGGTACTGCAGCAAGAACGGGGGGCTAGTCACTGTGTCCACAGCAAACACTGAGTAGGGGGTCCCTCCCTTGGTACACTGAAGGCCCAGCTCTCACCCTCTAGTCCCAGGATGGAGAGGCGCCTCTCGTGGACAGTAGGCCAGCCCTAGGGGAAGGTTCTCTGGGCACTGAGCCAGGGGGTTCCTGATGATGCCACCTCCAGTCACCCTCCATGAAGCCTGGCATTGAGAACCAGACTGTGCCCACAGTTGGCAGGTGGTTTTCGTGCCTCCACTCACACTCGGCAACACATAACCAGGGGCAACCAGGCACCTGAGGGGAGGCTTTTGCAGGGACGGTGGAGAGCAAACAGAGACTCCACAGGGAAAAGAAAACTTGTCACCAGGCTTGGTGGCTCAGGCCTGTAATCCCAGCACTTTGGGAGGCCACAGCGAGAGGATCACCTGAGGTCAGGAGTTTGAGACCAGCCTGGCCAACATGGAAGGAAGGGAGGAAGGGAGAGAAATTAGCTGGGCATGGTGGTGCACACCTGTAATCCCAGCTACTCGGGAGGCAAGGCATGAGAATCATTTGAATCCGGGAGGTGGAGGTTGTATTGAGCCAAGATCGCACCACTGCAGTCCAGCCTGGGTGACACTCAGCACACACACACACACACACACACACACACACACACAAACTTTTAGTGAGCTATCATTACTATCTTCAGAGACTAGACAAGATATTTTATCTAGGAAATATGAACAGGATGACATTTTAAAAAAAGAATATCCAGGGTCCATTGTCCTCTGAAAATGGCTGTTTTATTTGTCAGTTAGAAACAAAATAGCAAAAATCATGAAACCTCATTTAAAAGGTTAGAATATACATTTAAGGAAATCACACATGAAGAAGCGTGTAAGACAAAGACAAGGAAAACAGGGAGGATGGAAAAGACCCAGTATTGTTCTGGGAGATCTCCTACTCAAGGGGTAGAAGTTCCAGAAGGAGAGAATGGGAAAGGGGAACCCTTGATGAAGTGCTTCAGGGAGCCCCCTACGATGGGAGCACGGGAGCTGCCGTCTCCAAAGGACCAGCCAGGCGCCCAGCAGTGGGTGTGAAAGGTCTTCACCAAACCACACGGCTTCGAAATTTCGGAACGCTGGGGGCCTGGAGAAGACCTTATAGATACCCGGAGAGAGACATCGAGTCACACTCAAGGTGCAGCATCACGTGGCGCCCATTTTCCTGACAGTACTGGGAGAGGAAGACAACAGAGTTGCGCCTTCAGAATCCCGAAGGCGAAGGATGGTCTTCAAGCTGGAATTCTATACCCAGCCAAAGTCAGGACGCGTGAAGGGGAGAATCGACACGTTTTCAGATGTGCAGAACTTACTCTCATGCCTCCCTTTTTAAGACACAGCTGGAGCCTGAGTTCTGCAGAGTGAGAAAATAAACCAAGGAAGACGATGGCTGGGACAAAGGAAGCGGGAGACTTAAGGTAGGGCAGAGACAGAGGGAATCCCCTGGAGGAGTTGGACCCGTCCAGGCCAGCAGCAGTGCAGACAGAGGGAGCGCCTGCCCGGGGTGAGTGGCACAGCTTCGGAGGCAGCGTCTGGGCCGGCCTCACCAGACTGCCTGCCTCGCTGCCTAAACCTGAGGATGCAACACTCAGCCGCTTGTCTGTGCCTGACCTCTGTTGACCACATGGCCCCACTCTCTCTTCCTTGCCCCACTGCCTCGATTCCCCGAGGTCACTCATTTCTCCAAGGGGGTCTTCTGCCCAGTTCCCACCTGAGAGCTGGAGGTGGCCACCATGGAGGGCAGCTCACCCCCCAGACCACACCTTCTGGCACCTGGTTCTGGTCCACATGACTGCCCTGCCAGATGTTAGACGGGGTGTACTTGGTTTCCTGGGGGTCACCCGTGGCTTCACCCCAGAAGAAGCTCTGGTCCCCTGTCCCAGAAGCTGACGGCAGACTCGGACTCGAGACTGTCCTGTCCCGGGAACCATCGTCAACTCCTCCTTCCACTGCACTGGTGTTGCTGCCTTCAGTCTTCAGAAAGCAAAGGACGTGTTTTCAGGGCCACATATATGCAGATGTTATTATCATAGCAAAGCAAGAGGACACTTAACAAGGTCAGGATGTTGCTCACGGGGTAGGGGGTGCATGTGGTTTGAAGGGACGCAGAGGGTGACGTTTGGGCCTCATTGAAGCGGAGGATGCACTGGTGCTGGTTTCATTACTGTTCTTTTACTAAACATACTTGTTCTTCAGCATGGATGGCACACTGCACAATAAATAAAGGGTGAAGGACATTGTAGCTAAGTCATGCATTTCTGATGTGCTGTCTCCCTCCTCTTCTGTCCCATCCTCTCTCTTCCCCCCACCCCCACATAGAGGCAAAATATCAGTGTAAGAGGAAATCATGGTTACATAGTTGAAATATCTATTATTTTTCCCTTGATTTGAATGAGTCATTCTTTACTTGAAGAGACCCTAAACATTGACTGTGTTACCTAAAGAATAGTGCCTCTTTTTCTTCCATATCTGTATGATGGCATGAAATCGCGTCCTGAGAAGAGGACCTAAGCATGTCGTGGAAAATCAGTATGCTTCTTTATGAACATTTATTTTAAAAGAGCGAGAGAGAGAGACTAACAGGTTTTTCTGTTTGTGATTGAGAATTCATTCACAGCACACTGACCGTCTCCCATTGGACTCTGAATGCGGCCTTTGTGCTCTCACTGACGTCAGGAGTCTGATTGTCTTAATATGTTTCTCAAGGCACAACCTATAAAAGCCGTTTTCTGCTGTACCGTAGAATATTCATGAGAATACAGACTTTTTTGTTTTGATGCTGCATTCTTTAAGGAGAGAAGGTTTTATTGTTTTCTTCAGGGTGCTTTGGGTCAAAAGCACTAGCAGCTTCTGTTGGGAACTCGTGGCATTTTGAATGGTTTTTGATACAGAAATAGCACAAGTCACGTCTGACACAGCCGTAGGCGCACGAATGCGTGAATGCGATTGTGGTTCTCATCTCTGCAGCTGGTGTGTGGGGCCGGGCCTGGGACAGCTTGGGCCTCATCCCCACCCACCCGGCTCCCAGGATCCTCATTAGGAAGCCCTCAGGAGCCCTGGGGTGGGTCTCCTTGCCCTGTGAACGCTCCATTTGTGTTATTGAATCCAACATAAATGCAGCATTGTCTTCAGAGGTGAGCAATGGCCGTGGCCGGAGGTGCGCATGGGATGCAGGCGGCGTGTGCTGCTGTTGATTTTCTCTGCTCTGCTCTTAGCTTACTTTAGCAGATAGTGGAGTTTCACGTGGCAGTCCGGTAAACCAAGGCAGTGTGAACATCCCTTCCCCACAATGAGTGAAAATGCAGGAGGTGCCGTAGTGAGAACAGCGACAGCATTCTGCGCATTGGTGAGCCCGACTCCCCAGCCTCGGTGCCCACCGAAGCCCCCTCTGGCTGCACTGTGCCAGTGAGTCCAGGCTCCTTCTCAGCAGAAGGTGGCTGCTCTGCAGGGCCCCTCGCCTCCCTGCTCCTCAGGGGACCCGCACTCTTCCATGTCCGTAGGGAGACGCGCACCGAGCTGGAGACACAGATCTGCGAGGAGTAACTTGCCTCTCTCACCAGCACTGCCAGGGGCGGATCAGCGCCAGCACCTTCCAGCATGCGCTAAACTGCTGGAGAAGCTGGAGTGGCTGGAAGGAGCCCTGCCTGCCTGCCCTCCTCCTCCTCAGTTGCTGGCCTTGGCAGCTCTAGGGTGACCCAGCAGGGGCCTGGAGGAGTAGGAAGCAGCTTCCCAGCTGCAGTCTGCATCATCCTCTCTGTGCTGTCACAGAATGGAAGGTTTTAGCAGAAAAAGGAGTTTGTAAGCGACATTCAGAAGATTTGGGCAGCAGTTTCTTCCCCCATAGGGTCCTGTCTTTTGGGAGTGGGGAGTGCTGGGCCAGGCTGCTCGCTGGCTGTTTCACAGGTGGTGGAATTTAAGAGCAGACTTGGGTCGAGCTGTGACCGTTCAGGTGATGCACGCACAGGAGGTTCAGCTGTGTGCCTGTGAGGCGGGCAGGAGCGTCACCCAAGCTTCAGAAGAGAATTCCCCGGCAGCAGCGTGGCGCTCAGCATGTTCCGTGTCTGACTGTTTTGATTGTCTCTCAGTCCAGTTGACAAATTCCTTTTAAGATGAAATTTGAATTAATTTGCAGAACTTGTACAAATCTCCAAGAAAACAGCTTAAGGAACAGATTAAAGAATGAATGCCTTAGGAATTAAAGCATTAATAGCTCTTGAGTAGACTGGATGGAAAGATGAGTTGTGTAGGTTATCCAGATGAGGCTACATCCAGGGAGCAATTCTTACCTTCAGAGGGCGCTGCCTGTCCTCCTTGGCATCCAAGTGAGCGCATCTCCTCCACGCTCAATGATGAATGCTGGCCGGCATCCCTGTGAGGAACCTTGTGATCATTTTCCATTTCTGAAAACTCCCAGGTGGTGGGGGCCCTTGGCCCACATCAGCATTGACCACCCCGGGCTCAGATCTGGCCAGGTGCCTGCGTTGTGATGGGAATTTCAGTACACTGAATTTTGCCTCTGACCCTGATGAAATAGCTTCGGTGGCATTTGCATCAAGATCATGTTAGTGTCATCTCTATTAGATGCTTTGGAGCAAACATGAACTTGGGTTTCCTTTTAAGATGTCCTGTGATTCCAGATTCAGGGGAATCTGAGAAAAGTTTGAAGAAAGAAAATTCCACTCGGCCAGCCAACCTTGGGTGTGCAGAGCCTGCCCCGCCTTCCCCACTTTGTCCTGAGAAGCTGGGTCCTCCCCAGCACCAGAGTTGCTGCTGCTTCCCCTCGCGCTCTTGGCTGCTCTCCCGGCCCCAAGCCTGAGTGACACTCTAGGATTGCAGATGGCAGGCTGGTCTCTGGGCTCCCCCGTCCCCATGACCCTCCACCTGCACCCAGACCTCTGGGTCCTTGCTCAGGCAGCCCCTGCCCTCGGTGAGACGCAGCCCACTGTGGGCCCTTCCCCTGGGCCTGCCATCAGCTCCTGTGCTCCTCGGCGCCCCAGCGGCTGCCCTGGGCCCGTTCCCACAGCACCTGGCACACAGCAGGAGCCATGAATGTTCTTTGGGAACTGAATGAGGAGTGGAAATGCGGGCATGTCATGTTTTTGAAGTTAATAAAAAAAATCCCTTAAAAGTTGTTTTATGTTCGGTTTTTAAAGAGATTAACACCAGACGTTTACAATGCTGCCCCCTCCCTCCATCTGTGAGAAATTAGAAATGGAGGGGGATGCGCTAAAGCCAGCAGCGGGTCAGGCCTCTGCCCAGCGCCTGTGGTGGGACCCTGTTTCTACATGGGACCTTGGGTGACAGCAGCACATCTTATAAGCAGGGGTCCCACCCAGGCCCCCCACACAGGGATAAATGAGGCGAGACGTAGGCAATAACCCAGCTTCCAAGATGCAACGCTGTGCAGTTACTTATTCCCTGTGCTTATTTGTTCAAGCTAAAATGTCTCTGTTTGACCAAACAGAAAGAATATGAGAGAGACCAGTTTCACCTACAAATATAGACACCAGCATTCTAAATAACATGGTCGTTGTTGATGCTATTTTGTTTTTCTAACTTTATCCCTTCCTGGAGATAAATGCAACTTTGTTCTTCTACATTATACAAGTGTATGCCTTCCCCGATGGGTTCACCCATGGGTGCTGACTGTGTAACTTAGAAGAACAAAGTTGTGTTTATCCCTGGAAAGCACGGGCCCGCTCACCTGAGGCACTCTAGGAAGTCACTGCAGGGCACTGGTCCCAGGAGAACCGCGTGCCAATCACAGCCATGAACGCGGAAGAGGGAACCGCAACCTGACAGTCATTCACGAGACTGTGTGTTCAGGAAAGCATTTAGCACCGCCGTGCTTGTGAGAGCCGGACCCGTAGCCCCCAGTGCCCACAGCAGGGAGCCCGCCAGCTGAGTCTTCTTCAAGAAGCCAGGCCCCGTTCTCTTTTCTCCGAGTTTGCGAGTTTGCTGACTTAGCTCTCCTCCCTGCCTTTCATATATTTTATTCCTTAAAAGAAAGTCTGAAGCAAATGTAGGTGAACGCTGATGTTTCATAAAACCAGCATTGCTTACGCAGTTTTTCCATTTTGCTATATTTTGTCATAAAAATGATCAGAAAAGGGAAGAAAGGAAATGAATAGGGTCCAGTCCTCACCCACATATGGGGTGGGGGAGTGGGTGGACCCCTGCTTTCTGCTCCTGCACATGGAACAGTCCTCACCTATGTGTGGGGTGGGGGGTGGGTGGACCCCTGCTTTCTGCTCCTGCACATGGAACAGTCCTCACCCATGTGCGGGGTGGGGGGTGGGCGGACCCCTACTCCCTGCTTCCGCACATTGAACACGCAGTTTATGTGCGTAGATTCTTCTCACATAATAGCAAATGAAAACCTTTTACTGTGTCAAAGTCGACACCCAATTAAAAACTAAATACATGCATTTTAAAAGTTGGGGGTTGCACTTCACTGATTTGGGGAAAGAAACAGAAACAGTCAGAGAGGAGGATTTCATTTAAAAAACAACAATAACAACGAGGCAGCCCGTGCTGCGCTGTGGAATGTGATCAGATATATTCAGAAGCTTCTGTCACCTTCTGGGTTGCTTTGTGTCTTTTCACTGTCCAGGAAAGTGGCCTGAGCTGGTCTTCGTGGCCTGAGGCCTGGGCACTCCTCAGGTTCAAGCCAGTCCAGCCAGGGCAGCCAGCAGGGCCAGGTTAGGAGCATGATTGACTGCGGTGGGGCAGGGGAGGGGTGAGGAGACAGTGAAGTCAGCCAGAGAAGCTGAGAGCACCCCTCACCCTGGGCACCAGGAGCTCAGGTGACTGCAGCTCCCACGGCTAAGCGGCAACCCAGGGATCAGAACCCCAAGCTCCGGCCAGTGCCCAGGCCTCCCCCAAAGCATTTCCCACCCTTTTCTCAGGAGAAGGCTGAGTCCTGGGACCAGGACCTCCAGTGGTTTGGAGACAAAGCCAGTGTGGGACCTGCTGCCTGGGCAGTGACTGTGGAAATGCTTTGCACCCAGGGGCAGCTGCCACCTATGGGCTGTTTCACCCAAATCGGTGGCTTTGAGACTGTGGAGTGCAGGTTTTCCTAGGAACTGAGTTGCTGACAAGGCCTGGTCTTAAGCCAGTCCAGAGACGGGCTGAGTGTCAGGGTGAACGTGGGTGGGCTGCTCTCAGGGATGCACCTGGACAAGGTCACGCCCAAAGGTGCTGACCCTGAGGGGCGAGGAGCTGTTTTCTCAGCAGCCCTCTTGTTGGCCCAGACACCCCTCTGAGCTTGAGACCCTCCTAGAGGGCAAGGCCCCACCTCCCCACTTGGCCCAGGTCACATGAGTGTTGGTTATGGGGAGCTTTCTGAGGGGTGGGCCTGTGGGAGGGGAGCAGGCAGGCTGGGCTCTCACTTGGACTCTCAGTGAAGTTTTCGGCAGAGTCGCGTGTCTGAGAAGTGACGCTGGGATGTCCCTGGGCTGTGCCAGGAGCAGTGCTGGCTCAGAGTGAGTGCCTGCACACACTGCATGCTTTCAGAATAGGGACCTGCCGTAAAAGGGGTGCGCAGGTCGGGCTGTTTGTGATATCTGTAATTTAAACCTACCCTTCTTCCTGTGTTACTTTTCTCACTTTCATTTGGTATTGATTGTAAGGAATGAAATTGATTCAGCTTCTGTTCCTCATCAAAATTACTTGTAGCCTTTTCTCAATAGCACATTAGTACAGGGCAGAAAATCCATTTCTTCGCGAGGTGCAGAAACGCATGCCCAGAGGAACGCACTTGTGCCAAGAGCCAGGAGCACGTCTCGTTGGCTGTGTCTGGTAAACATGTTTTCCAAGGGGGCGCTTGTCTCACCATGGAAACGGGCTCCGGGTCTCGAGCGTCTGTCTGGACCACTTCTGGGGCACACGCTCTTGTGGCTCTCACAGCGGCACGGTGACTTCGATGGAAGAGGAGGAAGAGGAGCAGGACAGGCAGTCTTCCTGGCTGAGACCTGGCGCCCGCGCTTTTCCTTGAACAGCCACAACCTTTTTCTTTATTTTTCTCATTATTGGCCTCTAGAAATGACGTCAGCAAGGCCTCTGGGCCTGTAGCGGGGTCCTCTGAGAGCCGGCCTCCCGGGGAGGGTGGAGGAAGGAACAGGGATTGTGGAGTGCGTCCTGGCCTGACCTCCCATGGGCTTTTGTGGTTTTTGCCCTTGAGGAATGGGCCCCAGAGGCCTCTGAGTCTTGCATTTTGAGTTTGTTGGGCAAGAGGGGGACAGGGGGAGAGGGGTATCCAATCCTCAAATGGTCACAACCCCCCCCCCGCCCCGTGAAGGTGGCCAGTGTGTTGGGTGGGGGCTCTGGGGCCCAGGGACAGCAAAGGGCGGCAGTGACCGGCTCTCCTGCTTGTTTTTCCCACAGTGGATGTGGCCACGGCGCTGCCTCTGCAAGTGGCCCCCTCGGCAGTGCCCATGGACCTGCGCCTGGACCACCAGTTCTCACTGCCTGTGGCAGAGCCGGCCCTGCGGGAGCAGCAGCTGCAGCAGGAGCTCCTGGCGCTCAAGCAGAAGCAGCAGATCCAGAGGCAGATCCTCATCGCTGAGTTCCAGAGGCAGCACGAGCAGCTCTCCCGGCAGCACGAGGCGCAGCTCCACGAGCACATCAAGGTGAGGCGCGGTGCGGGGCTGCGGGTGGGCCAGGCCTCCGGCACCCTCAACTCCCGGTGACTCCAGCCCTGCCTCCGCGGAGTGTGCTGGGGCCCCAGGCATGATGCAGGGTTCCTGCAGGAGGCCTTCTGCGTTGGGACGGTAACACCAGGCAACAAACCGCGGGCAGCACTTGCGTGTATTGTGGAGGACGTGGTGCTGAGTGGGAACGGCGGTCCAAAGTCATTGAGTGGAAGCATATTCCAAATAGGAAAAATGCTTATCGCCTAATTTCATCCGAAACATGCTCAGAAATAGAAAAGCTACCAAAGGGAAGAAGCACCAGAACCTTAATGATCGTTGCTGGGAGGTGTATTGACAAATCTGTGTTTTCTTTTCCTTAGGACTTTTCTATATTTTCTATTTTCTCTACTAACCTTTTATAATTAGAAAAAGATAATATTTTCTTTTAATTTAAATGCGGTAAGAAAAAAAAGACTTTTTTTGGTACTTACTGTCTACAAATATTTAATCTGATACCAGATTTTAAAATTAAATCAATTGGAAATATGTACTAGTGATATGTAGCAAAGTTATATAGTTGGCAGGCTAGTTATGATATCTGTGATTATAATATGCTGTCACTGCATTTAGAACCATTTAGAGCAACACCGTCTAATAGAAATATACATGAGTATATTAAAATTCCACCAGTAATTTTAAATATTCTAGTGGTCACAGTAAACAAAGTGAAAAATCCCACAAAACCAGACTAAGTTATCTATATCTGTGTAACAAAATTACCCCAACACTTAGCAGTTTAAAATAGCAAGTTTGTATTGTCTTGCTCTGTGGGTCAGGAATCCTGGAGCAGCTTCGCTGATGGGGTCTCCCATTATGTTGTTATTAAGATGTCAGGCAGGGCTGTGGTCTCATCTGCAGGGTTGACTGGACTGAGGCGGGAGGAGCTCCATTCAGGCTCACTCACATGGCCGCAGGCAGGAGGCCTGAGGTCCTCATCCACAGGGCTGCTCACAGCATAGCAGCCAGCTTCCCAGAGGGAGCAACCCGAGAGGAAGCATGGCCAACATGGAAGCCACAGGGTCTCTCGTGCCCTGATCTGGGAAGTGGCAGGCCGCCACCAACACTGCTGCTGTTGTTGTTCATGCTAAGTCTTGGCAAGCCACTGGGTCGCACGTAGGGCATGTCTCCATTCAGGCCAGCCGCATTTCGAGCCACACGTGGTTCGTGGCAACTGTTGGACAGCACAGATGTAGGGCATCAAAAGCCTATGACCGTATGCAACCTGGTGCTTCTGAGATGCTCACGTGGTCCATGGGTAGAAGTTGTTCACCTGAGGTCTTGGCTACCTGGCATTAGCCCACACACAGATATTAGTGTGCCCACCTAGTGTGCAGAGTAGCTTAGGGGTGCATCCCTCTGTTTCTGCCCTAGCTGATAATTCTCTTGACCACAGGATCCCAGTTTCCCTTCCTTTATATGTAAGACACTTTGTTCAGTGTCTTTATTTCATAATCACTGTCGAGAAATGGAGGTAAAGTAGTATCAGTTGTCTGTAGACTTAGTGGCAGATTGTGGGGGAGGCTGCATCCCAAAGCTGGGCTGGCCCTGGAGGACAGGCTCAGGGACAGCTCCATGTCCCCTCTCATGGGTGCCAAACCATTCTGTGAGTGCCTGTGCTTCAAAGGTGAGCCCGGAGAGCTCTGTACTCGGCCCCCTCTGGCCTTGAGGGAACGGGGGCTGGGAGGTTTCTGGCTGGACCCTGAGGGGCTGCTTGCGGGCTCTGGGTCTTTGGACTTGGCACCGTTGCCTTGGCATTTGTTGGCTTGGGAGTTGTTGCTGCTGCTTTTTCCCAGATGCATGGGCCTGCTAATGTCAGTGTTTGACAAACCAAGGAGAGGACACTTTCCTGAGCTCTTGAAGTCCATGCTTTATCGTTTTTGCCTTCAGATTTCAGAGCGACCTAGCAGCCGTGTGTAACAAACACGTCACTTGTCCCTGTGGAGATTGGCCCACCAGCCTCCACTGGCACCCTGTCCACTTTAACAAGCACACTCGAGTTTAGGGTGGGGCAGTTGAGAGCTCCACAAGCACCATACCCTTTGGGATCCCTGTGATCCTGACACTCCTGGCAGGTGGGACATGAGAGAGGACACAGTCTTCACTTTACTGATGGCACCACTCGGTGCAGTGGACAGGCCAGTCTTGCCTCCCTCACGGCCCTGACCATGGGCAACTGCAGCTGGCCTCTGTTTTTCTGGCCTGGGAGAAGAGTTTTCAAGCTGGCTGCAGGAAACAGGTGCATGCCAGGCAGAAGGCGCGGGTCCGGGGGAGTCACTGCAGGCAATCCCTGCAGCCTGCCCAGGGCTTCAGCTCACCAGCCTTTCCATGATCTGCGAAGAGCAGCCCTCAAGAGGCCACTCGTTTTATTTAGTTTTTGCGCCATAGGCTCACATTCTATGACTCCTAGAAGTAATTTTTTAAAATGAGTACCGTAGCTCCTTCGTATTCTGCATGTTGGCAACCCCACATCAAGCCCGAGGACTCCCTGACAGCAGTCTTGACCCAGGCACTGCCCTGTGCCTCTCAGAAGCCCCCGTCGGCCATTGGTCCCGCCTGCCTCGGGGACATGAGGACCACTCACTCACTCCGGCTTCCCTGCCTTCCTGCAGGCCAACACAGATGCTGGCTGAGGATGGCCTCAGGGGCTCCTGCTGAATTCCATTTTTCCTGTTGTCACTGCACCCTGGTGAGCCCTGCAGTCCTTGCCGTTGATCCACCTGGAGCATTCACAGTGCATGATTAGGACCCCACCCCGAAGCCGCCATGGCTGTCGGTGCAGAGCGAGGTTAAAGAGATGGGATTGCTGATGTCTCATTCCGTGCTGGTTGAATTTGTAGCTTTTACAAGAAGACGACGTAGATGAGAAGCTGAGAAGTAAGCCTAAGCCCCGTGTGTTTGACTGGGGCTCCTCAAGGTAGTCCTAGGAGGCCAGAAGACATAAAGAAGACACTTGAGTTGGGGTCAGTGCTGCCATCTCAGGGTGAGGCCAGGTCTCACCTCCAGAACCCCTCTGCCTCTCCTCTTCTGGTGCCCCAGGAGCTGGCTTCACTGCTTGGAAGAGAGCACCCCGACCCCAGTCCTCACGTCGCTCCTACAGGCCAGGCCTTCAGGCCATGCTCCTCATTCCTGGAGGGGTCCCTGGGAAAGCCCACCCCATCACCCTCTGAGAGATGGCCAGAGACCTTAGAACCATGGCTCTGGAGCCAGTCTCTGGGCCAGGGTCTCAAAAGCACAGAAAGAAGTTCAAGGTTGCCTTTCTCTTTGCATTTTAATCATTTATTTCTTCATTAAAATAGAGATTATAAAAGCCATTTGAACTACATAGTGGTTTCATTACATTAGGAGGCTTTTGTTTGGATGATTTAAACTCTCTTTATAAGCCATCATATTGTTTGTTAGTGACATTTGGCAATAGTGTTTGTCAGACAGATTTCTTGAACACAAAATCTAATTAGTGTCATTAAATCATCAGTGAATTTGAATAGAGTTTTATAATTGAAAAGGGAGTCATTTTTAAAATATAACTTAAATTATTAATGTTGGGTAAATAGGATCTTTTAGGAGAATTTTAATGCTCGTGGTCCCCTTGGACTTTCCGGTTTCCTGGCTGTTTGTGGTGGTTTAGACACAGCCTTGCCTCTCCTTCTCGGATGGTGCTTTTCCACCAAGAAGCGGATCCCAGGTAAGCGTGGAAGTTCTCTCTTGCACTTCTGTGTTTTTGTTTGTTTGTTTTTTGAGGCAGTCTCGCTCAACTGTTGCACAGGCTGGAGTGCATTGGTGCCATCTCAGTTCACTTCAATCTTCGCCTCCCAGGTTCAAGCGATGCTCATGCCTCAGCCACCTGAGTGGCTGGGATTACCAGCATGCACCACCACACCCTGCTGCTAATTTTTGTATTTTTGGTAGAGATGGGTTTTTCCCATGTTGGCCAGGCTAGGCTCGAACTCCTGGCCTTAAGTGATCTGCCTGTATCAGCCTCCCAAAGTGTCAGGTTTACAGGCGTGAGCCACTGCGCCCGGCCTCTCTCTTGCATTTCTGATCAATGCCTCCCAGAAGAATATGGAGAGGCAGGACACAAACATGGATACCCAGAGAGGGTCCAAGGACAGGCCACGAAGCCATGGCTAGAGCATGCTCCAGGCTGGTGAGTGATGGAGCAGGGGCATGTGGGAGACCCCAAGCACAAGACTGGGCCCCGGCACCCACCTCAGGGTGCATCTCTCCCCAGGAGGCACAGGGCACCCCCCACACTGTGCACCTCTCCCTAGGAAACACGGGGCACCCCCTGCAGGGTGCATCTCTCCCCAGGAGGCACGGGACACCCCCACAGGGCACACCTTTCCCCAGCAGTTAGGGTACACCTCTCCCCAGGAGGCGTGGGGCACCCCCTGCAGGGCACATGTCTCCCCACGAGACACGGGGCACCCTTCATAGGGCAGACCTCTCCCCAGGAGATACAGGGCACCCCCTTTAGGGCATTCCTCTCCCCAGAAGACACCGAGGCACCCCTATAGGGCACAACTCTTCCCAGGAGATACAGGGCAACCCCCATGGGGGATACAGGCACCCCATGGGGTGCACCTCTCCCCAGAAGACACTGGGCACTCCTCCCATAGGGCACAGCCTCCAGGGTAGTCACCGAGGGACCCACCCATAGGGCACAGCCTCCAGGGTAGTCACCGAGGGACCCACCCATAGGGCACAGCCTCCAGGGCAGGCACTGAGGGACCCCCCCCATAGGGCACAGCCCTCCAGGGCAGACACTGAGGGATAGCCCTCCATGATAGACACCAAGGGACCCCCCCCATAGGACACATCCTCCAGGGCAGACACTGAGGGACCCCCCACCATAGGACACAGTCTCCAGGACAGACACTGAGGGACCCCCCCATAGGATACATCCTCCAGGGCAGACACTGAGGGACCCCCCACCATAGGACACAGTCTCCAGGACAGACACTGAGGGACCCCCCCATAGGACACATCCTCCAGGGCAGACACTGAGGGACCCCCCACCATAGGACACAGTCTCCAGGACAGACACTGAGGGACCCCCCCATAGGACACATCCTCCGGGACAGACACTGAGGGACCTCCCCCATAGGGTACAACCTCCAGGACAGACACTGAGGGACCCCCCATCATAGGGCACAGCCTCCAGGACAGACACTGAGGGACCCCCCCCGATAGGGCACAGCCTCCAGGACAGACACTGAGGGACCACCCCATAGGGCACAGCCTCCAGGACAGACACTGGGGGACCCCCCCCCATAGGGCACAGCCTCCAGGACAGACACTGAGGGACCCCCCCTCATAGGGCACAGCCTCCAGGACAGACACTGAGGGACCCCCCCATAGGGCACAGCCTCCAGGACAGACACTGGGGGACCCCCCCTCATAGGGCACAGCCTCCAAGACAGACACTGAGGGACCCCCCCACCACCATAGGACACATCCTCCAGGACAGACACTTAGGGACCCCCCCATAGGGCACAGCCTCCAGGGCAGGTACAGGGCACCTTTTGTATGTAGGTTGCACATCGCCCTCCTGCAAGGCTTACCCTCTCTCCCTGCACTGGTGTAAGGCGTGCCTTTTCTTCCCTAACTTCAGCCTATTCCCAGTCGAATGCATGAAGAGTAAAAATCATTTACACACTGTTTTAGTGGCATGTCTTTTTTTTTTTTTTTTTTTTTTTTTTTACACTAGCAAGGCTGGCCTCTTTTTCGTGTGCTTGTGTGTGTGTGTGTGTCCATGTGACTTGTGCTATGGAGAGCACAGTGGATAGGAGAGAGTTTTCAGAGCTGTTTAGTTGATAGTGTGACTCTTCCTTTCAGGGAGGAACTAACACGGAAAGGAACCTAGTTTTCTGGCACTGGGAGCGTGGGTCATGATCCTTATTCTCTTTAATACCTGGCCGAGGAAGGTGAAGAGATGTTGCCCAGGCCCAGCTTTCTGGTCACCTGAGGCAGCTGTCAGTGAGCATTAGAGCTCACCTGAGCTGTGCCGAATGCCTGATCCAGGGCTCTGCGCCAGGACAGGGGTGCGGTGGGGAGGCAGGGGGCAGGAGCACACTCTTGGTTTGGAGCAGAGTCCCTCTGTGGTGCCTCTGGGTGAAGGTTAAGAATAGACGGGAAGACCTCGTGCACACCTTTGCTTAGCATGAGCTGCCTCCCAAGCTAGGCAGAGGCACATGCACGTGGCAGTGGGCAGTGGGGCCAGGTGACACATAGGGCACGTGGGCACACACCTGGAGAGCCATGGATGCCGTGGCCCTACCCCAGCTGGTCTGCACCTGGTGTTCCCATCCATGGGCGGCAGCTTACCGTCCGTGGCGTCCATTCTGCCGCCCTTTCCTCCTGGCCCCTGCCGCTTTATGCGGGCGCGGCATCTGCCCACTCTGGGGCTGTTCCCCTGGCAAGTTGAAAAAGAGACACAAGAAAGTCAAGAGTTTCGTTTTAAAAGTGAAAATCTTTTTGGGTTACCACTTGAATATTTGTATATTAAATTCTGAAGTCAGAGTCAAAGCAGCTAAATTCTGGGGCTCCTATATTTGGTTCAGAGTTCAGTGTACGCTTAACGTAAACTTAAAGTCTGGTTAGAGTAATAGGATCAGCTATGATTGGTTTTGTTTTTGCTTTTCTTAGAAGAATGAGGTCGTAGTCATCTTATTTTAAATTGCTCATTATAGTTTCAGTCTGCAAAAAATTGCTTCCCAACAGCCCTTGCCCCATGGAGTAGTCTGACGTGTAAAGTTAGCGAGGGACTAGTTGCAGACAATTTTAGCTAACTTAAAAATAAGCGCATCTCAAAGTCCTGTTTTTCGAAGCCTGAATTTGGTATTCCAGTGACGCACCTGCCCTCCAGAAGCCAACTGAGGGTTCCCATGGAGAATAAGTACCTATTCACGATGCTAGGATGTGGGGCAGGAGTGAAGAAGAGTGAAATGGCCATCTTCCCTTGTGGTTCCAGCATTTTCCGAGCATGCCGAGGGCAGAGGGTCCCTGTGTCTTCTTTGAAGATCAAGAAACAGGCCTGACGTCTCAGCTTGTGCTATGAACAGGGAGTGTTGAAATCCAGTTTGTCCTGATGGCTTTCACTTTGCAGGCTTTGCTCTACAGATAATCTGTTATAAATCTAATAAGGTGGAATGCCTCCCTACAAGTAGCGAAGCCGAGATCACACAGCGTTGCCGGGGGCAGGTAGGGAATCAGTCACTGTTTGTGACTGCTGGTTTCATTAAAACTCCACCACAGTCATGTTTCTGGGAGTTTTGCCTTCCTGTGAATTTTAATCCCCAGCAGCCATGGTTGTTGCTTTCATTCTTTTTGAAATGATGGTGGAAAGAGCTCACTTTCCCTCTGGGTTCTGGCTGACAAGTAGATACTGTGAGACTGCATTAGGCTGCATCTGTCCGCTCTGCGTTTCCGCCCTGAGTGAGCTCTGAGCAGCGGGAGGGAGGGAGCCAAGGGGCCCTGTGCAGGTGACAGCCAGAGGGGAGGGGCTCGCCATGACGAGGAGATCAGTTCAACAAAGGACTGTGTTTGTTTTCTGAGCTGAGAAGCACCCCGAAGCCCTGTGGGTTGTATGTTTATAGGTTAACCTGCTGGTGGCATTCCCAATCTGCAGACAGTGTGGCCCAGGGATGCTCTCGGGGCACCTTTCCCTGTGTACACAGCTCCGGGTCCCCAGGGCAGAGTCCTGAATCTGTACATGCCCAGATGTTTGTCCTGGTAGAGGGACTTTGCTTGCATGTGGCGGCAAGGAACACCGCGTTAGGAAGGTGTGCTCCAGGTAGTATCTCCCTAGCCTTGAGGGGGCCTGATTTTACCTTAGGATATTTAGTGTCTGCAGGAAGTCGGCGTCTCTAGGCGACATCTTTCAAAAGTGACGGTTTGATGACAATCAGGCCGCACGGAGGCAAGCCCAGACCAGCTCTTCTGAGTGTTCTCCCCATGCCACCTCTTCCAGTCCTCACAGGAACCCTTGGGGGCAGGTGCCACATTTAACCCAGCACGGAGAGGTTAAATATTTAGGTGCAAGTGCGCTGGCAGCAAGCAGGTGGGTGGAGCAGGTTTTATCAGCCAGGCAGCCTGGCCTGGGCACTGCCCTCCAGCCAGCGTGCTATGGGCCGCCTGTGAGTCTTCGGAGGCCAGCGCTGCCCTGATGAAGGACACGGCAAGAGCTTGCTTATGTTTATCCCACCATCCCCAAGAAGTTCATTTAAGTTGGTTGTTCGGAATTAAGTTTTTGCCATGGGAAAGATACAGGTGAGATGCTTGGTGTGTGCAGCTAGCCCTGACGGCCCTCCCTGCCCCTCCTGCGCACACGCTGCTGCCGGGCGTGGTGGGTGCCCCCTCTCCCTCGGCCCACCCAGGCCTCCTGCCTTGCCTGTGCCCACACATCTGCCAGGAGCAGCACCCCTGCTGGAAGGCAAGCCTGCATTGCACCTGCCTGGGTAGGGTCTTGCCTCAGCCCCTCCTCTCCTCCCTCCTTCCTTGGGTGTGGGCCTACCTCCTGCCACCTCTGCAGCTCTTCTATCCCCGTGCTCCTGGCTGGAATTGAGTCCCACCCCCCTTGTGAGGGCTGTAGGTGGGTGGGCGTGTTTGTGGACAGGGCTTTTCATCTGTGAGGAGAGCCGGCAGGTCCTGTCCCCAATGTCTGGATGCTGATCTGCTCTCTCTGCTGCTGTAAATCCTTGCTGTGTGTGACCACAGGTGTGACTGGGCAGACCTGCCTAGAGCCCGAGGTCCCACTGCCCTGGACTCCAAGCGATTCCTGTGGGGCTCTGCCATCCAGGCCACTTCCGCTGCCATGGGACAGTGGACGGGGAGGCTGGCTGTGGGCTGCAGGCTGCAATGACCCAGCCCAGGTGGGCCGGGAAAGACCAGCGCTGTGGTCTCCGTCCTGGAGGCTGGGGCAGCCTCAGTCCAGAGCTATCTGCTGGGGTCACTGCAATGGGGCAGGCGGTTTCTGCCTGGGGACTCTTCCTCGGGGTGGGCCATGGGGGGCAGCGGCCCAGCACACCCTTCCATCCACATGGGGCACTCATGAGGGGCAATCATGTTCATTTTGCTTGTTCACTGCCAGCGCCAGTTTGAGGTTGCCGAATGCCATTTGGTTGGCCAATGCCTGTCTCTGTCCCTTGTCTGGGCTGGGGGCTTTACTTACAGAATGGAAGAATGAGGAGTTTTACCTTACAAAATTACACAGTTGATGTTACGTTTAACATCGTGGACACAATGTGATTCAAATTTCACACAGGTCACAGACATGCGGGGTGACTGGCATGTCTCATCTTGAGTAGGAAGAGGCTGTGAGCAAGCTGAAATCCTTTCTTCCCTATTTACAAGTGGTTCTGGGTGGTCGTGGAAACCGGCTGAGTCCTCAGCAGTGGGAAGCGAGGTCCAGGAACGGGATTGATGCCCTGGTGAGGCCATTCCTCATCCCCTGCACCGCCTGTGACCATGAAAGGGCTTGGGCCAGGCTGTTTTTGCAGGCTGGATCTTCCCAGAAGCCTAGGGGTTGGAAAGGTGTGTGTGCTGGGTGCCCGGGGGCTGAGCTGGACCTCCAGGCTCTCGCAGGAGAGGGTGTGGTGGCCACCTGGAAGCTGGCTGTGCAGGGGCAGCAAGGGTGTGAAGCTTGCCAGTCGGCTCGGGCCTCTCATGTGAAGAAGGACCCAGCAAGATGCAGGAGATGTTCCCGGACACACACCGCCTGCCCCCGTCACCTTGCCAACGCCGCTGAAGGTTGGCGCCCACAGAGAAGGGCAGCGCCCTTGCACGCTCACAGTTACCTGGAGCACACATGCTCAATCCCACGCGCTCACTCACATTCAGAACGCACACTTGGGTGCACAAGCACGTTGATGTGCAGGTTCCTCCGTGCGGGCAGCCCTGTTGTCTTGGAGCAGCGAGCCCTGTAGCAGAAGGCTTGTGCCGCCTCCCACCCTGAGCACGCCGCGTGGGCTCTCAGGCTGTGGCACCTCAGGGACCCAGCCCCCCATCCCTGCTGGCCCTACTCTGTCGGGGTTGCCTCTGCCCGTCCGATGTAATCCTTTTCATCTGCTTTCCTACCCCTCAGCCACTTTTCATTTTCCTTTGTTATCACCTCTTGCTCTGAAGTGATGCGCATTTGTTGTAGAGCGGCAATCGGTCCCGACCTTTTTGGCACCAGGGACCGGTTTCGTGGAAGATGGTTTTTTCTGTGGACAGGGGTGGGGGACGCAGGAGAATGGTTTCGGGATGAAACTTCCACCACCTCAGATCATCAGGCGTTAGATTCTCATAAGGACCATGCATCCTAAATCCCCCACACGCACAGTTCACAACAGGATCACACTCCTGTGAGAATCTAATGCCACCACTGATCCAGCAGGAGCTTGAGCTCTGGCGGGAATGCTCCCTAGCCTGCCACTTACCTCCTGCTTTGTGGCCCATTTCCTAACAGGCCAGGGACTGCTGCTACCCGTCCACGGCCGGAGGTGGGGACCCCTGTCGTAGAGGGATTGAAGAATACACAGGGACGACAGTGTGACGTGGGTGGCATCCCATGGGCGCCAGTCCTGCTGTGCCAGCGCAGCCACTCATGGAGCACAGGCATCCAGTGGCTGCCTCGCACGCACACCCCACTCTATGCCTCAGGCGTCCGGTGGCTGCCTCGCACGCACTCCCCACTCTATGCCTCGGGCGTCCGGTGGCTGCCTCGCACGCACACCCCACTCTATGCCTCAGGCGTCCGGTGGCTGCCTCGCACACACACCCCACTCTATGCCTCGGGCGTCTGGTGGCTGCCTCGCACGCACTCCCCACTCTATGCCTCGGGCATCCGGTGGCTGCCTCGCACACACACCCCACTCTATGCTTTGCTCATCCTTTCCCTGGCCTGAGCCTCATCCTCCAGGAAGAATCACCAGCTGGTGGAAGCCCCACTCTGGAGCCAGCCCGGAGCCCCTGATTCACTAAATTTCCTCCACAGAAAGTTCCTCGGGCCACTCTGGTTGCCAGGATGCCTGCTTATCCCGTACCCTCTCACCGTCCCCTCTTCCTCCATAAGGGGAGCAAGACCAACAAAAAGCAACCCACCAGTGGCCGGGTGAGGCAGCTCACGCTCGTAATCCCAGAGCTTTAGGAAGCTAAGGCGGGAGGATCACGTGAGCCCAGGGGTTTGAGACCAGCCCCAGCAACAGAGCAAGATCTTGTTTCATCAAAAAAGAAGAAAACGTATCTGGGTGCAGTGGTGTGCACCTGTAGTCCCAGCTACTCAGGAGGCTGAGGTGGGAGAATGGCTTGAGCCCAGGAGTTCGAGACCAGCCTGGGCAACATAGCAAGACCCCTTCTCTACAATTTTGTTTTTTTAATTAACTGCCATCTATTTGGGAGTCTGAGGTAGGAGGATCACTTGAGCCCAGGAGCTCAAGCTTACAGTGAGCTATGATTGCGCCACTGCACTCCAGCCTGGGCAACAGAGCGAGACCCTATGTCTAAAATAAACAAGACACTGGGACAAGAGACAACTGGTAACGGAACAATCACTGGGGACAGCAGACAGACCATGACCGGGACACGTGCGGCCACAGAGGGTGGCAGAGAGGCTCTCCCAGGCAGGCAGGTGGCAGAGCTCCTCACACCTGTGGAGGCCTGGCACTTCCCCCGGGCTGGCCCAGGGGTTTGTGTGGAAGCCGAGGAAAGTGTGTGCAGACAGAACCCTGGAGCATGCGAACGAGAGCGGAGCCATCTCAGAGGAGCGGAAGGACGTGCGGGAGCCCTGGAGCCTGGGTTGGGTCCCAGGACAGAGGTGCTCTGGGTTTGCGGGAGTCCCTCTCAGGGCGTCTGGTCAGTTGCACCTTCCCACACTCGTCAGCGCCAGGCCAAATTGTTCCTTTTCACCTTTTCCGATACCGTGAGTGAAATGGGAAGTGTTCACTAGTGAGCTTGAACATTTATCCCGATTTCTTTTTAAACAGTTCTTCTGTGCATCTTGTTCTTTTCTGCCCAACGTTTTAGTGGGCTGCCTGTCATGTTCTCATTAATGGATAACAACCATTTATATAAAATTTGTATGTCATAAATACTGCAGTTTTTCTTTTACCTTCTGCCTTTTGTTATTAAGACAAACATTTTATGTCGACGTCAGTTTTTGAAATATGAGATATAATTTATACTCGGTAGAATGCCAGCCCTTAAGGGTGCTGTTGGGTGGCTGTGCCCTTCCCTGTAGACAGTCAACAGGTCGGACACTCCACCCGCTGGGGCGTTTCCTCCGGCCTCGGCACCCCCAACCCTACCTCACCCCCGCAGAGGCAGCCTTCTTCTGATTTTCATCCTTGTGCGTTAGTTTTTTCTGTTTTAGGGCTTCATGTGAATATAGTCAGCCCTCCATATTTTTGGGTTTCACCTCCACTGATTGAGCCAGCGGAGGATCAGAGCCTGGAGACACTGAGGGCCAACCACCCGTATTTCCACACCAGGCTGTGGTGGAATGTGCGGATCTGGAGCTGCAAGTGCAGAGGCTCAGCGGAGGGTCTTTCAGTCTTGCCTCTTCTCTCTGCTCTTTCACCCTCTGCCAACACCTGCTGTTTAGCAGTTCACCTGTGTTTTCTTGTGTACACGTAGGTTGTTGTTTTTTATGGTTAGGTGGTATTCTCTTTGATGAACACACATCATTTCTCCAAGTGTCCACCTTCGAGGGAACATGTGGGTTGCATCAAGGCTGGTCTGTGACCAGAGCTCCCATGCACATTCTTGTACAGGCTTTTTGTGGGTGTGCTTCCGTGTTTCGGATAAATAGCTAGGAATGGGATTGCTGGGTCTCGGGGCAGATGTGCATTTAACTTTATAAGGAAGTGCCCAGCAGTTTTCTGAAGTGGTTGTACCATTTCACGCTCTCTTCACTGTCTTTGTGTCGTTCTCAAAATAGCATTTCCAACTTGCAAGATAACATAACTCTTCTTGCGTATTTTCTTCTAGCAAGCCAATGGCTTTTGTTTTTAATGTTTTCCACTTCGAAGGTAAGACAATGCCCAGAGCCCGGAATGGCCCTGACTTCTTTTTTTGGACTGAAATAGCAGCAGTGCAGGGCAGGGCAGTGCCCAGGGCCACACCAGGGCAGACGTGTAGGGCCTGGGCTGGTTTCTTGGGTCTTCATTGGGTCTCTGTGTGTGTGTGGAGCCTGGGCTCTGACCGTCTGTCTCCTCCTTCCACTTGCAGCAACAACAGGAGATGCTGGCCATGAAGCACCAGCAGGAGCTGCTGGAACACCAGCGGAAGCTGGAGAGGCACCGCCAGGAGCAGGAGCTGGAGAAGCAGCACCGGGAGCAGAAGCTGCAGCAGCTCAAGAACAAGGAGAAGGGCAAAGAGAGTGAGTGTGGGCACGGAAGGCCAGGCAGAGGGAGGGAGGCCGGGCAGAGGGAGGGGTGCGGGCACGGAAGGCTGGGCAGAGGGAGGGAGTGCGGGCGCAGAAGGCCGGGCAGAGGGAGGGAGGCCGGGCAGAGGGAGGGAGGCCGGGCAGAGGGAGGGGTGCGGGCACGGAAGGCTGGGCAGAGGGAGGGAGTGCGGGCGCAGAAGGCCGGGCAGAGGGAGGGAGGCCGGGCAGAGGGAGGGAGTGGGGGCATGGACTCCGGAAGGTGAGGGGCAGAAGGAGTGAGTGCAGGAGGGCACTGGGGCAGCACACGGGGAGTAGGGAAAGATCTAGGGGCAGCTGAGCCTCACCATGGTGACTCTTGCCACTTTGCCTGTGCTGGGTTTCTAAGAAGCAGGCCAGGAATGGGACCCCCACCCCCTGACAGGGACAGTGAGTGTGACAGTGTGTCAGCCCACCCATGGTTAGCTCCCCCAGTGAACCAGAGTCCATGGATTTATCTTCATCCAGGGCTGCAGGATTCAATATTAACATCAAAGCAAGGGGCATTCAGCCCGACTTTTGGTTTGATTTAAACATTTTAAAGACTATTTGGCAGGATTCCTAATAGACTTAAAAATATTAAAAGCCATAAAGCATGCCAGATGCACAGTGAATTTCATCTGTGAGTTCTGCCCTGCATTTTTCAAAGTACTTTTCTTTCGGGAGCATTTTATAAGTGCCTTCAAAGCAGGTGTGAGGTTGTAGAGTGACCCACGGCCCAGTGAGGGCCAGCAGCGTGCTCTTGCTATCTGCTCCTTCCACTCTGAATTTTGCCTTCTGTGGGGGCTGTGTTTGTACATCTGGAGACCAGCATGGTCTGTTTTCTTCTAAGGAGAGCCCACACTTCATACTATCCAGGAGAACACTGTATTTGCTGTTTCCCACTTTGGACAGTTAGAGGGACGCATCTACTGAGGAAAAGGTAACAGTGTCGCCCCTGCTGACTGTGGGCTGCTGGGACGATGACCCGTGGGCTCCTCTGCACGAGGACGGTGCCCAGCGTCGCCAGTGTGTCTGAGCCCTGGCGTGTCCCCGGGGTGCAGGGTCCACCGTGGGGCTGAGTCAGCTCTGAGCATCCTCTCAGATCTTCACTTAAAAGAGCCCTTGGCTCACTGTGTGTTTATATCCTTTCCATGGACAACTTCTTGTTTTAAGTGACACAGACAGTCAGGATCTAATCACCAGAGTGAAGGGACTTTCATAGACACTCCGAGTTTCTGCCCAGGACTTACATGCTCAGTTAAATTTGTCTGTTCCCTGGTAATACTGAAAAGGAGTCGAGGTATACATTTTCCTCAGGTAACAGGATTCCAGGTAAGGAGAGTAGAGGGATTTACTCTTGTAGGGCTGGCCCATGAGTCAGAAGAGAAGTCCTTATGCACTTCCCCCTTCCCCAAAGATAACTCCTCTCCTGATGTTTAACATGGAAGATTAATTTTGCCTGCTTTTGAAATGTATGTAAATGGAACCCTTAATATGTAGGATTTTTGCGTTTTGCTTCTTTCTGTGGACATTATGCTTGTGAAATTCATCCCCATTTTGCATTTAGCAAGAGGTCATTCATTATCTATTATATATTGCTGCATGGTGTCCCATTTATAAATGCACCAATGTAGTCATTTCTTCTAAAGTTGTTAGATATTTGGCTTGTTTCCTAACCAGAGCTATTAAAAGCAGTATTGCTATGTGCATTCTTGTACATGTTTCTTGGTACATGTGGGCAAATGTGAAGTGGAGTTGTTGAACTTTGGGGCATGCATGTTGTCAGTGTTCATACGTGATGCCCAAAAGTTTTCAAAGTAGTGTACCAGTTTACACTCCTACCAGCCATGTACAGGGGTTCCTGTGGCTCCATGTCCTTGTCAACACTTGCTGCTGTCAGTCACTTTAATTTCAGCTCCTCCTCATGCCCTCAGCTACATTTCTTTGATTACCAATAAGATAGTTTATTTTCATAAGTTTTTTTTGCCGAATGA
This sequence comes from Homo sapiens, assembly GCF_000001405.40. Classification (NCBI taxonomy): domain Eukaryota; kingdom Metazoa; phylum Chordata; class Mammalia; order Primates; family Hominidae; genus Homo; species Homo sapiens. The sequence continues at coordinate 239,174,394 of NC_000002.12, read as the reverse complement.
ATATTCCCCTTTTTGTGAAGTGCTTGTTCCAGTCTCTTGCCCATTTTTCTGATGCGAGGTCTCCCTTTTTCTTGATTTGGAGTTGTTCTTTATATATTATGGAATCAACCCTTGGCCAGTTGTACATGCTGTAAATCTCTTCTTCCACTCTGTACTTTGCCTGTTCACTCTCTTAATGTTATCTTTCAGGCACAGAAATTCTCCCTTCTAATACAGTTTCAGTCTTTTCCTTTAGATGATTTTGTGCCTTAAGAAATCTTTCCTTTCTTCAGAATCTTGGATACATCCTCTTTAATTATCTCCTAGGAGCTGATTGTACCTGGAATTGATACTAGTGGGGTTTTGTTTGTGATTGCATTGACTCTGTGGTTCAAATTAGGAAGACCTGATATTTTTACAACATTGATTATTTACCTTCTTTAATTTTTCTTAATAATTTCTTAATAGTTTTATGTTTAGGAGGCTTGCATATATTTGATTAAATATATGTCAAGCCATTTGATGGCTTTGGTTGCTATTGTGAATGGCTTGGTTTTTATAATTTTGAAAAGCAGTCAGTTTTTGACCATTGACTTTGTGTCCAGCAACCCTGTTAAACTCAGATATCCTAATCATTAATAGATTGTTTTGAATTTTCAACATTTAGAATCCTGTCATCTATAAATAATGAGAAGATTGCCTCTTTTCTGATTGGAATACCTTTTATGTCTTTTACTTGCTTATTATATAGAATGGGCTGAGATTGCCAATATAGTATCAAATTGTGGTCCTGATGGCAGGAACATTTGTCTGGTTCCCAGTTTACTGTTAGGTGCCATGTTTTCTGTAGGGGCTTTGTATTTTTTACTCATTTGTCTACTTGTTTTTGACAGGTGCTATTTATCAGATCATGGAAGTTTCCCTTCCATTCCTTGTTTGCTCGGGGTTTCAATATGAATGGATATTGATTTTTGTCAGGTGCTGTTTCAGCATCTTTTGAGATGATTGTATGATTTTTTGGCTTTATGTGGTTAATGAAGTAAAGCATATGGATTTATTTGAATATAAATTCTAACTGGCATTTTTAAAATAACCCCAGTCAACTTGATTGTAATATATTATCTTTTATGTAGTGAAAACTTGGATTTGCTAACATTTTATTTTGTATGATTGCAACTGTGTTCCTGAGGGAGATTGCCAAACAGTTTCCTTTCTCATAATGTCCTCGTCAAGTTTTGGTGTCATGACTGTGCTGGCCTCAGAATGAGTTAAGCATCATTCCTCTCTCCTTTTGTATTCTCTGGCAAAGTTTATTTAACATGGATATTACTTTTTCCATAAATATCTTGTGAAACTTACTGCTAAAGCCATCTTAACCCTAAGATTTCATTTGTGCAAAGGTTTTTGATTACTTATTCAATTTTTAAAATAGTTCCTGGGACATTTTTCCCCCCCGGCTCACTTTAGCTAAGTTGTATTTTTTTAAAAGAAATATATGCCTTTGTTATACATTTTTGTATTTTTGACTTAGTGGTTTTTGGTGTCATGTCCTTTTCTGGTGTTTTTTATGTCTGTCAGACCTTTAATGATGTCCTCTTTTACACTCCAGATATTGGTTGTTTGTGCTTTTTCTCTTTATTGCTGCTGTTTTGTTTTGCTTTTGTTTTTCTTGGTCACTCTCTCCAGAAGTTTATCAGTTATTCTTTTCAAAGACTAGCTTTTGACTTTATGGATGTTGTTTGTTGAATATCGATTTCATTAATTTCTAGTATTTTTATTTCTCTATGTTCTGTTTTCTTAGGGTGTATTGTGGTTTTTGTAGCTTTTTGATATAGATACATAGAGCATTGATTTCAGCTCTGTCTTCTAACATATGCTTATATAGCTATACATTTTCCTCTAAATGCAACTTTATCTGCATCCCACAAGTTTTGATACGTAGTTTGACAATCTTTGTCTTTCAATTAGTTTGGCCCATTTACATTTAATGTAATTATTGATATATTTATGCTTAAATCTATCATTGTACAATATGAATTATAATTATCTCAACTATTCTAATGCACTTGTCTTGCCTTTAGTGTATGTTTTTAGTGATATATATATATATATATATATATATTTTTTTTCACCAGCTTGGTAATCACTATTTTGCTGTTTCTTTACTGATTATCAGTAGGATTTCAACAACTGTCTTTAATCTATCACAGCCTTATCTAAATTAATACTTTTGCCAATTCTGGCAAAGTAAGGGTCTGGGATACTTTAACTCTTAATTTATATACTATTTTGACCTGTATTTAACTCTAAACTTATCTTTAACATCACAAGACATTGTTGTTATTATTTTATATAGTCAAGATTTACTCATAAATTTATCCTTTCCACTTTTATTAATTTCTGCATGTCTGAACTTTCATCTGTGATATTCTTTGTTTACCTTAATGTGGGTCTAATGGTGATGAATTTTCTTTCTGTTCAAAATGTGATTTCAGGTTAATCTTTGAAGGTTATTTTTGCTGAGTATAGAATTCTAGGTTTGTATTTATTTTCTTTCAGCACTTTGAGAATGCCATTCCATTCTCTTCTGACTTCCATTGTTAATCTCCAGAAATGAGCTGTCCATCCTATTGTTCCTTCTTTGGAAATAATCTTTCTTCCCTAGCTATTTTTAAGATTTTGTCTTTGGTTTTTTGAAGTTCTTCTTTAATGTGCTTAACTGTAGTTGCTTTCATTTTAATGTCTTCTTTTTGGGATTTGTAATTCCTAAATCTGTTGTTTTATACTGTTATGAATTCTTAGACCTGATTATTCTCAAACTTCACCTCAACAGATACTGACTTTGCCCCAGTCTCTCCATTTAATCTATCTGGGATTTAGTTATACACCTGTGTTGGATTAGCTTTCAGTATCCCCTAAGTTTCTTAAGTTATTTTTGTGTCTTTGTTTCCTTTTTCTTTTGCCTCAGTGTGGGTATTTTCTTCCAATTTATCATCCACTTCCCTAATTTGTGCTTTACCTGCACAATAATCTGCTGTTAAACTCATCCATTGGATTTTACATTTATTTGGTTTTCAGTTCTAGGATTTTCATTTGGCCCTTTTTCATAGTTTTCCATAGACTTTCTTGATCTTATTTTTTTCTGCACGTAGTGCAGTTATTTTGGAGTCTGACTGGTAACACTCTCTGGCCCTGTGGCAAGGCTTTCCTGCCTGTTGTTTCTCTCATTTTTTTTTTTTTTTTTTTGGTCAGATTGTGTTTATTTCTATGGTTGGATATTTTAGGTTGCATGTCTGACTTTGCACTGTTGTGATGATGGGGGACCTGGGATGGTGACACATTCTTTTCGAGTGGACTTTGTTTTCCTTCTTGCAGTTGACCAGAAGTGGCCAAGTTTCTTAAGCATCTGAATGCAGTCAGGTCTGGAGCTGATTCTGAGTTGGGTTTCAGGCCTTCAAAGGCCTGGTGGATTTCTGGCCATCGTTACTCATAAGGCATATCCCTTTGAGGTCCTACGCACAAGCTCATGAGGTTTATTGGGGTCCTTTAATTTTCCTCAGTTTTTGTGGCCCTATCAAGGGCCTCTTCCGAAACCCACTGTTGAGTCTAGAGAACAGGCTACCCGAGGGTGGGGTCCTGCTCCCCGCGGTCCCTGTTTCTGACCTCGGCCCTGGTGTTCCATGCTGCCCTAGTTGTTCTCTGTGCCTTCACACAGAAGGCTAGGGTGCTTTGTCTAGATCTTCTGACCATTTCCAGTAGGTTTAATTGAATTACCTGAATAAAAATTCTTGAAGTTACATTATTGAAAACACCATGTGCTTGGAGTACTCCAGGTTTCCTAACCTGTTCTTTATACTGTTTATGTTCTTCGTTTTGTCTGGAGTGAAAGGATATGTTAATATTTGGTGTGTTTGGTGATTTGCCTTCATATAATTTTTAGATTGTGAAATTGGCATTTTGCTTTTAATTAATCTGCACTAGATTTGAAGTTTTTCCAAATAGGACATTTTTGTTCATTTGTTTGTATTTGAAATCCTTGTGTTCTAAAAAGAATTAAATAACTATTAAGTAAATTCAGTTTGTAAGTTTATTTTTAATGTAATGAATGTTATAACTAATGCTAAATTAGAATTGGGATATAATCTAAACTGTATTATTATGCCTATATTATGTTGTACATTTTTATAAATATTTGCTATTTCAGACTAGATATATTTTTCCTAAGAGTACATAGCTAATGCACTCTCTGAGTTTTTAGTTTATTCCTCTATTTAGCTATTTCCAAGTTCTTAGTAATTGTTTTTGTCCATAAAACTAACACTTTTATCAATTATCACAGCATTTTACTCTTGAAATAATAAATGCACTTTAAATGTTTTTTCACTTTAACTGGTAGAATTTCAAGGTAGAAGGCCTCTGAGGAGGGTTTATATTCCATTGTAGGTCTAATTTTTGCATCAGGATTTGAAAGTGAGTACCAAATCTGCCTGATGGCCCTGGCTCCTGGCACATTGATTAGATAAGGTGGTGACTTAATCCCCAGGGATTGCCCACAGGGGAGCGCTTCCAGACATGGCTGCAGAGGCCTTGAGGAGACGGGGCGGCATAGGGGAGAGCTTCCAGACATGGCTGCAGAGGCCTTGAGGAGAAGGACCCTGCAGACAGGGCTGCACACACGCACGCCTGGTCTTTGCATGCAGATCCGGGCCCTCTCGGTAGTGGACGGCTGTGCTGTGGGTCTCTGTTCACTCCAGGGTGTTCTGCCAAACTGATCCCAAGTGGAACCCGGCTGGCAGTGTTCTTGCTTCTGAAGCTGCCTAGTGCGTTGCCTGGGTTGAGGACCAGGAGCGCAGCTGAGCCCTCTGGCTTCACGTGTGAGGAATCTGAGTATCTTAGGGGCTCCACGGCCTGCTGGGCGGGGCCCACCCTGTGGGGTTGCTTTCCACTTTAGAAAGCTGCCTTCCGTAGACAATAGCACGCGGTCCCCGTGGGAGCCCTGTGCGCGGGGCTTTGACTTGTCTGGCCTGTGCTGGTGACGCTGCAGTGCAGGAGGCGTGCGTGGGACCCACATCGCGGGTGTGCGCCACGGGCCCAAGCACTGGGGCCTCTGCCTGGGGTCCGGCCTCCCCTCCACGCTTCTGTGGTTCGCCGGTAGCCCAGGGTGTATCCTATGTATTTTTCTTTGGAGTAGGGAAAATAGTTGCTTATCAAAGAATTGAAGTTTAAAATTTAAATATCAGCTGGGTGATTTGTGCCACAACTAACCAACAAATAAGAGTTTTTCAGATTGCTAAAAAGCAGCTTGGTCTAAATTACTTCCTCAGAGTTTACCAGACTCTTCCAATAAAAATACCATCTTGAGGCTCACAGAATATGAAAAGACTTCACTTCAGAAAACATTTTGGATCCGTTTACCAGCCCAAAACAATCCCTGCGCTGCATCCGAAGCGCCGTCCACCCTTAACTGGAGCTCTGGAATGTTCCTGCTCCCCTCTAGCCCCGTCACAGGCGGCCGTCCCGGTGGTTTTCACTGAGGATTTGGGTGGTCAGATTTTATTATTAATAATAAACTGTGTACAGTTGGGTACTTGGCAAGCTTGTGTCGGCTCTGCAGCCCTCAGAGTGTGGTCTTGTGGTGAGGACGCAGGGCCGCAGGCCCCTGTGGTGGACGCCACTCGGGGGCTCTTATGTAAGCGGGGCCCAAGCCGGCGTCTTCCCCCATGAAGGAGGTTCTTGTCTGTGCAGGCTGGAGGAGCAGTGGCGGGCCGGCGCGGGGGACACGAAGCACCGCCAGCATCTAAGCATTTGAAAACACGGTGCACAGCATCTGTTTATTCTCTTGGGTTTTTTTTAAGTGAATTTCTTATTGAGTATCTAATAAATATCATTACACTTATAAACATTTACATTACTTTTAATTTTAAATAATTCTGCACTTTTATTTATTGATACCAAGTAATGCAATTCATTTGACAGAACGGTGGCAGTTTTCATCATGTTTAGCAAGAACACACTGTCTTTAACCAGCTAGGTTTTGATTTAGATTAACGGCACTTGGGAATCTAAGACACGGCTCTTCACATAAGCTCGGGGAAGGAGCAGGGGCAGGCTGGACTCGGCCCGAGCAGTGTGGAGCGAATACAGCCCCGCTTTCTCTCACTGCGGTCCACACGCGCAGCCCTGCAGGGAATGGAGGGAGGTCACTGAGCAAGTCCTTTGCTCTGTGTAAAAATGACGTGAAAGGCTGATCCTGAAAGTCATTAGGTGTCCTTTCCATGAAGTTGTGCCTTCCTCAGAGGCAAGGGGGTGGAGAGAAAAAGGAGCACTTTCAGGCAGAAGCCAAGCAGAACCTGCCACAGCTCTGTCGTCTGGACTCGCCAGGCCCAGGCCACGGCCCTCCGGGAGCACAGCCGTCCCTCCCCGAACACAGCCGTCCCTCCCCACCTGCCCCGCCCCGCCCCACCCAGAGCTGCTGTCCTCCTCTCTCTGCCCCGCTCAGCTGTTGCTCGCTCATTCCTTAGGTCTCGGGTGCACTCTCTGCCCCCTGGTATGGGAAGAACTTGGCCTCTTTTATCCACCGCTTCATCTCTGCTGGCCAGAACGGGCTGGCATCTCATAGAGCCTCTGTAGAAGCCTCCATGCAGGGGATGAGTGATACTCAATGTGAATTAAGAAAAAAAAAAAAAAAGTAAAAGTAAAAATTAGGGAGATCTGCTATCCATTTGTTGAATGGGTTTTTTCATTCTAGAACTTTAAGTGAGAAACCTGTTGACAGATGAGCGTGTGCATAACCAGAAGTGCAGAAACGGGGTGGGGGTCAGAATCAGCCCCTCATTTTGAATACTCTCCTAGTAAAGTCTGAAAGATCAAAAGAAGATTCCTTGGTGGTTAGAAAGGTCATGAATCGAAGACTTACCTTCCTCGTGTTTCCTGCTGGCCAGGCCTATGCTGGGCATGGGTGGGGTGTGAACCCCAGTCATGTCTGCCCCCCACTGCATGGGGCATGAACGCCAGTCATGCCCAGCACCCAGCCCTGCATAGAGGGAGCCAGGCAGGACCCAGGCTTGTGGCCAAGTCACCCTTTGCCACCGAATGGTGTTTGCAGAAGCAGGGAGAGGACGTGGGTCATAAAGTGGGTCCTGTTCCTGGAGTGCGCACCCTCCCCCGTGGAGGGCCAGTGGATCCACAGTAACAGCTGTCCCTGGGAACTGGTGTTTTGAGCAGGTAAGGCTGACTGCACTGAGTTTGGGTCTACTGGAAAGTGTTGAGGGCGTCCTCGTCCCGCACACCGAGAACCTGCTTCTTGTCCTGCTCTGCTGCCTCCACTCAAGGACGGCCATGTAGGGGGACCTGCAGGGCAGTCCCCTCCAACAACTGGCCATCTGGGTCCTCATCCTCACTGTCGCTGTCACCAGCATCATTTTGCGGTTGGACTACTTCCCTGCACTGTCAGCAGCATGGGTAGTACCCAAAAAAATGTTATCCGTGTAAAGGCAAAAAATTGAAGTTACCCATTTCACTTCTTATTTCTTTTATCAGTAAAGTTAAGCTGATTTAACATACTCATTGGCAAATTTGCCTTCTCCTTTTGAAATTCGCCTTCTGTGTTCTCTGCTCACTTATCTTCCCCACCGCCCGGCCTTTCCTTTTATTCCTAGTTGTGGAGGCAGTTTGTATATTTACGAGGTTAACTCTCTGGTTTATGTCTGGGTCTGTTTTTCCAAAGTTAGCAGCCTGTTGCTGATAATCTTTTAGGAATGCCAGTGCTCACATGCCTGGGAATGGTAGAAGCGAATGGTTTCCATAAGTGTGTGATCTTCTGACCAGTCCCCTTACAGACAGACAGTTCAGCTAAAAGTGCTTCTAAGTGATGTTCGAGTCTAACGCCGGGTGCCCTGAAAAAGCATCCCTCCTGTCCCCCCACCGCCACCCTACCTGGGGCAGTGCTCACCGCAGTCACAACTTAGGTGATGAGACATCTTCAGCAGCATGAGCTGGGGGACGTCACAGGCACAGCTTGACTCGGGCAATGACATGATTTTCTCAGACCGACAGAGAGCCCTGAGCCTGAAGCCTCATGCATCACGGTGGCCCTTCCCGGACTCATGCTGGTGGTCGTGTAGTTAATGTCTTTGTGTTTCCCTGGCTTGGCTAGTGCAGGCCCCACCACAGCCTGGGTAGACCCTGTTTCCAGGCGTCTCATTGCTGACTGACCCTTGACCAGACATTAAAGTTCCACCTTAATGTAATGGGAGTGGGGTTCTGCCGTAGGGAACACAGAATGAGCCTAACTAACAAAAACTCCATTTGTGAGTGGCAGCAAAGACATTTGGTATGTGATGAAGGTGGCAAGGAAAAGACATCTTTCTAATGATATTAATCATTTATTAGCAGTTGGTCAGAATATCCATAGAGCCTTATATGCCAAATCCATTTCTGAGCCATCAGAGTGAGTCATGAAAAAATTTAGCAAATAACCAAATGAATGAAAACCCAGCACCAGAACCAAGGATAAAATTAAAATGATGGCTTATTAACCACTGAAAGGAGGAACAATGGCAGAGTTTTAAGGAAAGGGAAAACTCACAAAGGAAAAACTAAAATAGACTTTATAAAAACAAGCATTTGAACATTTTACCCAAATTGTAAAAGGAAACAAGAGGCAGGGTAAATGCACACACACACGGAGCAGCCGAGAGCCACGAACCAGGGCGTCCATGAGACTTGGTAACTGAGCCAACCTCACCTGAGGCGCACCTGGCCGCCTTTGTGTTCTCCATCCACAGTCGGGGGATGAGAATACCTATTTATAGCTCTCATGCGAGGCCGAACCAGGCCAGGGCTGGCATATACTAGGCTCTCGATACAGCCATTATCATAAGAAACCCACGCAACTCCAGTGGATACAAGTATGAAACACACACACACACACAGACCCACAACACCACTGTGCACATCGCCGGAAGATTCTAAGAACACATAAGCCAAGGACATGAATTATCTTGCAAGAGAGGAAATCGGCGCGTGTCCAGTGGTGCTCAGGGGTGCCTCACAGTGATGCCTGCTGGCTTTTGGATTTGGGCAAATGGTGATTTGAGGACCAGCAGGAGGAGCAGCTGCCCCTGCTGCAGGTGGATGGGTGGTTCAGGGGGTCAGCGTGTAGAGAAGTTTCGTTTTTCTTTTTTTCTTTTGAGACAGGGTCTAAACTCGCATTGCGCAGGGTGGAGTGCAGTGGCACAGTCTTGGTTCACTGTAGCCTGGACTTCCCGGGCTCAGGTGATTATCTCACCTCAGCCTCCCAAGTAGCTGGAACTACAGGCACATGCTACCACACTCGGCTAATTTTTGTATTTTTAGTAGAGACAGGGTTTCATCATGTTGTCCAGGCTGGTCTCGAACCCCTGGGGTCAGGCAGTCTGCCCTCCTCAGCCTCCCAAAGTGCTGGGATTCCAGGTGTGAGCCTTCGGGCCTGGCCTATGTGTAGGGATATTTTGGACAGCAATTTACCAAGATGTGCCGAGGGTTAGAATAGTAAGTTTGTTAGATGTAGTCACTTTGCCAAGATGTCCTAAGCAAGTAATTCTAAAGGTAGTCAGTGTTACCCACTCATAAATGTTCACTGCAGCGTGGTTTCTAACAACCAAAACTGTCTCCCAGTCGGGAAGTGGTTTTGTAAACATGCTTCACTCACCTCAAGGTGTGTTTTTGACCATTACAAACGCTATCTGAATATTATGCAACACTAGGAAGATACTTAAGGTGCTGTAAGAAGGATAGAAGTACTGTGTGGTTAGATTGGAGATCTGAGGCGAGCAGCCTCCGTGCTAACAGGCCTTGTGTTCAGGCGGTGAGAGTGGCCTTTTTTGCCAGTTCCCTTTAATGAGGCTTTGAAAAAGAATCACCGCCACGGAAGAAAACCACAGTTTCGACTTCGGTCCCACTTGGTGCAGTCACTCTGCCTGAGTCTGAGCTGCCAAGCTGGGGAGGACAGGCGCTGCCCTTTGATGCTGTTGGAAGCAGAGCCGGCCGTCATGTCGGCGCAGGTGTAGAAGGAAGCACGCCTGCCTGTGAGACTGGCTTTGTCCCTGCGTGATGCATCCATTTGCACAAAGCCTTCTCTCTTAGATTCTGCTTTGCGGTAGCAAGAATGCAACCACCACGCTGCCACTGCCTAATTCAGAGTGTTCTTTTATGTAAGAATATTAAAACTTCCTTCAGAAGTGGGTTTTGTGTTAGCTAACAATAAGTCTTTCGGATGATTAAATCTGCATTTTAAATAGAATGCAATGATGTAAAATCTTGATGGGAAGAAAACCTCTCATTAAAACCCCTCCCGGCCTTGGTTCTTTGAGGAAGCGCTCAGGAGGCCACAGCGTCCTGAAGGTGCATAGCCGTCCCCAGCCCTTCCCTCCCTCTGTGGCCCCGCTGCCCTGCATTGCTGCTGTAGGGCAGAGCCACACTTCACCCCCTGCTATGCTTTCTCCCACGCCAGGTGCCGTGGCCAGCACAGAAGTGAAGATGAAGTTACAAGAATTTGTCCTCAATAAAAAGAAGGCGCTGGCCCACCGGAATCTGAACCACTGCATTTCCAGCGACCCTCGCTACTGGTACGGGTAAGTGTGGGTGTGGGGAGCACCCCGGCCTCCTCTCTGGGGGCCCAGAGGACTGTCTGATCGCCGGTAGATTTGCATGGAGCCAGCTCTTCACCGGAGGCAGGGAAGGAGGGTGAGGAATTGAAACCCCAAGCACAGTGGTGCTCGGATGTGGGTGACGTGTTCTGGGGGTACACTCGTGCGGCAGCCGTCCTCACGGAGGGGCCCACCTCCAGAGTGACATGGTCTGGGGGTACACTCACACGGCAGCTGCCCCTGCCCTCACAGGGGGACCCACCTCCATAGTGACGTGGTCTGGGGGTACACTTCCACAGCAGCCATCCTCACGGGGTGGGCCCCCCTCCAGAGTGACGTGGTCTGGGGGTCCACTCACACGGTGGCCGTCCTCATGGGAGTGGGCCCCCCTGCAGAGGGACCGAGCAGTGCTCCGGAGGCTGGTGCCTGTCGTTACTCTTGGTAATGTTGTGCCATTTTTCAGCCACAATAAGAGCCACTTAAACTGGAACTCTTGTCTGAATCCTCTGTGCTCCGACAGCGCTCCCACCTGACGTTTCAATAATTCTTAGGCTAGTCAGGAAGCCCCCGTGGTACTTCTATTATTTTATACTAAGAAACCCTGCCAGGGCCCACGCAATTGACAGAGACCACAAAAGGCTTGTTCGTCTGAGGACTGAAGAGAGCCGACCTGCCATGCAAAAGAAGGCCTTCGGGGGAGAGTTCACAGAGCACAGTGCGAGCGAGTGGCGAGGTGATGCGGCTTGAAACAGTGAGCAAGGGCAACAGAGGATCGCTTTGAAATGTAGTTTTCTGCTGCTCTCAAGGTTCATTTCATTTCTAGAAAAAAATCCCATAAGGGAGTTTTTGTAAATCGAAATATCAGTAATTTCGTTGGAAAAAAAATAGCTATTCTCAAGCCTCAAAATGGACAGCTATGTGTAGTGAGACCCCCCCACAGCTCAGACGCGATCCCCCTTGTTTCCGTGGAGGCCGCCCGCTACCCCGACACATCCCAAAAGGTGTTTCCAGCACAGGTGGCCCACGTCCTCCACTCTGGCAGCCGCTGTGCTTGCCAGTGGCACATAAGCTGCACTCACGGCAGACACACCGTCTGGATTTGGGTAACTCGACCAGGGACACACAAACTTGCAAGGAGGAGTGAGACCGGCGTCCATGGGAGGCAGCACGTGACAGCAGTGACCCACTGGGACCTGAGAGAGGAGGTGGCTTCCTGAGAATCGCTGGCAACCGGCACCTGGGAGCCCGCTTTGGGGGAGACCCCGATCTGTGCCCCCAGAGCCAGTCCACTGCCTGGACTGGTTGTGGAGAAACTCCATTGTCCTACTGGCTGGGGCAGGGCGTGGGGTTGCAGGGCAGAAGGAGCAAGGGACAGGAGTGTGGATCGTGGTTCAGATGGTGCCCCTGGGGCCCAAGCTGGAAAGGGCAGGATGAGGAGCCAGGGGCAGGGTGGGCCTGGGGCCTGGCGGAGGATGGAGAGCTGGAGTGCAGAGCCTGCTGGACCAGGGCAGGGCCGCCTTGGGTCCCCCTGTGAGGCAGCCGAGCAAGCGAGCTTTGAGAAGACAGTGATAGGAGTGGGGCAAGCACGGGCAGCCCTTTCTGAAGAGGAGCACAGAGTCTGGGAGGCTGCAGCGGGAGTTGGAGGACTAGAGCAGTGGGGCTGCTGGGAAGCAGGGGTCACGGTGAGCACAGGGCAGCCCCCAGAGGGTGGCCACGGCAGCATGGAAGAAGGTGGGGAGCTGGCGCCCCCTCGCCCAGGAGTCAGTGGACAGTGGACGGGGGGCCGAGGCCAGCAGGAATAGAAGCCGGGCAGTGGCCTGGACCTGAGGGGAGGACGGAGCAGCAGGCCCAAGGAAAGGCTGCACCTGCAGTCAAGGAGGCCACGGGAGAAGAAGTGGCCTGGGGCAGCCTCAGGGCGCTGAGGGACGTGCTGAGAGACGGGAGATGGGGGGCTTCCAGGGAGGAGGGGTGGCAAACAGAGTGGCTGGGGCTGGGAGGACTGACTTTTCCTGGAACTCCCTGGGTGAGCTGGGTGTTCAAGGTGAGTGTCTTGGCCTGGACAAGGGCGGCGTGCCCTGGCTTTAATGGCAGGGGCCGGAGGTACTTCTTCTCAGAGGGCTCTGGGGACCTTCAGGCTGGAGGGGGAAGGACTTGATCTCAAGTCAGCCATAGGACAGGTTTGTTTTCCTGGAGCCTGGTGGTTTTCTTGTTTTGCCGTATTTGAACCCTGAACTTAAACATCATGGAGTGGTGGCAGAAACTTTGTCAGAAAACCGGCTCTTCATAGGGAAAGAACTGAAACCCTGATCCCAGCTTCACACCACGCATGATTAGTTCAGATGTCATAGACCTGAGCCTAGACGCAAAACTGATCAAACTGGAAGGAGACCTAGTAGAAACTTTTCCCAACCTTGATGGGGAGGGGGAGGCAAGATTTCTTAGGTCGCCAAAATCATCGGCTAGATACCAAAAACCCAAAACATGATATTTCCACAAACTGAAACACTTCTGCTCTTTCAAAGGCACCATTAAGAAAATTAAAAAGCAAGCTACAGAATGGAAGGAAATATTCACAATGCGTATATCTTACAAACCGCTTGTATCCAAAATGTAGAGCTCGTTCCTATAACTCAATAGTAAAAAGACAAGCCGCCCACTTAAAAATACGGTCAAAAGGTTTGAACAGGTACCTCACAAAAAAAGGCATGGGGATGGCCAGTAAGTGTGGAAAAGATGCTCAAGATGGCTGGTCATCAGGTAAATGCAAATCAAAACTGCGGCAAGCAGCCCCTTCATACCTGTGGGGATGGCCGGAGTGAAACAGGCCGGGTGCTGGAGCAGATGCGGTGTCCCTGGACCTCTGTGTGCTGCCTGTTGGAATCTGAATCACACGTGGGAAAACAGGCAGGCAGTTTCCTACAAAGACAAATACCCACCAACCCTGTGACCCAGCAATGCTTCTCCGTATTTGCCCAAGACATGAAAGCAAGCAACACGACGAGTCGTCATCTTACGGTCACAGTCACCAAACAGTGGAAACAACCAAGCTATCAACAGGGGAACGGCCGCGCAAACTGGGGCCCCTGCACACGCTACCGTGCAAACTGGGGCCCCTGCACTGCTACTCCGCAGTGACAAGGAACGGACCGCTGGCGCCTGCAGCAGCTTGGGGGAGCCCCAGAGGCACGGTGCCTAGACAAAGAGGCCACCCCCATGACTCCACTGATGGGAAATTCAGAGTCAGCAAAGTGAATCGACTGTGAGAGAAAGCAGACCAGGGCTGGGAGGCTGCAGAGATGGATGGTGCTGTGGCTTCATCAGGGCGTGGACTCTGTGGGTGTTTACGTGAGTCACCGCTTCCAGCTTTAAGACTGTTGAGACAAGATGGCACCTTCCAGTGTGGCTGCCACAAGCCACACGTGGCTCCCGAGCACTTGAAACGTGGCTGGGTCCGACCAGGACATGCCATAGATGCAGAGCATGGAATTTCAGACACTTGGTCTGAAGAAAGGACCTACGGTGTCTTATTAATATGTTTATATCGATTATAAGTTGAAAGGATGGTTTTTATAATGGTTTAATCGAATACTAAAATTAATTCCACCCATTTATTTTTATCCATGTTAATGTGGCTACTAGGAAATTGTAAATTTCACATGTGGCTCCCATCATGGTACATTTCTGCTGGAGTATCCTGGCGTATGTGGTTCCTCGTTGTATTTCTTGGAAATCACTGGTACGAATCTGATGAAAGGGCAATGGTTTGGAACTGAAATGGTTGAGTTTGTATGAAGCTTTATTCTACAGTCAAGCCAGTGTTTAGAAGAAAACAGTATTTGCTTTTCCATCTTCCTCCGGAAGACAAGGTTTGCCTTTAGGTGTGGCATCCGGGTTGGCCCCAGGGCCCCGTGGGGGCTGCACCTCGGCTCCTGGCCCAGCGTCTGTGTCCCATCCCCAGGCTGCAGGAAATGAAAGGTTGAAAAATCGGAAGATAATTTATGGTCAGGTGAGGTAGAGGGAGCAGCTCTGTAGGTTCTGCCCTCAGGGCTCCGTGGGGTGGCCAGTGTGACTGTGTGAGTGTGGAGTGTGGCCGGGGTGAGTGTGAGTGTGGGCTGTGGCCGGGGTTAGCTTAGTGTAGGGTGTGAATGGGGGATGTGGGTGTGTGCAGTGGGTGAGGTGAGTGTGGGGTATGAGTGTGAGGTGTGGGAAAGGTGACAGGTGTGAGTGTGAGATGCGGGTGTGTGTGTGGGAGGTGGGGTGTGGGTGGGTGTGAGGCATGAAGTGTGGGTGTGTGGGGTGTGGGTGGGGTGTGCGTGTAAGTGGGTGTGAGGTAGATGGGTGTGAGTGCGGGAGGTAGGCATGAGTTTGTGTAAGGTGAGGGGGTGTGGGTGGGTATAGGTTGTGAGGGGGGTGTGGGTGTGAGGTGGGTGTGGGGTGTGGAATGTGGGTGTGAGTAGTGTGCAGTGCAGGTGTGAGTGTAGTTGGGCGTGAGTAGTGAGGTGAGGTGTGGGCGTGAGTGGGTGTGAGTAGTGTAGGTGCGAGCGTCAGGTGTGAAAAGTGAGATGTGGGTGTGAGTAATGTGAGGTGTGGGTGGGAGTAGTGTGAATTGGGGGCGAGTAGTAGTGAGGTGCAGGTGTGAGTAGTTGGGTGAGCTGCAGGTGTGAGTGGGTGTATTGTGAAGTGCGGGTGTGTGTGTGTGAGGTGTGGAGGTGAGTAGTGAGATGCAGATATAGGTATGGGTGAGGTGTGTGTGGGTGTGAATAGTGTGAGGTGCAGGTATGGGTGGGTGTGAGTAGCGTGAGGCATGGGTGTGAATAGTTGTGTGATGTGCGGATGTGAGTGTTACCAGTTGTGTGATGTGCGGATGTGAGTGAGAGTAATTGTGTGCGGTGCGGGTGTGATTGCAGCAGGGATAGAGCTTCACTTCTGCTCGCCCTGCTGGACGCTTCTTCGCGGAGGGCACGCGTGTGCGGTCTGGCCTGGGACCATGTGACCAGGGCTGGGCGGGTGTGACCTGCCCTGACGGTGAGGGCCGCCCTCTCCTGGTGTCTGGAGGGCGGGTGCGCGGTGGGGCGGGCTCTGCATGGTGTGCTCCTGGCGGTGAGCTGGGCTATGCAGGAGGTGAGGTCGCTCCTGTGAGGTCTCTGGATCCATCGAGGTGGTCCAGCGGGGAGGCGCTGGCAGTTGGGGGGCAGGGCCCAGCCCCTCCTGCACCTGCTGCTCTGCTCGTTTTAAGGTTTGACAGGAAAGTGGGGATTTTAACACTGAAAGCACCTCAAGAGATCAGAATAGTAAGAGAACGTCTGTTAGATCTTAAACCAATGTAACTTTTGCAACTCCTACTTCACTGTAAGCAAATCCTACCGTTCAAATATAATAATTTTTATTCCATTTATTTAAATTTATTATTATGTAAATACTGATCTTTTTAACTCGTGGGATGCATGTACAAGTCACTCCGTGTTTCCCATGAAGGAAAAAGTGAACGCGGAAATGGTCCCAGACTGTCACCTGGTGTTGAAGAAGTTTGGAATCAGCCAAGATCACATTCCCCATAGGATACAATCTGAAAATACTATTTGGTAGAGAAAGAGTGTTGCCCCCAGACCTTTTCATGAGATTGTGAGACGAGGGGTAGAACTACAGGGAAGAGAAGGGAGGCTTGCACAAGGACGTGGTCCCACTTGGAGGCCACAGCCCCTGCACAGGTGCAGACAGGCGTGTCCCAGCCCTGCAGTCCGAGCCTGACTGCATGGTGGAATTCCCCGGGAAACAGCGAGAAGCTGCTTGGGGTTGGAGGTGTGCCCTGAGCAGTGGGCGGGGTTGGGGCGTGGCCTGAAGCTGTGCAGTTTTCCGGAGCTCCCTGAGCTCCTCCTGTGATGCACGGCCCAGCACCCCACTGCCCAGGTGCCTGGGCTCGGCTCCTCAATTTTGTCTATGAGTTCCCTTCAGCACATTCTTTGCACTGGTGTGCTCTCAAATATTTAAATATACACCTGTACCCATTTACAAGCTCCCATTCTTAATTCAAATAACTCCAGGTGCATTGGTGTGCCATACTATGTATTCAAATAGTCTAACCAATTCCAAATAAGTAAGTCGGCAAATTTGTTTGTAGTCATTAAGCAGATTACGCAGTTTAAAGACTCAGAATTTATTCCACTCAGCACAGTGTTTTGAGCAAGACTGAGCTGTCAGTGCCGTCAAAAAAGGCCTTGCTGATGGTCATCCGGGTGGCAGCCCACATCCCCGTCCCGGCCCAGGGCCCGCCTCCTCCCCATGTCCGTCCTCCGGCCATTCTCCTGGCAGACGATTCCTGTCTTGCTGCCTGGAGGGTGTGGAGTTGTACCCAGCTGTTCATACAGGAAGTCCCTTTCGTAGGTCAGCTCCCTGGGCACAGGGTATCAGTAGCTGCCATCCTGTTCCTCCCCCAGAGAGGGAGGTGACCAGGGTGAGTTTGGTGAAGGCACGGATGACGATGGGTGCCTTCTGAGAGACAGCCCCATGGGCTTCTTCTCTCCAGGTGGCAGAGAGAGTCCCACACATCACAGCGTTTGTTCTTAGACCGTTTTTTGCCCCGTCTCAGCTGCCTATGAACTCACCTTTGATTCCTTATGCAGCAGCCTACTGTTTTCCTCTTCCTCTCCCCACCGGGGATAGGCTCTCTGAGTGGCCAGTGGTGGCCCTGGTAGCGAACTGACTGGGCTGGAGCCATCTGAGAGGACAGGGCCAGGTGGAGAACAGCCACCAGGAAAACGGCCAGAGGTGCTGCCCATCCCATCCCCAAGCACTGCTGGTCCCGCAGAGGAGGATGTGGGCATCGGATGTTTGCTTGCTTGTTTAGCATCCTGTTTGTTTCCATTTAATTTCAGCTTGACCCTAGGGAAAAGGTGTGTCTGTTGAGGTGGGGCTGAGGTTTCAAGGGAAAGATCATCGTGTGTGGCTTCTCGGCTGCAGCATGCCTGGGGCAGTGCGCTGGGTAAACTAAACCATCTGTCTTTGCCTTCTCTCCAGGAAAACGCAGCACAGTTCCCTTGACCAGAGTTCTCCACCCCAGAGCGGAGTGTCGACCTCCTATAACCACCCGGTCCTGGGAATGTACGACGCCAAAGATGACTTCCCTCTTAGGAAAACAGGTCAGTGCCCAGGCATGCTGTGGGCCGGGAGGTCTCCTGCACGGGCACCTTCCACGCCACAAGCCACGCAGGGCCCACCGCTGTCTTCCACTTAGAGAAGGAATCACCTGCAGATTTTTAAATATTTTCTCCTTTCATAGAGCATCGTTTTTAAAAGATATCCCTAAACATTTCCTTATTATTTATTTCAAAAGAAATGAACCTAACGCATGTACACCACTGCTGAACACTCAAACTCACTTTGAAAGCACACTCAGTTTAGTTTTCTTTCGGTGGTGTGTTAGATTTTGCCACACTGAGGGGCGTCCCCGCAGTGGTCACAGGGTGAAGCAAGTTCCTGTTGGTGGGCCATGTGCCGTCTGAGAGCAGGTGAGCCTGTGGCCTTCAGGGATGGCGCTGGGCAGTGCCAGCAGCAGGGCCTTCCAGGTCCCCAGAGTGGGAGGGAAATCTTTATGAGAAAGAAATTCGCTATGTCCTGCAGGGGATATCCCAGCTGGGCTCAGAGTTATGTGCCACAGTTCTGTCCTAAGCCAAGGGAGAAGGGCATTTAGGCACAAGCAGGTGCCTGGACCATCTTAGAAGCAGGGAGAGGCGGCTGCAGCAGTGTCTGGCAAGTCAGGACGGACCCTCTGTGACTTTCTCAGGGGCCACGGCAGTGGCTTTAGATAATGATTAGGGTGGCTGTGGGCAGTGCGCTGGGGTAGCAAGAAGGGCAGGGGCCAGGGAGTGCCTTCCAGAGGCTCTGCCCAGAGAATTGGTGAGGGCAGGAGCTGGAGCAGGTGCTGAGGGCGGGCAGTGCCTCATCCCAGATGTGGCCAGTGGATCCTACAAACTGCAAGACAGTGTGGGAAATCCCAAGGCGTCCTCCCTAGGGGGCGGCTCTTGGAGATGAGAGCCTAGGGGCACCGCTTTTTTTTGCTAAACAAATTCTCTGTTATCCAAAGGTTTTGGCCAGTTCTGGGCGGAAACAGTGAACGTACTCAGTCACACAAGGGCTTCTTCACTGGAACAATGAGGCTTTGTGAGGGGCTGCTGGGAGCCGTGTCAGGCCAGCCACATCCCTGGAGCAGAGGGTCATATCAGGCCAGCTGTGACCCTAGAGGAGTAGGCCATATCAGCCAGCCACATCCCTGGAGCCGTGGGCTGTATTGGTCCAGCTGTGACCCTAGAGGTGTGAGCTATATCAGGTCGGCCATGTCCCAGGTGGAGTGGGCCATGTCCCAGGTGGAGTGGGCCATATCAGGCCAGCCCTGTTCCCAATGGAGTGGGCTCTATTAGGGTGTGTTGAGGCGGTGGTGTCCCAGGTGGAGTGGGCTGTATTGGGCTGGCCATGTCCCAGGTGGACTGGGTCATATCAGTCTGGCCCATGTCCCAGGTGGAGTGGACCATATCAGGCCGGCCATGTTCCCAGTACACCTATTAGGGTTTATTGAGGCGGTGGTGTCCCTGGAGCAGTGGGCCGTATTGGGTCAGCCATGTCCCAGGTGGAGTGGGTCATATCAGGCTGGCCACGTCCCAGGTGGAGTGGGTCGTATCGGGCTGGCCATGTCCCAGGTGGAGTGGGTCGTATGGGGCCGGCCAAGTCCCTGGAGGAGTGGGTCATAACAGGCCAGCTGTGACCTCAGAGGAGTGGGCCGTATCGGGCTGGTGGAGACCCTGCTGGAGTGGGCCATATCAGCACGGCCATGTCCTCTCCAAGTCAAGAACCCTGCAAACATGGGCGCATTTCCATTTGGGCCATAAACCTTTATTGGGAAAAGTGAACCTAGAGCTTCTGCTGCTTTGTTTCATGGGTGTGAGCCTGTGGTTCTTACTGATGCTTCTACTGAGAATGGTCCTGGATTTCACCTGGAGAGCGCCCTAAAGCTTGACAGAAAGAACGGATTTAGAGATCAGTATTTTTTCCAGAAAGATGTGCCCAGTAGTATCAGGAGAGAATCTGTGGGCTGATTCTTACAAATCGCCCTCCAGGTTCCCTTTCTGGGGACTGATGCTATTATTAATCAAATTCCATCAACAAAACCAAAGTCCGCGGTGAGTGGTGGGCCCTATGCTGGGAGAGAGACCCGGGGAATGGGGAGGCAAGGAACATGCCTACCCGGAAGAACCCTGCCCTAGAAACTGGAGCGATGCCGAGGGTGGAGGGTGGGAGCCCGGAGGTGTTGTCATCAAGTGCTGTGGGTTGGATGTGTGCTCATTCATGTAATAGCTCTGTGTGCCCTGAAACAAATGCCTTCCGTTCCCCTGGCCTCCATTTCCTCATCAGCACAGTGGGTCTGCCCACACCCACATCCTCACGGCTGTGGCATGCACCCATCCCCAGAGTCTCCTCTTGTCCTGGGAGTGATGGCTGTGGCACTCAGACTCCAGAGCCATGGACCCAGGAGGGAGCTTCCAGCGAGAGCACCAAGCCCAGCAAGTCGGCCTCATGTGGGGACGTGCCTTCCCAGAAACTCCCCATTTGGAGCCTTTCCACCAAGGGCCCCAGGAAAGGACAGCACACACCACCCATCCCATCAGGCCCCAGAGCAGTTCCTCAGCAGCTCCACACCCCAACTCGCAACAGAACAGCAGGGATGGGGGAGCCCTAGGAGCTATTTGCACTGGCTCCTCCCCCATCCCAAATGTCAGCACTACCTGGGGATCAGCCTCCTGTTCTAAGAAACAGAACCAGCTTGAGTACTTCATAGCAAGGAAGGCTATCAGCATGGGAGACGGCACACTGTCACGGCCCTGCCCTGCTGTTCACCATCAGAGGCCTTTCTCCCATAGGCAGGGCCCGCGCCATCTCTCGTAGATTCCGTGGCTGTTGGCTTCCCATGCTGCCTTGTGTTTCTCTGGGGATGATTGGAAGCAAAGTCTCCAACACCTTCTACTGTGCTTCTAACCTTGTGATAGCACCACCCTCCAACTCCCTGCTTTCTTGAGAACGGAAGAGAGAATTCTGTTTTCACACTCCGGGAAATGTTATTTAGAATACATAGTGCTCCAGAAGAACTTAATTAAGATTTGATTGCATTATCAGTTTTTTAAAAAGTCATCACTACCACATTAATAATAATAACATAAAGATTTCCGAGAAAACGTTTAAACCACTTAAGAGAATAGTGTGTAGTTACACACCCTGTATCACCCTTGACATCTACTTTCAAACACATGACATCGCTCATTCTAAGTAAGTTATATCTGTGCTTTTCTGCAGTAATTGGTAATATGAAACACGTCATTAAATTTTAGTTATGAAGTTCCTTGAATGAACTGAAATAGTCTTTAATAATTGTGATGTAGACTTAAATAATTATATGATTTTGATTTTACATTAACTTATCCTGACCCGGCACACAGTTTGCCCATTTCTGCATCTCTAAAGGGCAATTGTATGACCTGTGAACATGTGAAAAGCTTTGTCACTGTCTTGTGAATTTTGTCGTCACCCCATGCATTTTTTGCATGTCCTTTGCTGGCTCTGCTGACAGGTAACGCCTGTACCAGCTCAAACGTCTGACCTCCCTGGTGAAAGCAATGCAGTGACTCCTATTCGGAGCTTGGGCATATTCTGGGCATTCACATCGCCTGCACCTGTGGGCAGGACCAGGTGCCTGAGTTTCTACCCAGCTCCTTCACCCGCCACCTTGGGACCTGGGGAAGCTCTTGAACCTCTCTGTGCCTCAGTTTCGTCATCTGTGAAATGTACCTTTAAATTGCTTCTCTCCTGGAGCTATCATGAGATGTGAATTAATTAATATTTGCAAAGTCCTTCGAGTAGGACCAGATCGAGGTGTTTTCTGCTCTTGTTTCTCTACGCTGTTAGGGTGTTTTTGATTTTTTTCTCCATCCAATGACTGGTAACTGCCAGACCCAGCATCCCCCCACCTCCTTGCCTCCATGCCTACAGTTCAGGTAGAAACCAGCAGGAGCCACTCACCTCCACTTAGAGAAGGACCACAAGGATGGGAACACCAAGATTTATACCCAAAATCTGGCCAGAAGGGCCCATCTTGCTCTGTTGGCTTTTCAGGGCTCATCTCCTCGCTCCTGGCTTGCCTTCACCTGAGTGCCATCTCCCAGGAGGAGCCTCCACCGCTGGGCTTGAGAGTCAGAGACCTCTACCCAGGGCCTCAGGTCCAGCTCTTCCTGCCAGAGGCCCCGCCCCTTTCCTGGGAGATTGGCAGCAGGGGTGTCTCCACTTCAGAGGTCTTCACCTCCCGCCAGATTTCGGCCCAGGGTGAGGTGCCTGGTCCCTTCCCATGTCTGTGCAGCCTCAAGTGTCACCCTGACTTTGGGTTTCTGCAGACTTGTGAAGCCGCCAAATGTGTATTTTTAAATATAGTCAGAAGAGACAGAACTGTGTGGATCACTGTCATGGACATAGGACGCTGGATCTTTCCTGCACTGTGTGGGTGTCAGATGGCTTCACCAGAAACTGCATTTAAACAGAGCCTTTGAGTCCATGTTCACGCTGAGGAATGGAGGCTTTTCCACTTTTAAAAGCAAGCAACGTTTTGTCATTTTGATGATGTTGAGGGATCTTAGTTTTCCCCAGTAACATCTTCATCGTGATCTTCTTAAAGATATTAGTCACCGTGTATTTTTTATAATGACTCTTAAATTTTCCCCTCATGTGACTGCTGATAGATGAAAGGAGGCCAAAACAACTAACTAACTGTTGTCCAGCCAGCACAGTTCGTTCCCATTTGTCAGCAGCTTCTTGGGCCTGAGCACTGAAAACCGTGCACTCCACAGCACTCCTTGTCCAGCATCCTCATGTGTCCCTGGGCACATGGTCCTAGCAGCAAACACTCTCCCCAGCATGTGTTGGGGCCCGGCTGCTGGCCTGGGCTGTGGCACTGCCATGGATTGTCCTGGCTCTTTTAAGGAAGCAAAATCCCAGAGCTCACGTTTGGTGAGAAGTTGGTAACTTCAGCCTTGTTCCGGCATTCTCTAGCCTGCCTGGTAGGGCTTGGTCCCCACAGTTGGGTGTGAATTGGGAGGAGGCTGGGCTGGTCCTAGGGACCGAATTCTGTTGGCCCCTGTATGGATCATGGATCTGGGCAGTCAGTCAAAGGTCCTGGGCTCCCTCTGCACTTGCCTCCATGGTCAGGCTTGAAAAGTGTTCATCTAGCTCTGCCCTCCTCACCTGGGGCCTTCTGAAACCAGTCACTCAAGGTCACGGCTGCCCATGGGAAACATCCATCCATTGCTTAGATGTGCAGATAGGGTGGGTTTTCCTCCATTTTGGGGGGAAGCTGTCCCGCTTGGTGAGGAAGAGCACAGGGCCTGTGGCCAGGCTGGCGCCCACGACACCATATCCTGGGCAGACTAGATGACCTCCCGTTGTGTCCGCAGGTCTGCAAGGTGGGGCGGTGGGCATCCACTTCATGGCTTCATGGTTCTTTCATTAGTCAAGTCCCACAGCTCATCAATAGGCTCATGGCTTTCGCCCTGTGTACTAGTGACCTGAATAAAGTTACAAGTGTTTGTTCTTATCTGTGTGTAGAGTAGGCTCAGGGTACTGTGAAATAGGACAGAGTGTGTTTTCCACCCTCACATTCATCCCTGAGTTTGGGAAGGGGCTCTCTGTTTGCCTCTGACCATTGCTTGCTGTCCCTTGTTCTAATGCAGTTTGCAGAAACTGCTGGAGAGGGGTGGGACCAGGAAGAAATGGGCAGTGCCCACACTTCCTGCTGCTGTATGTAAAGGTGTAATGTAGTACATACTTCAGGAGGTGCAGTGTGGTGAGACTTCCTGCTGCTGTATGTGAAGGTGTGGTACATACGGAGGTGCAGCATGGTGAGACTTCCTGCTGCTGTATGTGAAGGTGTGGTATATACTTCAGGAGGTGCGGTATATACTTCAGGAGGTGCAGCGTAGTGAGACTTCCTGCTGCTGTATGTGAAGGTGTGGTACATACTTCAGGAGGTGCAGCGTGGTGAGACTTCCTGCTGCTGTATGTGAAGGTGTGGTACATACTTCAGGAGGTGCAGTGTGGTGAGACTTCCTGCTGCTGTATGTGAAGGTGTGGTACATACTTCAGGAGGTGCAGCGCGGTGAGACTTCCTGCTGCTGTATGTGAAGGTGTGGTATATACTTGAGGAGGTGCAGCGTGGTGAGACTTCCTGCTGCTGTATCTGTGTTTATGTACCTGTGTGTATATCTGTGTGTGTACCTGTGTGTGTATCTGTGTTTCTATGTATCTGTGTGTGTGTCTGTGTTTCTGTGTGTGGGGTGTGTATCTGTGTTTCTGTATATCTGTGTGCGTTTCTGTGTTTGTGTATCTGTGTTTCTGTGTGTGTGTCTGTTTCTGTGTATCTGTTTCTGTATCTGTGTTTCTGTGTATCTGTGTGTATATCTGTGTATGTACCTGTGTGTGTATCTATGTTTCTGTGTGTGTATCTGTATGTCTGTGTATCTGTGTTTCTGTGTGTGTATCTGTGTGTCTGTGTGTGTACCTGTGTTTCTGTATGTATCTGAGTTGTCTTGTTAACAAAAATACCCATTTTGCGTTTTCTCCTCTACCTTTATTTTTAATTAATATTATATGGTGGCCATTATTCCATTTTTACGTATGAAGCTCAACGCCTTTCTCTCAAGTAGTCTAAGACATAGATATAAGTTGGACTGTTTTCTGGTTACCATTTTGCCAGCAACTTTGAGCACCTTTCCTCACTGTGTTAGTATTTCTGTAGGAAAGGTTCCTGAAAATGGAGCTGCTGGTTCAGAGTATGTATATTCCAAAACATTGAGCAAATGATACCCCCTCCCCAGCAGCCTGAGAGTCCATTTTCCCCACCCCCTCCACGAGCAGGCGGGATGGTGTTGCAGTTCATTCTAGGCAATGTGGCCAGTGGTGAAGATGGCGAGCCTGTTGGTGTTTGAGTGAGCAGTGCCGTCACCGTCAGTCAAGGGCGGGCATGGCTGTGTGCTTGCCCCCTCCCCAGGAGCACGTGAGCAACGTGCTTCAAAGTCGAGGGTGGCTGGTGCCCCGGAGCTGGGCAGCGGGGCTGCCCTGAGCAGGCTCTGTCTTCAGAGCCACCCTGTGCCCAGCATCTGGAGCCACGCAGGGCACGTGAGGCGGTTCCATCAGTGCTGAATGGAGGTTGCTTAGCGGCAGTGCGTTCACCTGTTCTTCTGTGGGGCATCGTCTTTGCTTGTTCCTTTGTAAGTACTGTTTATATGTTGTTTGCAATGCTGTGTTTTCATGTATTACAGAAGTTAGATTCCAGTCTGTCATTTGTCTTTTAGAATTATCTTTTTATTTATTTATTTATTTATTTATTTTGAAACGGAACGTCGCTCTGTCGCCCAAGTGAGACAACCTCCGCCTCCTGGGTTCAGGGGATTCTCCTGCTTCAGCCTCCTGAGTAGCTGGGACTACAGGTGCCACTACCACACCTGGCTAATTTTTGTATTTTTAGTAGAGACGGGTTTCACCATGTTGGCCACGCTGGTCTCAAACTCCTGACTTCAGGTGATCCACCTGCCTCAGCCTCCCAAAGTGCTGGGATTACAGGCATGAGCCTCCATGCCCGGCCAGAATTATCTTTTTATTTTCACCGAAGTAAATAAACGTACATTTACATAGACCCCCATGATGTTCATGATAGGAGAACGGCCGTCCCTGACTGCCTGTCCCGCCTGCGTTATTACAGCGTGTGTCACGTTCACAGCAGAACCAGAGTCCACCTGGACTGCATTCACCTCGTAGAAATTTTTCCGGAAGTTGATCATTTTTTTCATTTGCTTAGTTTCACACCTGCCTGCTATCAATTCAGGCCCACATTTCAGCAGACCTAGGAGACCCTCCTCTGCACAGCAGGCCGCCTGGTGCTTCTGGCCCCACTGCCCGGTGCGTGTGAACGGTCTGCTCTCCCGGCCTGGCCCCCGCCTCCTCTCCCGGGCTCCGTGGCCTCCTTTCTGCGGCCTCGCCATCTTGGTCATGCACGTCTTCCAGTGGCTCTTGGAGAAGTCGTGCATGGAGCATGAGTTTTTGGAGTCCTCATTTGCTGGTAAATCACTTTATTCTGTCGCACTCTTGGATGATCAGTTGGTTGGGACGGGTTTCCTGCAGGGTTTTCAGGTCATCGTCTTGCCCTCGATGTGGCTGTTGCCAAGTACAAAACTGTTCTCAAGGCCGAGCCTTTGTCCCCAGAGCTCTGAAGCAGTTTGGGATCCCGCAGGTGGGGGATTCTTGGCCTCCGTGTCCAGCTCCTCTTCAGCTGGACAAGTAGGCCTGGAATTGCTGCTCATGATTTCTCCACCCTGCTGATTCTCTCTTCTCCTGGCGTTTCCAGTAATTTGTTGTACGACCTTTGCACTCCCATTTTTCATCTTTTTATCCTTTTATTCCCCCTTCTGACAATTCTCAACTTTTTCTCCAGCCCCTTCCTTCTGCACTTTAGTTTTTGTCCTCTTGTCTTTATCCTCTTTAATATTTCCTTTGGTGTCACTTTAGGATTTCAGGGCAGAGCAGCTGGAAGCAGGTGCCTCCTTCTCTCTGCAGTTCTGCCTGCCCGCCCTGTCCCACGGCGATATTGCGTGCATTCTCTGATGCTACATCAATGGGTTCTTTCCTCGCTGGCCGCTGGACATTGCATCAGGCCCACAAAGAAACCGCCCTCCACACTGGTGCCAGGTGCACGCCTGTCCCCTCTGTAAACCCGGCCCCTAAGAGTTAAAGCGTTCCGGCTCTGAGAGCCGCTTCACCTGCAGCTGACTCTCAGGATGTTTAAGTTGGAGGAGCCAGCCTGTGTCTCCATCAGAATTGCTTCTGGCAGAAGGATGAAGGCACCTGCTAGGCATTGGGCACTGCGTTGAATTTTAAGGTTGTGATTGGAATGTTGTATCGCCTTAATTAGTCATTTACTTGATTGGCTTCAGGAGAAACAATCCCACCTGCTCCCTGTTCCCTAAGGAGCAGACACTGCATTTGGAAGTACAGTTGGCATCCTTCCTGCCCTCACCCACGCTTGGTGGGAGCAACTCTTCCATGAGGCCTCCGGCCTGATGCTTTGGTTCTGTCAATGTACCTGCAGCCCTCTTAGGGGTGGGATCCAGTTTCTGCAGTTCCTCCACCTGGCCACATCGTGCCTGGAATGAGTGGAAGGCCCGCGAGGGCGGTGAAGGGGCTGCTGCACTGAGCCAGTACACGTGCAGCCTCGACCCTCACAGTCACCAGGTGCCGGCTTACCTGCATCTTCCACTTTGGCTGCCTTTGGCAGAATTATTGGAGTTACAGGCATTGTGCAAGCTTTAAGACACATGCATTTGAAGGGCTGATATTGTAGGTCCCTATGTCTTAAGTCAATCTATGAGATGCCCGGCCTGGAAGTAATGAGGGAGGGCAGGAAGCAGGAAGGCTGGCCACCCTGAAAGCAGGCAGTGAGCCGGTCCTCGTGGTATGCGGCTCCCCCGGCTGCCTTCTGCCCCCTAGGGCTTCTCTGTTCTCCCCAGGAAGGCCACTTCATGTGCCCCGGGTGGTCTCCAGCATCCCCCTTCTCTCCTGGTCCACGTGCTGCTGCTCAATCCCCTCCCCGAGCCCCGCATCCAAAACCCTGCTTGTCTGATAGGTTCTGCGGGGGAGTCAGAGTGCTGAATAGCCCACGGGGCAGGGACGAGCGGAGGGCCCCAGCCTCATGCCATGCTGTCCCTGGCAGTGCTGGCATGGTGTCCTGGAGCCTCCTGGTCAGCTGCAGCCACCCTGCAGGCAGAGTCGACCAGGGACGTGCAGTCGGCTAGAATCAGGGAGCCCAGGCAGGTGTGCAGGCTGGGAGGCAGGGGGTAAACAGGTGAGGGGACAGAAGAATTCCAGATGGTGAGAAGGCTGCTGTGAGGAAGACAGGGCAGTGGGGCTGTGATGGGGGCAGTGGGGCTGTGGGGGGTCAGGGCAGCCTTGGGAGGGGCGTGGAGCAGAGGCCTGTGGAAGGGGAGAGGAGGGAAGGGGAGGGGAGTGGAGGGAAGGGGTGGGGTGAAGCAGCCACCATGGGACTCTCCTCAAGAGTCTCTTGCACAAAGAGTCTGGAGTGCCCGGCAGGGCTGTGGAGGATCTGCCGCCTGACTGATGACCTGGTGGCAGCGTGATGACCCCCACAGGGCCTGGGGGAGGCGGTGCACTGGGCTGCAGTACCACAGCCAGTCCATGGTAGCCTGGAGTGACCATGTCATGCCCGCCTCCCGATGCCACGTGTCCCACTCTATGTGGCAGGGCAGCCACTGAGGAAGACCTTTCACACAGGGCCAGGGACCCTGTGCTCTTCTGTGGGCACACACAGCCCCTGCCTCTCAGAAGTGGCTCCTGTCCCAGGCCCGGGGAATCCCTGCAGAGCCCATGTGGGTTTCAGTGGAGATCTGGTGGTGAGAGAAGAGGTACTGTTTTCTTGCCTAGTCATCAGTTGGGTTTTTTGGCTTGTTTTTTTTGGTTTTGTTTTGTCTTTTGAATAATGGCAAGAAACCCAGCGTGGAAATAGAAGTGGAGCTTGTGAATCTACGCTTGCCTCGGTCGGTTGTGTTAGGCACAGAAGTGTGCCCTCGTCAGTAGCCCGTGGAGAGGCCGGCTTGTGGCTGAATCCGTCATCTGTCGTCATCCAGGTCCCCCGTGCCACAGCACAGAGGCCTCGCTCCCTGCAGAGGCTTAGAGTCTGGTACCTTCTCACAGCGCCTCTCTGGTTTCTCTGGGAAGGCTGTTTTAGGGAGCTTGCTTCTCCCACATCCTTCCAAGACCTGCAGAAAAACTGTCCCTGACTCGAAGCCTTTTCCAAAGTGGAGAAGGTCCTGGGCTGTCTGCACGTCCCAAAGAGTGAAGTCATGTTGGTCCCCATCGCCCAGCCACATCAGTCCTGCTTCCAGGAGAAACTCCGTCTCATTCCTTGTTGCTCTGGAGGCGGTGCACTGCCTGTTCCAGAAAGATTAAGAACAGCAGGAGTGCTGATTCTTTAAGAAGAGGTAAAATCTCCCTAATGTGCAAATCTCCAAGTGGTAGAATCTTGAAAGTAGCCAAGTAAAACCTCAGAACTCAAAGGCTTGTGTGACACACGTCTCCGTGGCGGTATTCTTGGCTCTGTTCTGGACTCTGAAAGCCGATAACCTCTCCCGGGTGGGTTTGGGGATTTCTTTGACTCCGGTCGCTGCCTTTAGATCCCTAGTGCTTCCCAAGGCGGGCCTCGCGCCGGAGGTTTGGGTTCCAGATGCAGATGAGTTGGGGACCACGGTGGGCTGAAAGGTGTAGATTCGCAAATGGCTCTGTCCACACAGGCAGAGCTGTTCACAGAAACCGACCCACGCCCAGTACCTTCACCCTGTGGTCAGATGAAAGGTGAAGCCGGCGCAGATGTTGGGATGGGCTCTGCTGAGCCTCCCCAGGTCGGGGTGGGGATAGCAGCCTCACGCTCTGGAGGCCTCACTGACTGACACAGCTGGGGCGATGCATGGGCGAGCAAGAAAGTGTGCAACGTGGACACCATCCTCACATCCCTGGGCCCAGCCTCACATCCCTGTCAGTCTTTCTCTGATTTTAGAGCAACACAGCTATGAAGATAGGGGTGTATTATCTAGAAGAGCATTAGTTACGAGACATCGCCATTAAGTGACTTCACACCTCAGCAGCCTCCTGCCACGCCCAGTAAATCAGCTTGTCAGTCCTGTTTCCATCTCCTGGTAAACAGTGGTGGCCTGATTCTGTGAAGACAGTGCCAGCGCTTGCATAATGCTGTGGCCACAGAAATTTATCCAAAGCACCAGATTCGTTTTATTCATTATTTGGGACTGATGAATGGGATTTAGAATCCCCTGCTTCGTGAGCTCCCTGCGCTCTCCCCTGCAGCAACACAGCAGTGTTGAGCAAATATTTACTCACCAGAGTGCGTATTTTTAAAAAACCACCAACAGGATAACCTTGAGCCAGTGGTGTCTGCCTGGCTGTAATGACATCTCCTTTTTGTGCAGCTTCTGAACCGAATCTGAAATTACGGTCCAGGCTAAAGCAGAAAGTGGCCGAAAGACGGAGCAGCCCCCTGTTACGCAGGAAAGACGGGCCAGTGGTCACTGCTCTAAAAAAGCGTCCGTTGGATGTCACAGGTATGTCGGCTGAGCAGGTACACCCGCCCCGCTGCCCTCTCTGCCAGGCCTTCCTGCCATAGGCGATTTCTCTCAGGAGCTTCTGAAAACCCACGTGTCTGCCTCACGCTGTCAACCCCCAGTGTGGTCCTGTTCCCATGGCGCTGGAAGTGCCAGGCCCAGGGGACCAGGTTTGATGACTCCGGCATGTCTAAGCCGGGCCCTGCTCCTGGCATTAGTGACTCAGAGCTGGTTCTAGGTGGGCTGAGGTGCACAAGGGTGCCCCAGCTTGGCACTGCGGGAGATGCAGTCAGGAGCTTGAGTTGAGGCTCCTCTGAAGGTGGGTCTTAACCAGTCCCACCCTAGTAGTGGTGAATCGCATGCTCTGCCCTGTTCCGCTGCCCCTGAGCAGTGTCTGAACCACCGGGGCATTTTAACGTCTTCCCACGCCAGAGCACCCATCAACTGAGCAGGGAGGGAAGCAAGGAGTGAAGTTGCTTCAGCTTGGCCCTAGTGACGTGTCACGGTTGGCCCCATCTAGTGGTGGACACGCAGAAGGACAAGACCGAGCAGACCCCCATCCTGAAGGCTCACCCGCCCCTCTTGAGGGTACATCCCCATCCAGAGGACCACCCATTCCCAACCACCACCAGGGTACACCCCTCACCCCACCACTCCTGAAATCACAGCACCAGGATAAAGGAGCTGCTTGGGCATGGCCTGGATAGAGGGGAGGCAGCGGACATGTTTGCACAACAGAAAGTGTTCAACTTGAAGGCCAAGGCTCATGGTAGGTGGTCTGTGAAAGGCACAGTTCCACTGAGCAGGCTGTTGACCTAGGGAAGCCGGGGAGGGGCTCCTGGTGCCATGCCCCGTGTGTGCGAGCATTGGCATCACACAGGGACTCTGCTTCAGCAGTGAGGTGAGAGCCAGACCTACCCGCTAAATACAGGGCCCTGCCTGTTTCTCGTGCCCTGTCCCCTCTCTACTTGAGGAGTTCCTAACCACGGTGTAAGGGTCTGGGTCTGAATATTTGTGGATTTCTATTAAAAAGTATCTGACATCTTCATGCCCAGGGGAACTCCATATGTGTCATTTCTGATGTAGGTTTCTTTCCTCTGGCCATTATAGTACACACAGACCTTTTCTACAGCCATCAAGAAATGTTATGATCTAAAGTTTCACTAAGTCTAGCTGACTGGGGAAGATTCAGTTGAAACGAGGAATCATGTGAGTTAAAAGCTTTCAAACTCCAATGCAGCCTTTTTTCCTATGAGCAGTGCCTTGCTTGGCCAGCTCTAATGGACACGTGAACCTTTGCGTTTTTTTGTTGTTTTTTTTTTAAAGTGTGCAGTGGGTGAGACGGAGTCTTCAGCAAGCTTCTTCTGAGTGTTAAAGCTGGTGTTCCTGTTGTCACCCAGTGACTACTGAGTGCTGTTTTTGAGTCAGCACTGGGCTGGGCGCAAAAATAGTGAGACAGAGTCCTTCCCTGGAAGGAGCTTGTGATGTAATTTGAGCAAGCAGCACATCACACGTGAGACCATCCAGGAGCCATGCGTGACAGGGCGTGATCAGTGCTGAGCTCACCCAGGAGTCATGTGTGACAGGGCCTGATCAGTGCTGAGCTCACCCAGGAGCCATGCGTCACAGGGCGTGATCAGTGCTGAGCTCACCCAGGAGTCATGTGTGACAGGGCACGATCATTGCTGAGCTCACCCAGGAGCCATGCGGCAGGGCGTGATCAGTGCTGAGCTCACCCAGGAGTCATGTGTGACAGGGCATGATCAGTGCTGAGCTCACCCAGGAGTCATGTGTGACAGGGCGTGATCAATGCTGAGCTCACCCAGGAGCCATGTGTGACAGGGCTTGATCAGTGCTAAGCTCACCCAGGAGTCATGTGTGACAGGGCATGATCAGTGCCGAGCTCACCCAGGAGCCATGCGTGGCAGGGCGTGATCAGTGCTGAGCTCACCCAGGAGCCATGCGTGGCAGGGCGTGATCAGTGCTGAGCTGTGGCATAAAGGGAGCCCGTGCCGAGGCACCTAGGAGTTGGGAGATCAGCACAAGCCACTCTAAGCCAGCAGAGCTCTGCAGAAGGTGGCATTTGCACTGGGACTTGGCGGGTGAGTGGGGCTGGGGCAGAGAGGCAGAGGGTTGTGCATCTCCTGGCCGGCACTGGTACCAGGGAGCTGCCACGATGGGGAGGCTGCTCTGAGTGGAGCTGATTTTCAGAAGACAGGTATTAGGAGTTCTAGGCGGGGTGGTCCCACACGGAGGAGTGGAGCCGATTTCCAGAAGACAGGTATTAGGCAGGGTGGTCCCATATGGAGCGGTGGAGGCAGTCGCGGTTCTTGGCAGAAAGAGAGCCAGGTGGATACTCTGCTTTTTCTCAGTCACTAATTAATTGGGTGTCTACTGTAGAGCACAAAGAAGAAAATGCATTCCCATACGCACTCTGTCCAGAGTGAATCCTGCTCACTCTGCACATTCCCGCAGCCCGTGTTCTGTGCCTTCCTCACACCTGAGTTCTCTCACTCTGCACGCCTTCCCGCAGCCCATGTTCTGCGCCTTCCTCACAGCTGAGTTCTCACCATCTTCCTGCGCCATCCTGCATCCCTCTCCACTCAATTTCAGCCACACGCCTTTTGAGCACCTCCAATGGTGTTCCCGTTTTGCTGATCTAAGTAATACTATGAAGATTATGCATTTATATGAATTTTCTTAGACCTATTCCTGGAAGTAGAATGCAAAAAAATAAAATTAACCTCGTTGAGTTAAAAGTGGGTGGAAAGTTACACATATAATTTTTACCGCCCCAAAAAGTTGTCCGGACTCCCCAGGCACATGCGTGAGGGTATTTATCTGACGACACAGCTGGGAGGCACCCATTACAGGGAAGATCTGCTGGATCTTGGTGTGTAGCTGGAGACAGCTTGACATCAGAGAGCAGGGGTCTAGGGTGGGCTACGGTGGGCTGCAGGTGGGGCAGAGATGGGAGAGTTGGAGGGGCCTGGAGAAGGCGGGTCCTGCTTTCTTGAGTGAAATGCAAACACTGGCTCAGCCCAGGTGGCATTCTCAGAATGCCCACTCACAGTGCAAATAACATGGCCTCGGCAGCGGGAGAAGCCTACCTCTGGAGTTAGTGTCTGGTGGAAGTGAGAGGGTGAGAGGGCCAGGGAAAGAAAGAGGATGGGGTAGGGTCGGGACCCAGTCCTGTATTCATGCTCAATGCCCAGGACAGTGAGCTGACCCCACACTCTTTTGAGCTCCAAGAGCCATGGGGAGCGGCTGGTGTAGGGCTTCTGGGTGGACACCCTGGTTTGCCCTTGGGAGGTTTAGACTGCCCTGCTGTTGAGGGCAAGATGTTCCCAGGGTGTTCCTGGTGGGCAGCGTGGTCAACAGAGGAGGTGCGCCTTCACCACCCAGCTGGGTTAACTCTGGTATGCAGACGCCCATGACAGTTCCCTCAAGCCACGTGGCCTGGGACGAGTGATGTTGCTGCTCCATGCCTCCATCTCCTCTTCTGGGAAACGGGGTCATAATGGCACCTTCCTCAAACAGTGACTGAGAGATGGATGAGCTAATAAAGGCAAAGTTTGGAATCAGGTCTGCCAGGTTGGGGGAGCTGTGGGTGGCTTTACCTGTTCCCCCACCCTCCTCATCCTCCTCACTGTGGCTCGGGGCTATATTTGCAGAGTCACCACCTCCAGCAGGCGTGGATACCACGTGAGTCAGCATGAGTGGGCACCTGCGTCCTCGTGGGCTCCAGGAGGACGCGGGCAGCAAGCAGACCGTGGAGGAGGCTTTGCTGGGGATGGCTCCGTTGAGGGGCTGCTTGGGGAAAACATCCCTTAACCTCCCCTCCAGGGCCCCCACCATGTCCCTTCCTTCTGACCTGTATGCGCTGCGCATATAGGTTGGGGCGAGGTTCTGAGCACCCAGAGTCGTTGCTGAACAGCAGACGCCTAGAGTTCTCGAGGCAAATGGGTCACATTGTGTTTTCTTTGGAAAGCTTTAACCAGATGATGCCATTGTTAAAATGCCGTTAAACTAAACATATGACAAGCCAAACAAATCCTTGTGTGAATATCGAGAGCCTCAGCGGCCTCCCACGGTGGATGTGTGTGCCCAAAATAGCAGCAGACCCCTTCAGAGGTGAAGGGATCTTTGGATTGGACGTGGCCCCTTTTGGAAGTCACATTCAGTCAGAGCGGAACCTGGTCTCATTAACCAGGGTCAAGCCGCACCGATGGTTAAAGATCCTCTAAGACTGTCCGAGCGTGTGTTTTCCAGTAGCACGGATAGATCTCAGGAGACACTGGCTATATTTTCCCCTGGATGCTTGCTGCTATGTAGGGAAAATGAGAGGATTCAGCTCAGAGTGAACACTAATAGTAGGTTGCTTTATTTTGAACTAAGCTTTTTATAGTGAGCACAGGAAAGCTGACCTTTTGCTTTTCAAAGTCACTTAGCTTCTGCATTTTCTGGTCTTCTGTTGTTAGGTCACTAATAAGTGTTTAAGGATTTATCTTTTTGGTGTTTAAAATTGTCTTGAAAATCAAACGAGGTATAAAATTGGTAACGTACATGTCCTAGAAAAAGTGAAGTCAGTGGCAAAACTGGAAAATCAGAAATCAGCATCATACTTTCTTTTTTGAAACCATGGCCATGTTCTTTTTGTTGGGACTTCTGCCTGTCGCAAGCTAACGAGCAGGTCCGTGGAAGGCACCGGGCATTCGGGCCACAGGTCAGCACGGCCCTCCCTCCGCATGGAGTAACACTCACCAGGGTATTTCTGCCTCCGCAGACTCCGCGTGCAGCAGCGCCCCAGGCTCCGGACCCAGCTCACCCAACAACAGCTCCGGGAGCGTCAGCGCGGAGAACGGTATCGCGCCCGCCGTCCCCAGCATCCCGGCGGAGGTCAGTGCGAAGCGTTTGTCCTGTGTCCTACGGCTAGAGTCGGACTCGGGACGGATGAGCTTGAAATGACCCCACTTTGCACTTGCCCTTCACTCTTCACCTTCCAATTTGGGGTGAGGGAAAGTGGCCTGTGAGCCATCCTAAAAAGGACGCAGTTGGAGGTTACTCTCCTGCCTTCCTCTCATCACAGACATCTCCTTTCATTATGAACACGCTAGTTCCAGGCACGTCGGGGACAGCCCTGAGCCTGGTCCTTTCTCCTGACCTCTTCCAGAGCAGATGTCACTAGATGGTGTCCCAGCACAAGCCCACGCATGGCAGGTGCTCTAGGTGGACAGGATCCCTGCTGCCCAGCTCGCTGTGGTCGCCAGTGCTCTGAGGGTGGCTGAGAGGCCGTGGGCACGTGGGTATAGTTGCTAAGTGAGACTTAACATTTTTTATTTTGTATTGAGAAATACACAACACGATGTCGGCCAACAAACTATGTGTCAGGGCCGACTGGAGCGTCACCCGTGGTCAGCATGGCAGGGCCGGCCAAAGCCACAGAGCGGGGAACTTTTCCAGGCATCACGGGAACCAGGCATCTCAGACCGCAGAGCTCAGCACCCCTGGTCCCCTGCCTTCATCAGACCCCAAGTGGTGCCACAGTCTGGGAGGGACATTGGCAAGCTAGAGAGGAGTCAGGGGACGCTTGGAGTCCCTAGGTGGGAAAGATGTCAGAGACGCAGGAGCTGAGTGGCAAGGCAGGGAGGAGTGGCGCCCAGGCTGGCCGAGTCGCACACTGACCATACTCGGAGGCTTTCCAGGGCAGCAGGTCCGAGGACCTCGCTCCGTGTTCCTTGAGCTCCTTTGCGCCCCCTGCCTTTATCCCACACGTGTCCCGAGCGCCTTGTGCCAGGCCCAGGGACAGAACCAGGCAGGCAGCAAGGACCTGCCCCACACTCCACACAATGCCCCACTGACAAGGAGAGGCCACCCCCAGAGCACGGGGAAGAAGAGAGAGGCAGAGAGAGGCAGTCCCGCAGGCTGAGTGGTGCCCTGGGCCTGGGTGGGCCTGACTGCAGGGCAGGGGTGGGAGGGGTACGCTTTAGCAGTGAGTTTTCTGATGAGTTGAGCTGGAAATGCTGTGTCTGCTTCATGGGGCAGAGTTCTACTGAGTGGGAGGTTCTTTCTGAATTCTCTCCAACTTACAGAAGGCTATAATTTATTAAATATAGTTATTGACTTTCCTTCTTAAATATTTAGAAATGAATCCTGCCCTTCCAAAGGATTGGCAAATCTTAGCTGGGATACAGAGGCATGAGTGTTTAGCATTTTCATTTCAAATTTCAAGACCGTTTATGTATAAACATTTTTAGAGACTAGAATTACTGCTCAGAACGAATTTTGCCCTTTGTCTCCAGGCTGCTTAATCCCCAATTTCTCTTACTCTTTCTACTTCATACATCGATTTCTTTTATTACCTGTCTTCTTCAGCCTGCCAACTTCAGTACTTATTTAGATGATTAGAAGTTTTAACAGTCCTCTGTATGGCTGTGGTCATAGCTGAGGTCTACCAGTAATAAGCCTTATAATGCAACCTAGAAATTACTTCCTGCCCTGAGGTTAACACTGGTTGCATCTTGTTGATTGTGGTCCTAGATACATGTTTTTATTTAAAATGAGGCACTTATGTACATGGTAGTTAATATTGGAACAGTGCCTTGTTTGGGTGGGTCTGCATCATTCCAGTTCTGTGTTAATTTTTAGAAATCACGATACGTAAATGAAGCTACTGGAAATTAATAGAACATGTAGAAGGAGTTACAGGAAATACCAAGAGGTGCCATTGTTCATGTTCCACATCAGATGTTCATTAGAGTGGGCACGGGCAGCCTTTGCATGTTGGATCACACCCAGGCGCCCTTTCTGGGTTTCAGTATCTCTAGAGTTGGACGGGTCTGTGAGAACACCTGTGCTTCATGGCCAGGGGCTGGCTCTCCGTTCTCACGTGGTGCAGAGTGTAGTGAGCTTGCCCGTCAGAGGGGGTGTCTCGAGTGGATGAGGATGTGGGGGGAGCAGGGGCCTCCCAGCCTGGCTCTCAGCACTGCCTTTTCTGTTCACCCTGGGGTCCCTAGAAACACTACTGTACCTTGAAGGCCCCCTGGACCCAGGGAAGCCCAGTGTGCCGGGCACCTCCTCCTCTACAGTGCCAGGGAGGCCCAGAGTGCCGGCACCTCCTCCTCTACAGGCCAGGGAAGCCCAGTGTGCCGGCACCTCCTCTACAGGGAGGAGGCAGGGCTCAGAGAGTGAGAGGAAGTCGCCCAGGTGCGTAAGGGGACAGCTCCTCTGTGGCCGCTGCTGCTGTTATTTACACGCGTGCCTGGATGCTCTGACCTCAGGCCCGCGGACTTTCCCTCTGAGCACATGCTGAGATGCGGTCCGGGGGCGCCAGCCTCAGAATGCCTCCCGCAGGGCTCGGCCCCGAGGCAGCAGATGCCAGAACGCCCTGCGATTTCTCAGGTGGACCAGTCGGCATCTCCAAGGAACAAATTCTCAGAAGCCTCCTTTAGTTCCAGAAATGGGCTTAAAAAAAACCTTGCTTACAAAGGAAATGAAAACTTTGCAAACATTAGAACGTCTCCTTATTTTGTTCCCAAATGATAACACAAGCATTTCCTCTACAGCATAACTTACTGATAATTCTTTAACTTTTGACAAAAAAAAAATTGCCTAGGAAAAATGTTTTCCTCAGTAGCCCTTTAATCATTCCTTACACAATGTAATATGTGAGCAAATCTAAAGGGAGTTGCAGGGTTTCCTCTGGGGCGAGGTGCGCCGTGAGTTTGCTCCTAAGTGAGAAGGCCGGGCTTTCTGTTCTGTAGGAACAGCCTGAGTGTAAGTGTTTGTCAGGAGAAGCGTTTCTTCCTATCCCCAATGGCCAGTCATATGTCTTTGGGGAAATGTCTCTTCAGATCCTTGGCCCACTTTTATACTGGCTGCTTCAGGTTTTGCTGGTGAGTTGCTGGAGTTCCCGCATGTTCTGGATACTGCTCCCTTGTCGGATGAATGGCTTGCACATGTTTCCCCTTCCCACAGGTCGTCTCTTCACTCTGGTGATTCTCTTCCTTTGCTGTGCAGAAGCTTTTTAGTTGAGCAGAGTCCCAGTTGCCTGTTTTCGTTTTTGTTGCCTGTGCTTTTGAGGTCTTAGCCATGGATCTTTCACAATAGCCAAGAGGTCGAATCAACCTCAGTGTCCTTCAGTGGATGAATAGACAGAGAAAATGTGGTGCTGTACACAGTGGAATACCATGCAGCCATCAAAAAGGATAGAACCCTGACATTTGCAGCAACATAGATGGAACTAGAGGCCCTCATGTTAAGTGAACTAAGCCAGGCACAGAAAGACAAACATGGCATTTTCTCATTCATCTGGGGGAGCTAAAAACGTTGCTGTCATGGAGGTAGAGAGTATAATGAAATCTGTTATCTATTCATTATTAACGTTAGCTTCTGGCAAGGGGATTTCTATCTGCCAAACCCCACTAACTAGCATGATTACAACAACATTTTATTCCTTCTCTTTGTTTGCCCATTCATTCAGCAGACATTCCTTGAGTAGCTACTGTGTAGGGGATATAGTGGTGATAAACTATTGTCCTTTTTAGCAAAACACGTTCATTCTACAAGCAAAAAGATGTTAAATATCACAGTAGTTCAAGTCCTTGGAGACTGTTGCTGCTGACTCTTCCTGTGTGGCCTTCTAATCTTTACTCCTGGCTTGTGTTTGCTTTATCCAAGCCCATTCTTTAAAAGGTACATGATCTATAACCTGTTTTTCTAACTTAATGTATCATAAACAAGTGTCCAAGTAATCAGCTAGATCGTTCCCAACCCCCAGAGCATCCCGGTGTGCAATGCCCCTCCGTTCTGTTAACACCAAGGTGTCGGGGAAGCCGCATAGCTCTGCCATGCCTGCTGGGTGCTCGGCCCTGCAGCGGAGGCTTCATGGGCATCAGGCCATCTCCTTATTTCTTAACGTTACATCCCAAGAGTGGAGCTCCAGCATCAAAGGTTAGACAGATTTTGAAGGCCTTTGACATAGATTGCCAAATTGTCCTGCAGAAAGGGTGCCACTAACTGATTTGTGATTCACCCAACAGTGTTCGCCGTTCCTCTAGGCCAAGATGGTATTACCATGTTTCAAAAGTGTTTGCCAATTTGTTGGGTTTCAGAATACCTTTTTTGATGACCATGATGTGTTTTCCTGAGCGCCTTCCCCTTCCTGAGCTCTGCCGTCACTGGTCCTCACCGCGTGCTTTTCTCACTGTTAGTTGTTTGATTTGCAAGCTCTCTGTGCTGACCCTCGTCTGCCTCATACATGGCCAGTATTGTCATCATTGCCCACCTTTCGTAGAGGCAGTTGTTTTATGATTTTCTCTTTATTTTTAATTTTTGTGGGTACATAATGTATATATTTGTGGGGTACATGAGATGTTTTGATACAGGCATGCAATTTGTAATAATCACGTCATGCGAAGTGTGGGATGTCCATCCTCTCCGGTGCTTATCCTTTGTGTAACAAACAATCCAATCATACCCTTATAGTTATTTTTAAATGTACAGTTAAATGTTATTTCCTTTTTGTTTTCTGCCTTTGATGTTATGTCTGGAAAGACATTGCCAACTACAAAAAAGCATTGTAAACTATATTATCCTAGAAACTGCAAAACGGCATTGTAAACTATATTAGCCTAGATTTCCTTCTAACTGTTCTGTGGTAAATAATCAAACTGAATAGAAATCAACGAGATGATGCTGGACAAGGTGACAGAAGAAGAACTCGTATCGGGAGGAGGAAACTGGAGTGGTGAATTGTGCTTTCATGTTGTGGCACGTGTTGAAATCTCATGCTCTCATTGCTGTCTCATTTGTTACATGTACGTTTACGCTCATATATCAGAATTCAGTGCAGGTGTTTTCATCGTTGTTTTTCTTGGTGTATATTGCTGATGTTTGGCCGTGACAGACTGTGATGGTCATCGTGTGTTCTG
Organism: Homo sapiens; assembly: GCF_000001405.40. Classification (NCBI taxonomy): domain Eukaryota; kingdom Metazoa; phylum Chordata; class Mammalia; order Primates; family Hominidae; genus Homo; species Homo sapiens. The sequence goes on along the minus strand of NC_000002.12, from coordinate 239,134,650 downwards.
TCCCCAGACGAGTTTGGCGCACAGACTTGTGGCACGAGAAGGCTCGGCCGCTCCACTTCCCCTCTACACATCGCCATCCTTGCCCAACATCACGCTGGGCCTGCCTGCCACCGGCCCCTCTGCGGTAAGTCAGCCCCCGTGGGTCCGTGTGGTGTGGGGTGGTGGTGATGGGTCCTTCCACCCGAGCATCCTGGCTGTGCTTTCCAGGGCACGGCGGGCCAGCAGGACGCCGAGAGACTCACCCTTCCCGCCCTCCAGCAGAGGCTCTCCCTTTTCCCCGGCACCCACCTCACTCCCTACCTGAGCACCTCGCCCTTGGAGCGGGACGGAGGGGCAGCGCACAGCCCTCTTCTGCAGCACATGGTCTTACTGGAGCAGCCGCCGGCACAAGCACCCCTCGTCACAGGTGAGCACAAATGGGCCTGGGTGCAGCCAGGCTCTGAGGCTGCCCACGCTCTGGATGGTGCCCCGCCTTCGCCTGCCTTTGGAGGAGACAGGAATGCACGCCTGTCCCACCCCCACAGTTCCCAAACACACATCCCCATCACGTGATGTAGCCACCGTGACTGCAGTGAAAATCCATGCCTCACTCCCAGAGTCAGGTAGATGGAGTGGAAACAGAAGTCACTTCCCCTTTCTCACCTTTTGGGAGAGGCCACCGGCTCTTGCGATTTGGGTTTCTGTCTGGACCAAGCTGAGCCAGCGCTGGAAGCCCAGAACCGACTCTTGTGGTCAGTTTGTGTTAGCGAACTTTTACAAATGTGCACTGTCTGGGGGAGTGGTTACATTTAGAAAAATACAATTTAGAGGAAAATGGGAACGTCCTTATGAAATTACATAGCAACAGCAATGTGAAAGTGTCACTTCAGAAATGAGGGCACACCGGCCGGACACGGTGACTGACACCTGTAATCCCAGCAGTTTGGGAGGCCGAGGCAGGCGGATCACGTGAGGTCAGGAGTTCAAGACCAGCCTGACTAACATGGTGAAACCCCGTCTCTACTAAAAATACAAAAATTAGCTGGGCGTGGTGGCGCACACCTGTAATCCCAGCTACTTGGGAGGCTGAGGCAGGAGAATTGCTTGAAATTGGAAGGCAGAGGTTATAGTGACCCGAGATGGTGGCACTGCACTCCAGCCTGGGCAACAGAGCGAGACTCCGTCTCAAAAATAAATAAATGAGGGAGCAGCTACCTACCCCCTTGCCGTGCGGGTCATCGTTGTACATCTTCATAGCTTTGTGTTTGGCTTCCTGGAAACCTGTTGTTGCCAATTGAAAGCTGAAATACCCTCAGAGCTGCACCTGTGAAACTCTGGCAGTGAACTTGGTGAAAACTCAGGGGCTTGGCGTGTTGTAGGAGGCTGCGCTGCAGGATGCGTGGGGCTAGGGGCTGGCTTGGGTGGGCTTGGGCCTCTGGCTTGACTAGTCTGGTGGATTTTGGTGTTTTCTTGTTTTGTGCTGCCCATGTGTCTCTGTTTAGACAGAGAGGATTCCTTCTTATTCCTTCTTTGCCCAGAAGCCAAATGGCGCAATCTTTGTTTTGTGCCTGAGCCCCTTTCTGTTTGTTTCTCCAGAAGCTTGAATTCGTGTCCCTGCCTGTCCAGAGCAGAGGAGCCCGTGGTGTAACGAGGGAGGGGGCAGCCCTCACAGTGCCTCTCTGAGCTGCGGCCACAGTGGCAGGCACGCGGATCTCTCTGGAGGAATGTATCTGAGGTTGCGTCTGAGTCTCTTGGATGCTCTAGATCAGCTGGCACGAGTGTGGGTAGTGAAGGACACCTGAGTTTCTCGCCTGTCTTTAAAAACGTAAAATGTGCCTGATCTTCAGGATTCCTGGGATTCACTTCGTCAGAGATGTTTGTCACTTATCTTCTTTCCTTCTCTAAATCAGTTTATTCTGCACGATTAAATAGCATGCGTAATCTTGTGTATCAGGTTTTTGGAAAACAGCCTTTTTGATAGAACCTGGATATCGAGTGTGCATGGGTCTCACCTCTCTGAGAAACGCACTGAACTCGGCGTTGCTTCTTCCCTGTGTGCGCTCATCCCTCTTTTCCTCCCAGGTGCAGCTTGCTCGTTGGCATGGGGACCTGCCCACCGTGCCCTGCCCAGGCTCTGTGCCACCAGGGGGCCCATGCATGGTTGCCCAGCTTGCTCTGGCCTTGCTTTACGCCTGTGCCCAGCAAGCCCCTCCAGTCCTATGCCGCCACCTCCAAAACCCTGCAAGCCCCTTCTCTCCTGCACAGCCTCCCCAGGTTGCCAGCAGCTCATCCTGCAAACCCCCTGGCAGGGAGCCTCGGAGCCAGTGTCACGTGTGCAGCGTAGTGCAGCCACACAGCCGCCTCTGTCCCAGCTTTCTCCTGCTCCATGACCCTGGGAAGCCGCTTATGCTCTGTGTGCCTTGTTTTCCCATCTAGGAAGTGGGGATACTAAGCGGTCCGCCCCCGTGAGCCTGATGAGGGTTAAGTGGGCTGTGCACTCATGTGCCCCTGCAGGTGTTGGCATCATTGTTGTAGTCATTGCCTTGTTCTTAACCTGCCACCTCCCATGCTCTCTCACTCCCCCAGCCAGCCCCTGTCCGTCCTCAGTGTCTCAGGGGCCCTCCCCCAGCCCCGCCATGAGCAGGGCCCTCATTTGGAACCCGCTGGGATTGCCCCATCTTCTTGTGGGAAGAAGCCTCCTGTGCAGGTTCCTCCCCTCCGGTCTGTCCTCCTGTATCCACCGGACTCTCCTTGAAGGCCTGGAGGCCCCCACGCTGTCTAGAGCAGTACTGGCCAGGTCAGGAGCCACCAGCCACGGGGAGCTGTTAAATAAATAAGTCAGAATTAGAATTCAGTTTCTCAGTCACATGTGCACCACATCCAGTGCACGGCCCACGGCTGTCCCCTGAATGTTCTCATTGTCACAGAAGGTCCTGGCAGGGCGGCACTGGCCTGGAGTGAAGTCCCAGCTTGTGAGCAGGAACTCCAGCCTTCCTCTAGAAGCCTCGTTTCTCTTCCCTAGTCCGGTACAGCAGCCAGGCCAGCCGGCTCAATGCTGGACCAGACCGCAGCCAGCCCCCAGAGCCAGGGCTCTTTCCCAGGGCCCTTTTCCCCATCAGGTGTGGTTCGTCTGCCCCCTCATCCCAGGCTTCCATCCCTGCCCCAGCCCTGCCTTGTTGCTCCTTCCCTGGATCACACTGCATCTTCGTTTCCATGTTCTGCCCTTTCCTGCAGTTTTTGACGAACTCTTGCTTGAGTTGGTCTCCTGGACAGCAGTGCCTGTGTTTTCCTGGCCCACAGACAGACCCACCTTATCGCTGGTAATCGTGGTGCATAGGTGTATAGGATATCAAAGCTAGAACAGCCCTCCAGCCACAAATGCTTTGAAACAGAGGCCTCTGTGGGTGAGGTCACTGTCAGAGACCAGAGGGGTGAGCCATGGTCCAGGGTCTCCCAGAGCTGCCTCCTACACGCCACATACCTCCAGTCAGCCCCTTTCCGCACCGCTCCGGGCAGTTCCTCGCCAGTCACAGGCTGGGCGTGCCTCTTCTATGTCCCTGTTCATGTGCTGCTCCAGTGCGGCACTCCGCACGTGGTCACTGTGGACTCAGATCTTTGCAGAGTGTCTGGTACATCCTCGGAGATTAGTCTCCGCATAACTAGCTGAGGCGGGGAGTGGAGCTCAGGAGCCCATTCCCGGGTAAGAAGGAAAGTGTCTGTGCAGAGCCCTGTGCTGCTGCTTTAGTTGGACGCAAAACTGTGGGCATGATTGTTGCCTGGACAGCCCAGCTAAGTCCTTTATGATGCCCGTGTGGCTGAGAAGCAGGACTTTGAGAACCATGCAATCTGCTGTCAGGACCCGAGAGACAGGGCCCCCCAAGACCCAGGAGGAGCTTGGTAGTACAGGCATGTGGAGGAGAAGGCTGGAGACCAGGGCTGTGCCGCAGGTGGGCCTAGGGAAGGCTTCCCGGAGCAGTGGCGTCGGAGCTGAGATCTCAGTAGGAGCTTGCAGGCGGAGAGGGAAGGGCACAGGTGGAGGGAGATGTGTATGCCTCGTGGAGGTGGCCCTGTCACAGATCTTTCTAGCATCCTGAAACAGAGCATGCCACCAGCGTCTTAAGGACAGGTGGAGGGAGATGTGTATGCCTCGTGGAGGTGGCCCTGTCACAGATCTTTCTAGCATCCTGAAACAGAGCATGCCACCAGCGTCTTAAGGCTACGTAGCCTTCCTGAGCTGGCAGTGGAGACCCACTGTCCCGCTGTCACATGCTGAGTGGAGGGTGCCCCTGGCTTCTGTGTTAGCGATGGCATGCTACTGTTTAGGCCTCATTTCCCCAAAAAACAGCGAGTCCCAGGAAGGGCTTGAGCACAGCTGGCCGTGGTTCATGTCCTATAATTGGCACGCGAGGCTGTGGTCCTCAGCCCTGGCCTGGCCTCAGCTCCATCCCCAGAAGCTCAAACAGATGCTGATTGGTCCAAGCGAATCCAGAGCACCCACATTGTTCCCTTGGGCGGCCGGGATTGCAAACTGTGAGTTGGATCTAACTCTTGCCTGGTTTGCTTCTCAATGGAAGGATTTTAAAGAATTTTGCAGAAAAAGCAATGGAATACACCAGATGGACTTCTAAGGACTCAGGCACCCTGAATTGTTCATCTCATGTGAATTCATCACCTAAACAGAATCCCAGTGTGTGCAGACCCGCTCTTCAAAACTGGGTCCGGAACTTGAGAGCAATCCAGTCTTTCACCTTCTTTTTTCTTAAATCCCCATACCTGGTGGGGTGTGTCTAAGTGATGCATTTGCACACTCACTAATTAGTTTGGGTATTGCTGAGCAGGGTGTTCTAAACTTAGACCCTGGATGGCTGGGTGCATTCCAGCATGCTCACTCGGGAACTGTCATTGCAATTATTGTGATTGTGTGTTAGAGTATGGACTTCCAGGGGAGCTGGCCACTGAGCACAGTTCAGGCCCAGCCCCAAGTGCCTCCAGGAGGAGCAGGAGCCGGCAGCCATAGGGACACAGCCGTCCAGCACCAGGAGCCAGGGTCAGCTCAGGAGCCAGGGTCAGCTGTTGCCCTTGCACTGGGCACAGGGAAGGGCTTCTGCCAGTGCTCAGGGCAGAAAGAGCAGAAGCTGGAAAAACCCTGGCTAAGATGCCCAGGGGAGGAGCCCAGAGCAGGGGGCCACTGGGACCACAGGAGCCAGGCTCTGCCCCACACCCCGCCCAGCACCACACAGCCAGCCCCTGCAGCTGGGTCACCGACCACAGAATTGTGTCCTGATGGACTTATGCTCAAAAGTCCCTGACAGCATATCCTGAAGACCACATCATGGTCTGTCATCAGAAGCTCTTGTTAATGATCTCAGGGATCCAAATTGGAAACCACCCTGCCAGCAAATAGCATTGCTATGCAGAGGTCAGGGCGCTGCTTTTCAAGGATACCCAGGGGTAGGGTGTCCCTGTGTATGGCGGCCCTGGGTTTTGCACCCTGGAGGCAGCAGAGTGAAATTCTGAGTGGGCGAGATAGGCTGAGAGAGAGTGAGGGGCTGGTCCGTGGGGAGTGCAACTGGAAAAGGAACAGGGCCGGTCTGCACAGGGGTCTCTGCTCACACCAGTTCTGAAAATGAAGCCCTGTTCCAATGGGGCGTAGGCTTGTGTCCCCGTGTGAAGCTGGTGGCCTGGGAAATTCCTGGGCCCATGCGGAGGATGGCGGGAGGCAGAGCCCTGGACCAGAAGGAGCCTGGGAGCGCTGTGTAGCCCCCACTCACACCGCTGGCTCGAGTCGCTTGTTCCTTACCGTGTGTCACACCAGGAAGCTGAATCCTATGAAGTTGGCGTGTCCTTCTCCTCTGCAGAGGGTCAGGCCTGGGCAGGGGACTGTGCAGCTCATCACCGCCTCCACCCCTGAATGGTGTGCACACTGAGGCTTTGGGGGAAAACAACGCTAAGGAAAATGTATTTCAGGTTCCCATTGCTTTCCGAGGAGAGACCTTTCCAGCAACTACGTAGCCTTTGCGTCCCCTGAAAGCAGCTTTGTGTGACTGACTTCCTTATTTCCTCCGTGAAGTAGTTCAATCCCACGTAATACACACGTCAACAATTGAAAAATTCTGAAATGCCTTCTTTTTTTTATTTTTTTTTTGAGACAGAGTCTCGTTTGTCGCCCAGGCTGAAGTGCAGTGGCATTATCTGGGCTCACTGCAACCTTGCCTCCCAGGTTCAAGCAATTCTTCTGCCTCAGCCTCCTGAGTAGCTGCGATTACAGGCATGTGCCACCATACATGGCTGATTTTTGTATTTTTAGTAGAGACGGGGTTTTGCCATGTTGGCCAGTCTGACCTCAGGTGATCCACCCACCTCGGCCTCTCAAAGTGCTAGGATTACAGCCACCACCGCGCCCAGCCTGAAATGCCTTCTTTAGGATGGTTTACCTTTTTCTTTTTTTACGTTTTCAGGGAATGATTCTGAATGGATTTTTAGTTATTCACTGTAATTTAATAGCCAAGCATTGATGATAAAATTTAAGATAACATGTCTTTCCGGAAAGTTGTGGGGTTGGGTGAAAAGGGATGGTGGTTTAGAGAACACTAGTGAATAACTTTTGAAAAGGTAGTGAAGAGCAGCCTTGCTGGGGTCTTGCTGGGTTTAGTCTGTCTGGATGTGTCCTTTGTGTTTGCATATCACGTAGTATTTCTTAAATTTAGAAATAGCCCCTGCAAAGGGACTTGAGAAGCACTAAGCAGCATGGCTCTCACTGGGAGGCTTGGACTCCACTAAACCTGATGACACACCCAGCTGCCCTGCGAGCCCTGGCATCAGTGTCCTGGGGGAGGGACAGGACAGGAGCTGCCACTTGCCGGCAGGGCCACCTTGGTATCCCTGGAGGTCCCGTAGCCCTTGCAGCAGGCATGTAGCCCCGCCTGGCAGCAGGAACAGCAGGCTGCCTCAGGCGGATGCCGAGTTCCAAAGAGTCCCCCACCAGGGCCTCCAAGAGCTGGTGTGGTTACTTCCTTTGTCATTTCACCCGGTCAGATGCCCTTGAGCGGGTCAGGGTCATTTTTATCCTGAGCAGCATTGTTTAGTTTAGTGTTTACCCCACTCAGGTTACCAGAGGAACAGATATTCACAGAGCAGGACAGAGGGTTCGTTAGATCCTTTTGCCCACAAAACCATGGAAAAATGTTAAACGACCTAAACCAACAATTTATATATATCTCGATGAACGCATGCAGAAGGAAAAAATGTACTTCACTAGGTTGCATTGTAAATCAAGATACAGATGCCAATTAAAGCAAGATCATCTATCAAAATGGATTCTTTTAATCAAAACATACAGGGTTGGTGAAGTGGGCATCCTCCACTCGCTGGCAGGGATTAGCCAGATCTTTTCAGAAAGGGGTTTTGACAATATGCATAAGGACTTTTTAAAATGTTTACGCCATCTTTGTGCATAAAATCAGTGCTCGAAGAGACCTTAAAACGATGTCAACCCTAAGGACAATTGTTTTTCTCACAACTCAGGCTGTCTTTGGAAATATGTGGAGGCTCCCAGAACCGTGGCAGCCTTCCTCAGCACACTGGTGGCCCTCTCTCCCCTCCCACCGTGCTGTTCAGACCAAAACCCACTTTTCTAGGGCCTGTGGCCCCCAGGAACAATTGTGTGGTAGCCACTCTGGGGAAGGGCTTGCTCTTTGAAACCTGCCACACAGGACTCCTGACGTTTCCTGTGTCGACCTGATTTTCATAGAAAATTGCCTCCAAATTATGGTTCCTATAGTCCCAAAGCACCAGCTCACGGCCCCCAGCCTCAGCTGGAAGGGGCCCAGTTAGCGAGCCAGCTCTGGGGCACCAGGGCAGAACGCCTGGGCTGGCGGGCACAGGGCGCAGTTGTCTCCATCACTTACTCAATAGCCCTCTCTCCCTCCTCTCTTCTTCCTCTTCCCCTCTGCTGTTTCTTCCTCCAATTATCTTCAGACTGGTATCTTTCAGGCCTGGGAGCACTGCCCCTCCACGCACAGTCCTTGGTTGGTGCAGACCGGGTGTCCCCCTCCATCCACAAGCTGCGGCAGCACCGCCCACTGGGGCGGACCCAGTCGGCCCCGCTGCCCCAGAACGCCCAGGCTCTGCAGCACCTGGTCATCCAGCAGCAGCATCAGCAGTTTCTGGAGAAACACAAGCAGCAGTTCCAGCAGCAGCAACTGCAGATGAACAAGGTGGGTTTGCCGGCTCAGCGCTCCCAGGCCCCAGGGCGGCTGTGTGCTGTGCGCTTCAGCCTCAGGCTTCAGCACTGGCCCCTTTCTGACCTTAAGGGAGGCCAGGAGGCAGAAAGAGGGAACCGAGGAGGCACATGCTCTGGCCCACAGCACAGAGCTGGGCAGGGGCAGGGGCAGAAGGGATGCTGCTGGGAGCTTGGGCTCAGGAACAGTTCACCTGCAGGGAGTGGGACGCGCAGGGCCAGTGCCCTCTCCCACCAGCCCGTGTGAGTTCCGTTGGACCAGTGCCCTCTCCCACCAGCCCATGTGAGTTCCACTGGACCACGTCCTGCCTGTGGTGCATCAGTGCCAGCGAATGGAATAGTCTACTTGGGCAACACTTTTTTCTTGGGTTTCCTAAGGCCATTTAGTAAACATACCTTTAAATAAACTAGCAACCCACAGTGCCCATCTCCCAGGCCATCCGGCACTTGCAGCCTGCCTGAGTGCATGAGCAGCGTACAGGGTAAGCAGCGTACAGGGCCGGGGGGCCCGGGTGCAGTTGTACAGGTGCAGAACTCCAGCAGGAAGTCGAAGGGACACTGTCAGAGCTGGTTCTGGGCCCCGGCCAGCCCACAGAGGTCTGCATAACCTACAGACATCTTGAAAGTCACTCAGATAAGTCCATTTTCAGGAGGAGGTAGTAGGCAAGGCTAGCACTGTGATGCTCGTGAAGAGGAAAACTAACATGCTGATTACGTGTTGATCAAATGCTGGCATTTGACATAGAGCATCTTTAAGGTAAGAGATGAGATGAGCTGCTATGAACATAGTCCAGCAGTTCCTCAAAAGGTTGGACACAGCCACCACATGGCCCCACAGCTCTGCGGCCAGAGATGAAAGCACACATCTACACGTAAACTCACTCAGGCATTCACAGCAACCTGAGTCCCTGTTTCAGGCCATTCCTGCACTGCTGTAGAGAAATACCTCAGACTGCGTGATTCATAAGAAAAGAGGTCTGATTGGCTTCTGGTTCTGCAGGCTGTAGAGGAAGCGTGGTGTTGGCCTCTGCTTCTGGGGAGTCCTCGAGGAAACATTCAACTGTGGTAGGCGAAGGGGGAGCGGGCACATCACTTGGCAAGAGCAGGAGCAAGGGGTGGGGAGAGGGGCCACACACTTCTAACCGACCAGACCTCACCAGAACCCACTCATTACAGTGAGGACAGCACCAACAGACGGTGTTCAGCCGTTCATGCCAAATCCACCCACATGATCCAGCCACCTCCTGCCAGGTCCCACCTCCAGTATTGGGGGCTAGGCTTCAGCAGGAGATGTGGGCAGGGACACAGATCCAAACCGTATCAGTCGTAATAACCGTATCAGTCGTGATAGCCACATTACATGGGAACAGCCCAGGTGTCCATCCTGTGATGCGCGGCCACACGCCGGCACACCGGAATGTCACATAACATGGAATGTCATATAACGCGGCCACACGCCAGCACACCAGAATGTCACATAACGTGGAATGTCATATAACGCAGCCACACGCCAGCACACCGGAATGTCACATAACATGGAATGTCATATAACGCGGCCACACGCCAGCACACCAGAATGTCATATAACGCGGCCGCACGCCAGCACACCGGAATGTCACATAACGTGGAATGTCATATAACGCGGCCACACGCCAGCACACCAGAATGTCACATAACATGGAATGTCATATAACGCAGCCACACGCCAGCACACCAGAATGTCACATAACATGGAATGTCATATAACGCGGCCACACGCCGGCACACCGGAATGTCATATAACGTGGAATGATGTGCGGCCACATGCCGGCACGCCGGAATGTCATATAACGTGGAATGACGTGCGGCCACATGCCGGCACACTGGAATGTCATATAACGTGGAATGACGCACGGCCACACGCCGGCACGCCGGAATGTCATATAACGTGGCCACACGCCGGAATGTCATTCAGCCATAAAGTGGAATGACACTGACAAGCGGCAGCACGGGAAGCCTTGGAAGCAGGATGCCAGGCACGAGAGGCCGCGTGTGGTATGATTTCATGCACATAAAACGTCCCCAACAGACAGACTCACAGAGACAGGACACAGACTCGTGGGAGCCAGGCCTGGGCTGCTGCGGGCAGATGGGGAGCATTTCTGGGGAACAGCGCCTCTTCTTAGGGATGGTGAAAATATTCCAAAATTAGATATGGTGATGACTGCACAGCTCTGTAAATATACTAAAAACAACAAATGATATCATTTAAAAGCGTGAATTGGATGGTATGTGAATTATATCCCAGTAAAGCTGTTACAAGGAAGAAAGAGGATGAGTTGATGGGAGGGGAACGTGGAGAAACCTTTGGCAGATTTGGCGACAGACGGAATCATTTCTCCGTTTATTGTCTCTCCTGTGAAAGTGCCCCCCTCACTCCACCCCACCCCCGTTGCTTCCCTGGATTTCAGGACCGGTCCTGGGTTGTCCACCTGTCCGGAGGCTCAGGGTCTTCTGTGGTTTTCCTGAGGGTGAAAAATTGGGGTTAGGACTGGGGAGGAGATAGACTTTCCTAGCACACGTAGACAGGAGTTGGAAAGTGAAATACCAGGATCCCAGCAAGAGCAGAGGTAAAGCCGTGGGGAGAGACCCCTACACCACCAACACTGCTGCCTCTTCCCGCAGCCCTGACCTCCTGATACCATTAGCCCCTCCTGCCTGCCTGGTCCCAATTTCCTTCTCTCAAGCCCCACAGTTCCAGCCCAGAAGAGGAGTCAGCTCAGCCCTGGCGCAGTGGTCAAAGGCTTTGATTGCGTGGTGTCCGGTCCAGTGGGGCTGAGTCGGGGAAGGCCCCTGGGAGATGGCAGCCGGCTGTGGCCCAAATCCATCCTAGTGTGTGAGCCATCATGGGGCTGCAGGCTCAGGATTGAGGAGATGGGCCCCTTGGGGCCTTGCTCCAGGGTGGCAGCCACGTCAGACCAGATGCCCAGCACAGGCCACAGCCTGGCCCCTGCTGCCCACTGGACACCACAAAATAGGCTCACCACCCCCACCCCACATGCCCCTCCACCCCCAAGCCCTCATCAGCGGACAGCAGGGAACGCATCAGAAATGGATGGGGCACCCAGCAAATCCCCTCATTGGGACGGGAAGGGCACAGGCTGTGGGCGTGTCGGGCGCCTGCCAGGCATCTTTACTCCCAGGTGTCAAAAGCACTTTCACATCCGTCTTCCTAATGCCAACTTAGGTTTGTTAATTTTATTATGTCATTATCTGAGTGATGGGGTAGGAGGTTTGAGGAAGACAGGAAACACCTATTCACATGCCGTATACTCTTGAAGGATTTAGAAACCGGGTACTCTCACTGGAGTTTGTTCTCTGATTGATTTACGGGAGTGAATGACAGTTGATTGAAACGTTTAGACAGTGTTTTCCCAGGATGCCCAGGAAGACAAGAATCTTGCCCAGGGCCGCCTAACACTGACGTCCCGGCCCTTCCTCTTGGAGGATGACGTCCCCAGGGGCTTGTTCCCTGAGGGCATCTGCCCAGCTCTGGCAGCTGTGAACCCTCCTGTCCCACTGCGCTGCTCCAGCCTACATTGGGGTTGCAGCTGGGGCCGGCTTGGTCTGCCCCTCCTTCAGCCTGTACCTTAGAGGGCAGTTGTTTTGGAAACATCACTGTGAATAAAAAAGAAAGAGAGGCGGCCCGTGCCTAGCCCTGGTGTTCCCTGCAGCCATATGTAGCCACTCTAGTTTTCCCGAGGCCTGCAGCCTGCAGAGCTGCCCCTTTTGGCTGAGAAAACTCCACCAGGTGGACAGGATCGACCCCGAGCTGGCTCTGCTCTCCTCTCCCCAGCCTGTGGTCGGGATGGTGGCAGATGTTTTCCAACTGTGTCAGCTTCTGTTGCCCGTGCCTTGTATGCAGTGGTGTTTATAAGGGTTTGCTGCATGAAGGAACTTTCTGGAGAACGCACACCATCAGAGGGCGAGTGGACCTTGGAACTCTGCAGGTGAAACTGGCCCTCCGTGTTCGCTGGCCACGTCCGGACTTGGCCTCAGTTATGTCTGGTTTGCGAGCAGTGGGTGATGTGTGTCCAGGCGAAATACCTCTTTCTATTAAAAGAGGACGTTCGTTGGAAGGTGTCCTCCACCCCTACAGCAAGAAGCCTTGCTTCTCAAGGTGGTTCTTCCCATGGTTTCTGGACTCTGCACAAGAACCTGCCTCCTGCAGAGCGGAGGGCCTCGGGTGTGTTTCCCTTTAACTTGACATCCTCGGTTTTGAATATGAAAACTTGGACTCATATTTTGGGTGGTCTAATTACGAGTGTGTCCGATTGTTTTAAAATACTGGCAGTTTACCAGTTCGGTTTTGGCCGTGAACTCCAGCCTGACTTTTTAAAAATGTAATTATTCCAAATATGGAGGTGCATTTGTTCTTCCTGAATTGATGAAAGGGGCTCTCAGTGTCCCCAAGGCCTTCGGGCTGCACAGAGCTGCTTCAATTGTTTGCCCGCGTCCGGCTCACCTCCCAAAGCCAGCTCTGCAGTGCAGCCCCAGCCCACAGCCCAGCCAGTGAGACTCAGAACTGAATGTCAAAGGAGAGAGAGAGAGAGAAGCAGGCTTTGTTTGCAGCCATGGCCCAGGGAGGTGACCCACAGGCGCCTGCGTCAGTGCCAAGGCAAGGGGCCTGGCCTGCGTCACAGAGGGCTCTGACGTGGCACCACTGCCAAAGTGACATCCTCCTCAGGCCCTGCCTGAGAGCCCTCGCCGGAGGCCCACGGTGTGGAGATGATCCCTCCTCCAGGCCGAGGGGCGTGCGGCAGCGGGGGACACTTCAGAGGCTTCATCCTCGTGAAAGGGAGGAAAAAGACCTGGGAATGTTGTCACTAAAGGACACTAAAGAGATGCGGCCCCTGGCAGCACACGCCATCCGCAGCCAGCCGGGGAAGGGCCATCCAAGAGCCCTTGGAACAGTGGGGAGGTCTCCTGATGCACAGCACGGTAGACGCGGCTGCCGAAAGCCTCAGGCAGGCAGGTTGCAGTGGCCTTGGGGCCCCTGAAACAGCCCCCCAGGAAGAGAGGCTGACCCCCGCTATGACCCCCACTACCTCCACCGCCATTCATCTGTGCATAGGGGAAGGACGTTTGAGATTTTCTTACAGAGTTCTTGAAGTTTTTCTTTAAGTTTGAAATTTAAAGCTGGGCATGGTGGCTCACACCTGTAATCCCAGCACTCTGGGAGGCCAAGGTGGGTGGATCGTTTTGGCTCAAGAGTTCGAGACCAGCCTGGGCAACCTGGTGAAATCCCGTCTCTACAAAAATTAGCCAGGCAAGGTGGTGCATGCTTGTACTCCCCAGCTACTCAGGAGGCTGAGGTGGGAGGACTGCCTAATGCATGACTGCACTCCAGCCTGGGCAACAGAGCAAGACCCTGTCTCAAAAAAAAAAAAAAAGAAATTTAAAGGAAAGCATCAGAAGAAAAGTCTTGGAGCTTCTGTGTCCACCGAGTCCTCCCTGGGCCGTCTCCTTTAAAAGGCAAACAGACAAACCCTTTTCCTCGATCAGCCTGGCTTCCTGGGAGTGGCCATTTGCTGCAGGAACCCCTCCCCTCCACCCTCAGCTGCCTTGTCCTCCACCCCACCCTAGAGAAGGGACCTGCCTCTGTGTCCTCTATGGGGTTGCTGCCCTCCATCACTTTTATCCACTTCAGAATGGCCCCTGGGCTGCTAAAGAAAGGCAGGCACACCACTTCGGTCATTGCTGGGATGGGGCAGCCCCACAGGGTCCCCTCTAAGGTCCTAGCCTTCCTCCCCCACCCCTCCCCCTATTTCCCTTCCCCGCCCCCCCATTTCCCTCCCCCACCTTCCTCCTTCTCCCCTTGCCCTTTCCTGGCATTGTACCCACCCTTCTGCTGGCCCTCTGGTCTCCTCTCCTTGTCTCTGTGTGCCTGTGCCTATGTGTATTTGTGTATCTGTGTATCTGTCTCTTCATGTGTATATGTATCTGCATGTCTGTCTATTTGTGCATCTGTCTGTGTCTGTGTGTGTGTGTCTGTGTGCGTCTGTGTGTGCCTCTGCGGGTATATGTATCTGTGTGTGTATGTATCTGTATGTGAGCCTCTGTGGCCTCCCTGCTTCCCGACACCCTACCACTGGTCCCTGAGGCCTCATCCCTGTTTCTTCAGCTCCCCAGCTCTGCGTAGCTCCTCTGTGCTCCCAGCTTTGACTTTATTCCACCTGCGTACTGCTCCAGTTCTGATCTGTCTCCCAAATCCCAGACTCGAATCTGCACTTTCTTGCTGGATTTCTCAGGGCCCCACCGGATGCTGGGATTCAGCCTCTCTGAGCTGCCCTCTACCCACCTCCCCGTCCCGGGGCCAGCACCTCCTCTGTGGTGGCCCTTCTCTGGCACTTGGCCAGGAGTCCTGGTGCCTCCTGCTCACTCTCCTGTCCACGGGTGGTCCCCACTGCCTTCTCTGGCACTTGGCCAGGAGTCCTGGTGCCTCCTGCTCACTCTCCTGTCCACGGGTGGTCCCCACTGCCGCTGGACCCAGCCTCTGTGCCAGCCTCTGCCCGGCCCTGCTGCCTCTGTGCAGTCGCTTCTCTGCAGGCATTCCCCTGCCCTCGCGCTGACTCATTAGCACCTTCCTGTGGCACAGGCAGGACCATGCACCCCTCGGAGAGACCCGCAGCCTCTCCTGCCCATCCACTGATGAGCAAAGCCCACATTGTGAGGAGCCCTCTGAGGCCCTGAACACCTCCTCAGCCCTGAGCTCCCATCTCCGTGTCCTCAGCCCTTAGGTCTGGTCCCCGCACCCTCAGCCCTGAGCTCTGAGCTCCCATCTCTGCGTTCTCAGCCCTGAGCTCCGTTCCCCTTAGCTCCAGTTCCCGCGCCCTCAGCCCTTAGCTCTGGTCCCCACACCCTCAGCTCTGAGCTCTGGTCCCCGCGCCCTCAGCCCTGAGCTCTGGTCCCCGCACCCTTAGCCCTGAGCTCCTGTCCCCATGTCCTCAGCCTGTGGTCTGAGCCCTGTCTCCTCATCCTTAGCCTGTTGCTTTTCCTTCCACACCTGCAGCCTCCAGGACATTCTTGCTTCCTGAAGGCCCGTCCTGGCTGCTGCTCTCCCTCCTCCCGAATCCCTCCTGCTCCTCATCCAGGGCATTGTCCTCAGCGCTCTGTGCCACCTTCTTAGGGAATTGTTCTGCTTTCAGATTCTTTGTTCTTTGCTCTCCCTCCGGTGCACCGAGTGATAAGGGCCCCGCTCTCAAGAAACCTCCCATACACCACTCAGTCAGTCACATCCCGTTACACATCAGACTGCACCGGGCCCTGGGGGAGCTGCAGGAACTGAGCGTATGGGTGCCCTCTTGATGAGTGTCCTGAAAGCCAAGACTTGGATGCCATCTTCGAGGTCCCCTGTGAAACAGCGCTGCTTCACCCGGCGCCCCTGCTGCACCTGGCACCCCTGCTCACAGCGACAGCGGTACCGCCAGGCTCCCTGTTCTCCCTGCCCCCCACAGGGCCTCTCAGGCTCTCAGTGTGCAGGAAGAAGATGGGACTGAGAAACCAGAAGCAATCACAGACCTCAAAATCATCAAGTGAAACTAGTGTTGAAACACATGCTTTTTTTGGTCAACCACTGAGAAACCTGTCAGAGCAAATGGGGACAATGTTGCTAGATTCCTTAGTTGAACTTGTTTCTCCCCGGCTTTGTGAAAGTCTAACCGGAAACAGTCGCATGTATTTACAGCGTACGGCGTGATGATTTGATACTTGTATGCGTTGTGAAATGATCGCCACAAGGGACCTCATCCATGCCCCCTTGGCCTCACGGGGCTCTCATTGTGTCTGTGGTAAGGTCCGTGAATATCGGGGCCACCAAACTGTGCATCAGGTCCCGGAACTTATTCCTCTCCCAACGGCACGCTCACCCGTGGACAGCACGTTCCTGTTCCCGACGCGCGGCCACCCACCGCTGCACTCTCCTCCCTGCGAGTTTGGCTTTCTGAAGCTGAGTTCCTTACGTGCCACGCCGCCTACTGGTTCCCACACTGCCGATGGCCGGCCCGCCCCGACACCCACGCTGCCTGCACCCGGCTGGACCTGGCTCCATTTCCCTGTGCCAGGTTGAAAGCTTTTCTGAAGAAAAGCTGCCTTCGGTTTAGAGATAAACAATGGATCTGCGTTTTCTTCACTCGGCTTTTACTGCCGTACTTTAAACTGCTCTTAGAAAGAAAGTTAAGGGATGATCAATCATAAAACAAACCCCCCGCCCAATCTGAAGTCTCTGATGTTCCACAGTGAGGCACAGCAGGGCTCTGGAGGCTGAAAACTCACCATGTTGTGTGTGTGTGAGTCTGCGTCTCAGCCCTGCTGCGTGGGGACCGGTGTCGTCTGATACGGCTGACCCCTGGGAGCAAGCGGACACTGAGTGCCCACCAACCCGTGCCCCGTAGTTCAGGCTGCTGGAGAGGCCGCCTCGCGTGAGTGTGGAGCAGCATGCAGTGCTCTAAGGGTGTTGAAATGCAAGGGCTCGGGGGATTTCAGGTGTCAGTCTTCCTTGCACACCTCAGTTTCCTTCTGGAAACAGTCGGATGCGGTGCCGAGATCCATCCTCCACGCGCTGTAGCTCCTCTCTCTGCCAGGAACTCGGCTTGTCCCACCGTCCCTCGAATCTGCCCTTCAGGCCGTTCCCCACGGGGACAGATGAATCGAGCATCCGGAGAGACCCCTCGATCTGGGACTTTGGGATTGTGGGACGTTCTTTCACAGTCTGCAGAGGAATGCAGCTCAGTCAGTGCCTTCTTCTGAGAAACTCCCTGTGCGCCCTTCCTAGTCTAACTCCAGACCCCCGCCCTCTCTCCTGAGCTTTTTTTTTTTTTTTTTTTTTTGCCACTTCCCGCATCCCTCTCTCCCCTCTTGTTCTCAACTCCAGCCTTTGCTCTGCTCACATTCATCCCTTTTCTGGCTCCCAGATGTGATGGGGCAGCTCCATTGCCCAAAACGAAGGAGTTGTCCTGGCCACCCTCTCTTGCCTCTCCATATGCAGTCTGTCCCTGGGCCTAGAGCTGCTTCCTTTTTGGTGTCATGGAAACCTGTTCTTTCTCCCATGCCTTAGCCAGACGTGGGGCTGGCCTCACCCTTTCAACCTCTGGCCTGTCTGCAGCAGGGCATGCTTCTAGAACGTGCACCTGCTTGTTTTCAGCCCAGAGTGCCCTTCCCACAGCCCCACCTCGTCTCCGGCACCCTGTGTTCCTGTTCTCTGGCCTTCCACGCTGCAGCCCTGCTGGCTTCCCACAGCTCCCAGAGCGCATTGAGGTCAGCCATACACCCTGTTCCACTTTGCCCCACTACGCGGACACCCCTTGCATTTGCCCCATCCTTTTAGTGAATGTGCGATGAGCAATGCCTGTGCCACGTGGATGAGTCAGAAGTGGTCCCTACCCTCCTGGGAACTGCAGACTGCAGGAAAGATGGATACATGAATGGCAACCACAGAAAAGCCAGAGGACTGGGGTCGGGGGGTGCTGGAGGAGGGCACATTGCCCTATCAGGAAGATCAGCTGACCCTGGAAAAGGTGACATGCACGGGAGGCTCACAAAGCCTCTTGGAGTGGCTGGAGGCCGAGGAAGGAAGGCAAGCAGCGGGCTGGAGGCGAGTGTGGCATGAGGGATGCAGAGCCAGCGGCGTGGTCGGGAGCAGGGTGGCAGGGAGGCTGCAGGGGCAACATGGCCACACGATGGAGGGGCTCTTCAGCAGAGGCAGGATGGCAGAAGAGCACTTGGGGGACATTCAGCAGGGGAGTGACCAGGTCCACTGGCCCGTTTGAAAGCGTGCCCTCACTGCTACATGAAGAAGATTGCAAAGCGTTGACGCTGGAGGTGGGGGCCTCCCAGGAGCCATGCTGTCATCCAGGCAGGAGAGGCCAGGTGGGGCAAAGCAGGAAAGGCAGGAGGTCGAGGCTGGAGAGAAGCAGCACCGTCCAGAGGCGTTTCTCGTGAGCAATGCATGGGCAGTGCTTGGCGGACAGAATTGGGAGCTTGGGGTGTGACTGGACAGCTGGCCAGAGAGAGGTCCCAATAGCCAAGAACAGGTCCTAGAGAAGGGAGAGGCTTGGAAGAAGCTGCCCTGCGTTCGGCATTGGACCTGCTGTGCTGGGGCTCATGGGCACTCTAGGCTAAGCTGAGGCGTCTGGCAGGCCATTAGGTCTGGAGGTAAAGAGCGAGTTTGGGCTCAGCACCACCTTTGGGAGTCGCTGATACTTGGAATCCAGAATGGGGAAATGAGCCGAGGAGCAGGCCCAGGACAAACCAAGACGGAGGAGCAGGCGGGGAGCAGGAGAGGAGCACCTGCCGCCTGTTCCGCACTGAGAGGCCGGGGAGGGAGACCGAGAAGCGTCCGTGAGATCCAACAGGAAAAGAGGTCGGGGGCATCTAGGGAGTCCCACAGGAGGGAGGATGTTGCGGTTCTTGGGGCCCCATAGCGGGGCAGGTCATGGAGCACCCATGGAATCCTGCAAGAAAGGAGGTCATGGTGTCCCTGAGATCCTGCAGAAGGGGAGGCCGTGGCATCCCTGGGATTCAGCAGGAAGGGAGGTCCTGGAGTGTTCCCAGGATCCGGCAGGAGGGAGGTCATGGCACATCGGTGGGATCCTGCAGGAGGGGAGGCCGTGGCGTGTTGGTGGGATTGGGCAGTGAGCATTGTGGACGTGGTTGTCTTCCGCTGAGTGGGTGGTGGGCTGTTTCTCTTAGCAGTTGTGGCTGTGAGGTCAGCATTGGCCTCTCCCCTTCACACTCAAGCTCTCCTCTGCAGACTCTGTTGACACCTGCAGCTTCTTTTCTGTTTCTCGGTGCCTGACACAGAAGAGGTGCTTAGTAAACCCCAAATGTTAGTCAGCCTCCTTCCCTGGGCCAGGTCACCTTGACCCTGGGCTGGGGTCCTACTGGGCATTATTTTCTTAGGCACTCAGGCACCCCAGTGCCTGTTGGGAGATAAAGGTGCCTGCTGGCCTGTGGCAGGGTGATAAGGTGCCCTGAGTCCCTGATTGTCTGCCCCAGAGGGTGGGGTTTGCAGCATCCCTTCTCCTGTCAGATGAGCTCAGAGGACCCAGCTCTCTGTGCTTCATGTGTTACCTCCGCCTTGCAGATCATCCCCAAGCCAAGCGAGCCAGCCCGGCAGCCGGAGAGCCACCCGGAGGAGACGGAGGAGGAGCTCCGTGAGCACCAGGCTCTGCTGGACGAGCCCTACCTGGACCGGCTGCCGGGGCAGAAGGAGGCGCACGCACAGGCCGGCGTGCAGGTGAAGCAGGAGCCCATTGAGAGCGATGAGGAAGAGGCAGAGCCCCCACGGGAGGTGGAGCCGGGCCAGCGCCAGCCCAGTGAGCAGGAGCTGCTCTTCAGACAGGTGACCGCAGGCGGGGAGGGCACCAGAAGGCTGGCACGCACAGCCACCCTCGGTCCCCAGGTGGCATCTTCTGTGGTGATCACGGGGGCTGCAGGGCATCCTTGCGCGGTCACTGTCCAGTGTCTCACCTGTCTTGTCCTGGCCAGTGAGGGAGGTTGATGTGGCTTCCATTTTGTCCCAGCCGTTCCTAGGGATACGAGATGTTTGCCCCCTGTGGGTGGTTACGTAACTGCTTTCCAGCCATGCGCAGGCCCCAGAGAATGGATTTCCTTCCTGTCTGTAGGCTGTAAATGAACACAGAATCCATGTGTTAGTGAGATACAGCATGCTTTTTAAAGAAGTGAAGGAACTAGAGGTATTAATTGATCAAAAAGGCAGGCAGGGCCTGATCAGAAGTCAAGACCTTTTGTGACCCAGAGGTGCTAATGAGCAGCCCTGCAGATCCAGACAGACGGGTGCGATTGTGGCACCCAGAGCCAGTAAGGCTTCAGGGCACTGACACCCAGTAACCAAACTCACAGGAGACTGATGAAGAAGGCCAGTGAATGACTGGTTAATTTCCATTGAAACATTAAACTTCTGAGTCAGCAGAAATACCTAAGGCATTTGGGCAGCCAGCTGGAGCCCCGTATCTGCAGCTAGAGTGCCCTCAGGAAAGTGGCTTCCTCCCTGTAGGCAGGAAGCCAGTCCGAGGAACCACAGCTCTGTAGGATTTGATTCTATCCTCCAGCAGCAGAGCTGCTGCCTCGGCTGCAGGAGCCACTGGCTCGTTCCCTCCCTTCTCTCTGGACTCCATGCCGGCCGTGCCGTTGAGCACCTCCCCAGCTTCCTGACTGCCAGCTGTGTGGCCAGACGCTGCATCTCCACCCCCAGCAGCACCTTGGAAGCCAGGAGCAGGACGCCCTGCAGTAAACTGTTCCCCTTAATTCTCAGCTACAGTTCTTAAATGCTTGCCACTGAATGAATCAGTGTGGGGCCTTGTACCTGGAGCACCTAGACCCAAGCCTGCCACACACGGGATCAGTGCTCAGTGGTCTCCAGAGGCTTCTGGGTCAGGAGCCCTTCTCCACCGAGCTTCCCCCAGTGGCTGGCATTGGGTGCTATTTCTCCTTCTTGTTCAGAGGGGGGCCTGTCTCTAATTTCTGGGCCTTCTTAATTAGCACCCCGGGCACTAAACACTACAAAGCCCAGCAGAACTAACGCTTGGCAAAGACAGAGAGAGAAAGCCCCGGGCCTCTCTGGCACACACACGGTGCTTCATGGTGAACACTCGTCCACAGGTCCTGTCCGACAGGCCCAGGGTGGGGGCCTCTTCCTGTGGTCGGGCCTTGTAAGTTGATGAAGATCTGAAATTCAGTGTGCTATTATTAGGCTGATAAGAAATGGGAAACTATTTACATTAATAATTTTTAGGGCTAGTTTCTCATAGATCAGCCTTTACTTTGAGAAAAAGAGGCTTGTTATATTCCAAGCATGAGATGATTATTAGAAACACTTATTTTCTGTTCTCTCTGGAGAGTAATAGGCAGAACCCCTTATCAGGGAAACGTCGTAGTACACGGAGCAATTTGCCGAGGTAAACATAAGGCGGGGCACCTCCAGCCCGCGTCGGGGAGGATTGCTTATTAACCACTTAACCGCGTGGGGCCCACGGCAATCCCAGCTGAATTTGGTCAGCAGCAGACTGGGGGCCTGTGGGTGCTGGCTCCTGCTCCAGCTCCTGCTGCAGCTCCTCCCACTGTCTCAGGGCTTCCTTCTTCTCTGCTCCCTCCTGGCTCTGATTCCTTTTGTGTGTGTGTGTGTGAGACAGAGTCTCACTCTGTTGCCCAGGCTAGAGTGCAGTGGTGCCATCTCAGCTCACTACAGCCTCCGCCTCCTGGGCTCAAGCAATTATTCTGCCTCAGCCTCCCAAGTAGCTGGGATTACAGGCACCCACCATCACGCCTGGCTAATTTTTTGTTTGTTTGTTTGTTTTGTTTGTTTGTTTTTTTGGAGAGATGGGGTTTCACCATTTTGGCCAGGCTGGTCTCGAACTCCTTACCTCAGGTGATCCACCCGCCTCAGCCTCCCCAAGTGCTGGGATTACAGGCATGAGCCACCACGCCCAGCCTGATTCCTAAAGGCAGGACAGATCGGAGCCTGGCCGGGTAGCTCTGGTTTCCCCCAGTGCTGGCAGCACAGGGCTGGGCTCTGCCTTCATACAGGAGCTGGGATGTAGGTACCTGGTTTTCCATGTTCACAGGATTTGTTCATCAAAACTAAGACAGGATTGGCGCAGAGCTCCCAGCAAGGAGGCGCCCGGCTTTCTTTGTGCCTCGGCCTGGGTGGCAGGTTGCTGTGCTCTCCCTCAGCTGCTGTCTGGGGAGAGGCTTGGCAGCTGTGACCTCATCTCTGCCCTGCTCCCTCCACTCCACTCTGCCTCGTATGGGGGTTTGCACCTCAGCCTGTTCCCAGAATCCCTCAGGGTGTCCCAGGCCCCTGGCTGAGTGCCCCCCCCACACACAGAGCCCAGCCCAGCTCCATCTCATCAGAGAGGCACATCCCCACCAGCAGGCCTGCTCTAGGCCCCAAAGGTCCTGGGTGCCCAGAAGCTGATGGGCTGTTACTGCTTTTAGCCTGCACGAGGGTGTGTGGGATGTGAGACCAGGGAGGGGAGCGGCTGCAGATGAAGCCCAGTTGGCACTTTCAAGTCTGAGAGCCGATGGTGCTTTCTCGCCCAAGTTTGGCATGCAGATTCAATGCTGTTGGTCAGAACTAAGACCCACAAACCCAACAAGGGGGTTGGGCTTCGTGCCCACTCACCGTATGTGTGTGGTATGGCAGAGTGGACGCTGTGGTCCCCACATCTACATGGCCTTCGCATATCCCCCAGTGAAACCAGCGAGGGCCAGGCTGCCGCCCCAGCAAGAGCTTCTCTCCACACCTGCCAGGCCCTACTCCCCTGCACCTGCTCCAGGCTGCTCCTGGCTCAGCACCTCCTCAGAGAAGCCCTCCTTGATACCCCATACTGGGCCAGGCCTCCCTGGGACCCCCTGACTCAACCTGTGTTATCCTGTTAACGTAACCCATGGCAGGATCCCACGTGGACAGCCTGCCTTCCCTAGAGAGACCGTCCTGGGAGGCAGAGCCTGTGCTGGCCTCGTTCTTGGCTCTGGGCCCACTCAGGCTTCAGGGCACTCACAGGGAAGGCCTCTCCACGCAGCTGGCCTCCCGGCATCCTTGTGGCCCATGTATGGCCTGTGCGTGGACGGGAGACTTGCAAGAGAGGGCAACCCCTAGCCCTGCAGCCCAGGGGCGGGAGACATCCGCAACCGCCAACACGGCCGTTTCTTCCCCGCAGCAAGCCCTCCTGCTGGAGCAGCAGCGGATCCACCAGCTGAGGAACTACCAGGCGTCCATGGAGGCCGCCGGCATCCCCGTGTCCTTCGGCGGCCACAGGCCTCTGTCCCGGGCGCAGTCCTCACCCGCGTCTGCCACCTTCCCCGTGTCTGTGCAGGAGCCCCCCACCAAGCCGAGGTTCACGACAGGTAACACGTGGCCTTTGTGCAGCCTGAGGGTGCAACGCGGGCCACAGTGGGCACAGCGCGGGGGGCTCTTCCCGGCCCAGCTCTGCAGAGGCTGAGGAGGGGCTGGGCAGGCACGAGGGCCACGCTGGATGGTGGGGACCACACAGGTCTGTCACAGAGGCCCTCTCCCCGCCCTACACCCCACACCTTCAGTTCTGTCATGCTGGGGACCTGTCACGGGCTCACTTGCCCACTTTCCTGTCCCAGAGACCCATGGTCTCCTCCAAGAACAGTCCACAGCCCATGCCCGTGGGGCCATGAGAACCTACAGCTTCTGGTCCGGCTCAGGAATCATGAGCCCACGCTTCTCCGCTTACTCCCTCACACTTCGCCCACGTCCACAGCGTTGACGCTGAGGCTCCAGTGACAGGGCTGTGAATGGCTGGCGGGGGGCTGTGATTACACGAGAGCAGAGCCCGGGACCCCTGGGACACGCTGTGGGAGCCACACGTCCTCTGTCTGTGCCATCCCTCATACCATCCTCACCCCGGGGAGGCGATCTGCCAGCAGGGGTCCTTGGTTTTCCCTCACAAGAAGGAGGCAAGTAAGGCGTCCACCACGGCTGAGGAGGCAGGAGGGGCCGGGCCCTGGACTTGTCTGCCTGGAGCTAGCCAGAGCCGGGGAGGAGACTGCTGTCCTGGGCCGCCCCGCCACCCAGCCACCCCTGCAGGGGAGAGGAGGGAAGGAGGGCTGGCTTCTGGCAGGGCTTGCCTCTGAGACAAGCACAGAGGCAGGAGCGCTCTTCATGTTGTTATGATCTAATATTTCTTGTTAATGACGCACTAAGAAAAATGTTCTGTAAATACAGCACGGCTTCATTCTTCAGATGATTCTCATCACGTGGCTTAGTGTTCTGCAGTCTGCGAGGTTCTCACTCTCAGGTCTTAGAAGGATGCTATTCATATTCAGAGACAAATTTCCAGAGTAGGTATCCAGCAAGTAAAATGCTGCTTCTCAGAAAGAAAACCATGGAAGGTCACAGGAGCAGCCAGATGACCCACTCCACAAGTCCTGGGCAGCTGACTGCAATAAGTGTGTTCTTGAAAGAATGCAGCTCAGACAAGGGAGACCCCAGTCACCGCCACCAAGGAGAATCCTCCCACTAAGCTGGCCCACCCTGGCTGGTCCCAGGAGACTTGCAGGGAGTCCCGCTTCGTTGGTGTCCTTTCTTAGTTTGTCTTGATTACTTTTTAAACAAATTTATAAAACAGTACATGTTCATTGTAAAGAAAAACATGATAGAAACCCACAGGAAATGCCGTTTGCCCGTAATGCCACTCCCCAGTGGTGGCAGGTTGTTAGTATTTGCTTTAAACCTTCCAGATCTATTTCTGTGCATAGCCAGATGGACAGATAGACACAAACATAATTTGTTTCACAGAGACGGGACTCTGTTGTGTCTGATGCTTTCTGTTAGTACCTCACACTCTCAGCCATCTTCCCGTGTCCGTGCACAGCGACGCAGTGCGTTCCTTTAGCCACGTGGTCTCCTGGCTGGCTCTGCCACCCTCAGCTGTGTGGGCTTTGCCGCTTCTCCATCTCTCTACGCTCCAGCTTTTCTGTCTGTAAAGGCAGTAAAGCAGGTGTCTGCCTCGTAAGTTCCAGCCGTGTGCTTAGTAAATATTAGCGCACGTGACCTTATCATGATGATTCCACTGTAGGGGCAGTCCCCATTCCTTGTATCCGTGAGCAACTGGTTGTTTCTGCACACACACTTACGTATTTCACGGGGCAGTGTCCGTCATTGCCTATGTGTCTGTGTTGCCATTACAAACTCCCAAGCACAGCCATGCCCACACACAGTGTACTGATTGTGAGTCCTAGTTTCATTGACTCCTGTAAGCCTGCACCTACCCTGATGCTTTTTTTTTTTTTTTACCAGAAGTCCCATCCCACAGCACTGTTGTGCAAGTACCTCCAGAATTCCTCAAGTGCAGGAGACTGACTCCTGTTAGCCTGACTCACAAGAGGCTGAGCCAGGAAGTATGGGAACTAATATGCACCAAGTGTATCCTGTAGCTGGACCCTGCAAACACTGGACCACCTTGAATCTCAGCTCCCCTTGGCTGGGGATGCTGCCTGTGTTCCCAGTAATAGGAACACAAGTGGGGAGGGCCGCATCCTGGGCCAGCACACTGAAGCAATAGAGCAGGTCTGTCTGGGCAGCTTGCCCAGGCTCTTCACCGTGCGCCCCGCCCTTATCAGCCTGGATGAACCCACATTAGCACAGGTGCCCCTGGCCAGTGACCTGCCTGCGGAAGGCGTCTGTTCACCCAGCCTGGCCTTCCCTTTGTTAAGTCCTGGAAGACCAGGTGTGTGCAGCACAGACATGTCCCGGCAGGGCCTCGGGGCAGCCCTCCTGCCAGGTGTCACCAGGGGCCAAGGCCTGGTGAGAAGGGGCCGGGGCAGAGCTGTGCCCCGGAGGGCCACCTGGCCTTCCCTCGCATCTCTAGCCTCTGCAGACAGGTCAGATACTCTCCCCTTCACAGCGGTCCCACGTATGCTGACTGAGACAGGGTGGCATCCAACACGGGTTCAGGCACATTGCCTTTCCTGCTGCAGAGCCCCAGGCTGCCGGCCCAGTTGGTTCTGGGGCCCCCACCAGGAGCCTCTTCTGTGGCTGCCGCACCCTGGGGGCCCGTCCATGCTGAGCTCAGTGCTGTGGTGAGCACATGGCTGGCCTCTTTTCACAGTCAGAGGTTAAGTAGACCTGTGTACATGGGTTTTGCGTGTGTTTTCTAGCATATGTGTTCCAGTCCCTCTGGAAGTTTCTAAAGGCAGAGCTCGAATCTGGTGTTTCTTTGGAATCTCAAGTACCTTGGACAGTTCTCCGTCCAGCAGAACTGGAGTTACTATTGGTCCAGGACCAGGCAGACTTTGAGGGTAGGGGGCTAGAGTCGCCTCCTTCTAGAAGTCAGCACCGTCCTCCCCAGCACAAGTCCCACATAGAGCTCACCCCTGCAAGGTCCAGCCACCCAGGGCAGACCTCCTCATCACTGTTTTCTCCTCAGCCTGCTGCAGCAGGGCAGCTGCGCACGTCCCTGCCTGGGTCCTGGGGCGTTACTGTGAGCATGAGTGACAGGCAGGCCCTCCCACCCGCCTGGCCTCTGCATTCGTCCACGTTCTCTGGGCCTGGCCAGTCAAGGAGTCTTGGCAAACGTGGTATTTTTCTAAAGAACCGTCCCAGCTTCCGTCTCCTTCTAGGGAAGTGGTGGTTCCGCCACCACCCGGGGGCAGCCTGCCAGTGGGTGGTCGGCTCGCCCCTGGATGTGCGCTGATCTTGGCCCCTCTGCCCCGCCCCAGGCCTCGTGTATGACACGCTGATGCTGAAGCACCAGTGCACCTGCGGGAGTAGCAGCAGCCACCCCGAGCACGCCGGGAGGATCCAGAGCATCTGGTCCCGCCTGCAGGAGACGGGCCTCCGGGGCAAATGCGAGGTAACGCCGACCGGGGCAGGTGGGCAGCTGCGGCTTTGGGCACCATTAGAGGGGACCCTCGTGGGCCCGCGTGATTCAGGGTGTTGGTTTTGCAGGTGGTTCTTTGGGCTTACAGCCCCGGGGGAAGGGCCACAAGCATCTTCACTGTCTGCATTTGGGCGGGCAGCTATCTGCTGAGAAGCCCGGGGCTGTCTCCCTGGAGTCCCGTACCCTCCCTGCAGGAAGCTGCTGCCTCTGTCTGTGACCTTTCCTGATGTTTCGCTCCCACCTCCCACCTAGCAGGCTCTTCTCAAGGTCCAGGGCTGTTGCTTTCTGCCTCCGGGTCACTTCCCCAAGGAAACCAGTTCCCACCATGCTCCCCCAGGGCTGCCAGGAAGGAGCCACGGGGAGATCCGATTATATCTCAGATCAGGCCTGTTGGCTTTTTGTTAAAATAATTTTCTCTTTTTTTAAGATTTTGAAAAGCTTCTTCGAGAACACAGGGAGACCTCAGGCCCTTGGGGCCCTCCTCAGAGTTAAGGTGCTGGCGAGGCAGTGGGTCGTGAAGGGAATGGAGCTGCAGGCAGGGCCCTGGCCTGGTTTGAATTCAGCTCCCTTATGTGGCTGAGTCACACGAGGAGGCTTCGGGGATGCTGCAGCTCTGGCTGTGCCTCAGTTTCCCTGGCCGCCAGGCGATGGCAGCGGCCTCACTTGTTCTCATACAAGGAGGGCCCGGCCCCGCCTCCTGATAGGAACCAGAGCCCTGCCCCGAATCTGGCTGCAGTGGACTCCCAGGCCCAAGGAGGCAAGAAGGATCAGCCGATTAACACCTGAGGGCAGGACGGGGGCCGCACTTTGGTGAGGCTGTCCCAGCTGGTGCTCTTCACCCTGGAGGCAGCTGTCACAGGGGATCTTGAGCTCTTGACAGGGAGGAGGGTGTGGCCAGGCCCTGCTGATAGCGAGGGCAGGAAGAGAAGAGACTCCCGTCTGGGAGCTGGTGACCTTGGACAAATTTCCATTTCTTTGTCTGTAGAGAGGGGCTGGCAACACTGTGCAGGGTCGCACAAGGCCCCACCCATGCCAGGGCCCACCAGTAGAGACCTGCTATGTCCACTCCCCACACCAGGAATCCCACCATCCTACAGATAGCGCACAGGGTGGACAGGAACATCCACACCCACCCCTCCAACAGTCCTGGACACCCGACAGCCCAGGGCCCAAGTGGCTGTGGCAGAGATGAGTGAGCACGTGGAGCTGGCGTGGCACGGAGGGCCTCTGGTCTCCTGGCTTAGTTTCTGCAGGGTCCCGCCCTGCAGGTTCGCCTGCCCTCCTTTAGAAGCTGGGATATTTGTGAACTTTTAATCTGTGCCTCATCTTACCCCCCGTTTCCTTTACCAGTTTTATTGGTGATACATAATTTTCAGGGGGGAATTCTCTAAAAGTCAGGCCCAGGACCCTCTCCTGCAGTGCCCTCTGGGAGGAGGGAGGAGGAAGGCGGGGAGGAGCCACTGTAGAGGCTCTTGGCACCTGCTTCAGGGATCTGGTCAGGACGGCTGTGCCACTGGAGGGCAGCATTGCCCAGCAGACACTGGCTGCAGGAAACTCCTTCCCCACGTCCCTTCCCTCCACAGGACCAGACAGCTGTCCTGCTGCCCCTTCTGGGGACTGCCCAAGGCCTCCTGAGGCTTCCAGAGCTCCATAACCTGCTTCCTTGTCCCTCCCCTACATGTGCCCCCACCCCCAGGAGGTTCCGCTGAGGCCAGGGGATTGGGAGAGGGTCTCTCAGCCAGAAAAGCAAAGCAAATGCAAGCAAGGGAGGGAGGAGTGAGAAAGCAAAGACCCTGGAAGAAACAGCCCGCTCCTCCGCCCGCCCTCAGCTCCTCCGCCCGCCCTCGGCTCCTCTGCCTGTCCTCAGCACCATGGGTGAAGGTGCCAGCCACGACTGGGCCAGGGGCTGGCAGAGGGTCCCCAGGTGTTGGGGCTGTGGGACAAGACCTGAGCCTGGCAGGATCTCAGGGAGAGGAGAGCTGGAGAAAGACAGGTGGCTGGGAGACAGCCACAGAGGCGGTGGAGGCCATACTCCCTGGACAGCAGTGCCTTGCTCCCACACGTGGGGCAGCTCTCCAGTGCGGGTGCCCCTCCAGGTTCAGAGCGAGCAGTGTGCTAACTCAGCCCAGGGGGACGTGACGTCACCCACCAGACTTCCAGTGCCAGCCTGCCAGGGGTCACTGGCCTCCTGAGATGGCCGAGCAGAGGGGCCATGGGTACGGGGCATGGTTAGAGTGGGTACCCGATAGGAGAAGATGGGGTGGATGGGGCTGTGACTTCCCCAGTCCGCGGACCACTTGGAGGCCACAGCAAGACCGAAGCCCAGGCCCGAGGGCAGGGCCTCAGAGTCAGCACCCCTTCTCTGGGTAGACGACTGCCTGGAGGCCTGGGGGGTGAGGCCCTCCCCTCACACTGCTGAGTTGGCTTCGCGTGGTGAGGAAGGATGAGAGTGGGCTGGGAGATACTTTCTGCAAGCTTGGGACCCTGTCGATACTGGCAGGCCGGCCCAGCAAGACGTGGCTCCCAGTGCAGCTGTCTCGCTCCCTGCCTCACTCCAGAGCAGGCCTTGGGAAGCTGCCTCACACGTTCTGAGCAGTCGGGGGTCCTCTGAGTATAGCCATGTGTGTGTGCGGGCCCCGCCCTCCTGCAGAGGCTTCCCGGGAGCCAGAACAGCTCCTGGCCAATTTGCTTGCCCAGCTTGGTTTGTCCTGCCTCCAGGCACGGTGTCCAGGAAGGAGAGGAGAAGTGGGTGGGCTGGAAGTCAGATGCCACAGAGACCAGGGCCACCACTGGGATTTGCACCCTGCCCCAAGCCTGTGTTTGCTGTAAGGAGCAAAGACTCCTTCTGTCTTATCCTAGGAATTAAAGGGAGACAGAAATAACGAGGTCAGCCTCCCAAGAAAGCAGGAAGGGGCCACCATCACCACCGCTCCCAGAGTGGCTCTGGAAAAGCCTCTCAGGTGCTCAGTCTGAGCCGTCACAATATTGCACGCTACAGCCTGAGCCATCGCGGTGTCCCGCACGCACAGCCCGAGCCCTTGCGGTGTCGCGCACCTGCAGCCCCAGCCGTCGCGGTGTCGCAGAGCTTTTGGGGCTTTGATCCTGTGTCTTTTCTGTGTCCATTTCATGTGTTTGTAAGGAGAGGGTTTTTCTACTTTTCTTCTTTGCCTTATTCTAACATCAACTTTAATTTGTGAATTTCATTTGTGGTCTAACGTCAGATCTCTCTTTCTGCAATTCAGTCTCTTATCCAGTGGGTCGCTTTTGAGTGGGGAGGACACACATGGCTACCCTGCCGTTCTTTCACCCAAAGTCCACACTACATGACCTGCCTCTTGGCACCGCA
Source organism: Homo sapiens (assembly GCF_000001405.40). Lineage (NCBI taxonomy): Eukaryota > Metazoa > Chordata > Mammalia > Primates > Hominidae > Homo > Homo sapiens. The sequence goes on along the minus strand of NC_000002.12, from coordinate 239,104,676 downwards.
GGGCACAGCCTGTGGTCCCCTACGGGGACCTTCCCAAGCGTGGGCTGCCTAGGCCCGTCTGTCCAGAGGGAACTTGGCCCTGGCCACAGCTGCCTGTGCCTGTACACACATGTGGGCTTCCTGAAGTCATTAGAAATGAGAAGCCCTGGCCAGGTGCGGTGGCTCACTCCTGTAATACCAGCACTTTGGGAGGCCGTGGCGGGTGGATCACATGAGGTCAGGAGTTCAAGACCAGCCTGGAACAACATGGCAAAACTCCATGTCTGATAAAAATACAAAAATTAGCCAGGTGTGATGGTGGGCACCTATAATCCCAGCTACTCAGGAGGCTGAGGCAGGAGAATCACTTGAACCCGGGAGATGGAGGTTACAGTGAGCCAAGATTGCGCCATTGCACTCCAGCCTGGGCAACGAGCGAAACTCCGTTTCAAAAAAAATAAAATAAAATAAATTAGAAGCCCCCGCAGCCGCCCAGGGCCCCAACTGCACCCTGACCCCTACCCAGAGAGTACGTCCCTCCTGCCTGGCTTTCCAGGGACATGTGACTTATGTCCCCAAAGTAGAAGCAGCACTAGGTTATGTGGATGGGACCATAGAGTCGTTTTTTACCACCGGAAGCCGTGTCACATCTTTTCTTTGTTAAACAAGAGACCTTCATAGAGGAAGCCCGGTTTTGTGGAATTGTTGTTCATGAGAAGAGAACCCGCAGAGCATCCGTCCCTGCCCAGCGCACCTGCCCTCTGGAGGTCTCTCCCCTGTGGGCGGGGACTGAGTTCTTGGCTCCGCCCCTTCTTCCTCCACCCTGCATGGACAGGACCCCCAGGTGCAATGCGTCCTGCAGGAAGGCTGTGTGCTACGGCTCCTGGTGGTCTGAGAGGAGCCCCAGGTGCTGGGCTGGCATAGAGAGCCCTCGAGCTTCGCCCACCACAGGTCTCACATACAGGGTGGACACCGAGGCCTGCAGGAGCTCAGCGGATGCTGGGGCAGGGCTGCAGTCGGGAGGGAGAGAGCAGATCCTGCTCAGGCCTGGGGGAAGCAGGTAACAGCCACAACCGGGGCCACCTGAGTGGCGTCTGACTCATCCTGTGGTGGCCTAACCCTCTGAGAGCCATTTCCATGTGAAATGTTAACTCGAATCTCATGTCCAAAGCCATCGTCCCCTTTAAAAGGCTAAATAAATGTAGCTCAACTAAAGAACACTAATTTTCCTGTGAATTTCTGGAGAAAATCTGAATTAGCCCAGGGATCTCAATCTGAAGAATTTCCAAACCTCAGAGAGACGCAGCCGGATGCCAGCTAGCCATCCAGGACAGATGCCAGACCCTGGCAGCTGTGGCCCCGGGCGGTCCAAGGAAGGCTGCTTCATCCTGGGGCTCAGAGACTCCGGGAGCGCGGCTGGGGTTTCCCTTGAACGTGAGGGAGCTCAGCAGCTCACCTCTATTTTAAGACCAGACCCTGGCAGCTGGAAAGCAAAGTAATAATTTGATGCCAAGTCATTCGTGCGACAGTGAAGGGTAATGCATTGAAGGCTGGAATTATCTTTTAAAGTGTTTTTTCAAAGCTATAATTAAGTGTAAGCCCTCTAAAATATTTCTTAAATATTTTAAAATATCACGTTGGGTGATGTTGCTTCTTCTTTTGCAGTAACCAAATAACATGCTTGTTTTTGTATCAAATTAAGTTTCCTTTTGGGCAATGGTTTCAGTTGGAGTTTCTGTCTGTGGAGCTGAAGCAGCAGCTTCTGCAGAACGTGTGAGTGTCCTCTCGCCTGTCCCCACAGTGCATCCGCGGACGCAAGGCCACCCTGGAGGAGCTACAGACGGTGCACTCGGAAGCCCACACCCTCCTGTATGGCACGAACCCCCTCAACCGGCAGAAACTGGACAGTAAGAAACTTCTAGGTATTTCAGGACCTTCCTTTCCTCCCATATTGGGTTTGAAGTCCCCTGAGGTTGTGTTTCCAGCTCTCAACCCCTTGTGTCTGGGGCACCTGTGGGTGTCGCCTGCCAGGTTATAAGGTAAAGGGCCTGAAAGGGAACCTTTCACCCTCTGTTCACAAGCCACTGGTTGTTGATGAACGTGCCAGGTAGCAGGTGTGTTTGTGTAAAAACTGGGCTGAGAACCGTTGGTTTAGAAGCATCTTGAATCAGAGTTTAGGTTTGAGAGGCTGATTAGGAACACAGCCAGCATGCTGCCCGCCCTGCCCTGCAGGGAGCCTGAAGTTGTTTTGAGCTCCGCTTTAAGGCCCATCAGAGCAAGACCAGGAGGAGGCCTAGGGAGTGTCCACTGCTTAGGGGTGAAAGGCTGCTGGTGTCTTGGCTCTGGCTGAAAGCACCTGCACAGGTGGTGGAGGGGAATTTTAGCCTCATGGAGAGAACTTTCTAATGGGCATCCTCTGCCCGGGGAGCTGGTGAGAGGCTTTCCACAGGGATCTTCAGCAGAGGCAGGTGAACTCCCAGCCAGCTCCATGGGGCTTCCAGTGTTCCCAGGCCACAGAACCCAGACGTGGGGCCGGGGGCTTCCAGGGCGCAGAACCCAGACCCCGGGCCGGGGGCTTCCAGGGCACAGAACGTGGACCCCGGGCCGGGGGCTTCCAGGGCACAGAACGTGGACCCGGGGCCGGGGGCTTCCAGGGCACAGAACGTGGACCCGGGGCCGGGGGCTTCCAGGGCACAGAACGTGGACCCAGGGCTGGGGGCTCCCAGGACACAGAACCCAGACCCTGGGCGGGGAGCGTCCAGGGCACAGAACACAGACCCGGGGCCGGGGGCTCCCAGGGCACAGAACCCAGACCCGGGGCCGGGGGTGTCCAGGGCACAGAACCCGGACCCGGGGCCGGGGGCTCCCAGGACACAGAACCCAGACCCAGGGTCGGGGGCTTCCAGGGCACAGAACCCAGACCGAGGGCCAGGGGATCCCAGGGCACAGAACACGGACCTGGGGATGGGGGATCCCAGGGCTCCCTTTGTTCCTCGATAACGTCTTTCCCTGCCTCCCAGCCACCCTGAACCAGGACAGTCACTGCCCACTGGTTTTCTTCCCCATCTTCTGTGCCTTTGCCCTGGGAAGAGCATATTGGCTCTTCCCTGAGCAGGACCCTAGGAAGGCAGAGAGGGAGAACTAGGAACCATGAACGCAGGGGTTGCAGGGGCAAGGAGAGGGTGGGCCGTGCCTGGCTCGTTGACTGCATTTGGCAGGGCACACGTTGCAGGAGGTGTCCTCCGTGCCAGGCCTGTGCCCGGCAGACTCAGCCTCACAGAGACCTGCACTCCTAGTCCTTCATGCGTTCACTCACTCACTCGCTCACGCCTTCATCCACTCGCCGAGGGCACCTTCTGTACTGGATGCCCTGTAGGTACAGACGGGGTCACAGACCATGGAGCCAGTAGGGCTGTGAGGACACGCATGGGCTCTGGCCTGGGGTGGCGGTCACGCTGCTTCCGGAGTCCCCCCTGCCCTGTGGTATGGAGGCTTCTAAAAGGACAGAAGCCTCAAGTTTGGGGAAAGTGAGAAGGGAGTGAACAGCAGTAGGAAGCAGGTGGGCCGGGGTGTGGCTGAGCAGGTTCACGAGGTGGATCCTGAGCTAGTGCCGGGGACAAGGGCCACCGACCCACCCCACAGACTCCGACAGCTCAGGCTCAGCAACTGCAGAGGCTATGGACTCAGGGAGGCACTCAGTCAAGGGCCTGGGCCAAAGCTGGTGGAAAGGCCTCTGGGCCCCGACTCCCTACACAGCGGCTTCGCCTGCTGCTGCTCTAGAAGGGGTACAGCACCCTTCCACCGTCCCTCTGGAAGGGACGGTGGAAGACAGGGGCTTCCTGGACTGGAGACAGCTGCTCTAGATGAGGGCATGGATGCCAAGCCCCTACCCCTCCCCACTGGGCTGCCAGCATGCTGACCTTTACCGTCCAAGCAGACAGGAGACCCCTCTGTGGATTTGACCAGCCCCAAAGAAGCTGACATCAGGGGTTCCCAACAAATAGCCCCTGAGATCCCTTATGCTGGCACTCACGGCTAATCACCCCCTGTGGGCCCAGAGCTTCCACCCAGCCGTTGGCACTTCCCCCTTAGGAGCGGACAACCAAGGAGGACCCAGGGCCCGAGGAACGGCTGGACAGGGACCTGGAGCTGGAGCCACACAGGGGAAGGAGGCTGGGGGCAGACAGTGTGAGGCACTAACCCAGCTGCCATTAGCACCCTCAGAGAGGATGCCACATCCACGTAACGTGGACAAGTTCAGTGGAAAAGGGGAAAGCACAGAACGTTCAGAGAAGACAAAAATTAAACACCTGACCGCAGAAAAAGAAAATCCTCCTCAGACTGGAAGATACGGTGATGTCATCTCCCAGAAACTGGAGCAAAACGTGACAGCTCTGGGAAACTGGGAAGTGAGATGATGGAGAAGAAGGCCAAAGCTCACTGCAGTGTGCAGGGTCCAAACAGCAGGAGTTCCCAGGGAAGGCAGAGGCCAGGAGGAGGTGTCTGGAATTCAGAAGGCCCCAGGCCAAAGGCAGAGTCTCTGGGCTGCAGGGACCCACCAGGGGTAAGAAAGACCCTCTTAGGGAGAAACAGCAGAGCCTCAGAATGCAGGGACAGGTGAGAGCCAGGGCACCTGCAGACTCCATGGGGCCTGCGGCCATGCCAGTTTTAAGGGCGCCTCATTGCCCTCCTGAAGTTTGTGTCCCGCCAAACTGCCGGGTGAGTAGGAAGGTGGCACAGAGGCATTCCAGGCATGCAAGGGCCAGAGCTTTCACCCTCCAGCTGTTCTTCCTCAGGAAGCCACCGGAGGACACGCTGTCCCAGGGCAAAAGAACATTGGGAGGCCCATCATGGAGGCCGGCCTCTACTGGGTGGTCTGTGAGAGGGTGGCGGCCAGGAAGTCTGAGATCGCCCTGCAGGGAGAAGCTGATGCAGCTACCCCTAGGAAGGGGGCACGCGCTCCTTGGGGAGAAGATGGCGCATGGATTGTGGAGTACCTAGCGGAGGCGGGGAGCACCGCTGGGGCTGGGGAAGGGAGCCCTAGAGGGCAAGGGCGGCAGAGAGGGCAGGCGGCTTTCTGTCCGGGAGCTGGGTGGACAAAGGCCATGCATCGAGGCACTGAGGCTAGAGTGTGCTGTCCCTCAGGATTCTCCAGTCCTTACCAGGAAACGTCACTGCCTCCCCATGTAACACCTCAGCTTCTGGCCGGGTTCTCCAGCATGGGAGGGGCTGCCTGTGGGCCCCATGAGGGGACAAGATCTTTGCCTCGATGTCACCGGGGCTGCCACAGCAGGGGCTTCAGCAGGCGTGGGAGTTGCTGAGCAGCCTCAAAGCATCAGCTCATCAGGCCGTGTCCTGCACACACGCAGTTCTGTGCGCCCACCTCCACGCCTTTCAGAATGGCGGCTGCTCCTGACACCTTCATCCATTTTCAAAGGACCGGCTGTTGGTCCATCCCCTACCACCTTCAGTCTTTCAAACCTGTGGAATTCAGTGGGCGGAGGATGGAGGCAGGACCAGCTCCACCAGCAGAAGGATGAAGGCAGGCTTAGCTCCACCACCTTGCTTAGGTTTCTAAGCTAGTTTCAAACAAAGTTTAAGAGAGATGATCAAAAAGGAAGACCCCTTTCTTGTTTTTGGTTTCTTTATTGAAGTGTCTCTGCAGCATCCCTTTGCACCATTCCTGTTCTCCGAAGGCAACCATTCTAGTCAGTTTCTTTTGTTTACAGGAAGGTTGATCATTCTATTTCTTGTTCTTTCCTGGAAAGCTTTGTGCTTTAAAATCTGTTCACATTCCTGTGAGGATGCCTCTCCCATTACCTTCTCACAACTCAAGATCGATTTTTGAATTTCCGACAATTGTCCTAACCCAGAAACTTCATTATCATCAGTCTAAGTATTTCAGACATGGTAATAGCTGATGATTATCTTGAGTTTTGTGAACATAACCCTAATGAGGTGTTTAAACACTACTGTGTGATTTTTTTTCTTTCCTCTTTTAATGGAATCCACAAGCCGCTAAGCCGTGTGCAAGGGCCTTCATATTTCCTTTCTGATGTGGTGAGATGCCACACATAAGGCGTGGCTGAATTGGCTCGTGGGCCTGAGGCAGGCTGGCCGCTGCCCTAGGCGTCACTGAAAGTCACGTGGCTCATCTGCTCATGTCAGCTGGCAGGGTGCTGCATCCGGGCAGAGCTGGGCCCCTGGCGAGTGGGTGCCGGTGATGCTCAGGGTAGGGTGCGGCAGGAAAATGACTTGGCACAGCGAGGGCCTCCTCCCAGCCAGGGAGCAGGAGCAGCAGCGAGAGGATGGCTGGAGCCGAGCCTTCCCTGCCCCAGGCACAGAACGCCTGTCTGCCAGCCCGCGGCAAACAGACAAGTAGTAAGGCTGGTCGTTTGCAGAGCTTCAGGCCCTGTCACCAGGCTGGAACGTTTCGTGGCCTGGGCTTGGTGATTGTGGCTCCAAACCACAGGAGGCCGCTGGGCTCCTCACAACTGTCACCAAAACTCTGCCTATAACTCCATTCCTATACGCATGCATTTGGATGCATAATCGTGTACTTTTTCTTTGTTGTTTTGGTCTTTGCTAGATAATGAGCAAACTCAAAACAGTCGGATGACTTGTGGTTTTAATGTAGACATGGTTGGCTATGATTTCAAAGAGATTCAGTCTCTTGCAGATACCTGGACACGTGTGTCTACTGTGAATTCATATAGCTGAGCGCGTGCATTATTTGGAAAACGAGCTCCCTAGTTTCTGGCAGTGTCTTTCCCGTGCGTTGGAGTAGTCAGTGATGGAAGGACGTGGCCCACGGAGCCACTCCCAGCCCCAGCTACTCAGCCACTCACCAAGGCCATGACCGCCCTTCCAAGGCAGCACCCGCCCACTGTGGTGAGGTTGGCATTAGGTGACCCCACTACAGACGACGGGCAGCAAGCAGGACAGCAGGTGGCTTGGCACCTTGGCACCCACGCCCTCCTCCTTTTTCAGTCTCGTTCCACCTGCGCACTAGCTCTCTTGCCCACCACATCCCGCCAGCTCCTGCCCAGCCCCAGCACCTCCCAAAGGGGTCCGGCGTGCAGGCCGCTTCCCCGCATGGTCAGCCCCACGTCCACTACTTGCTGTCACCAAGGCACAGAGGAGAGCAGGGCCAACATGCCTGCGGGGATGAGGGCTGACCACCATGAGGTTCAGGCGAGAAGTGTTAGCTGATGTTGTCCCATGTGCCACGCTGACATGTGGACACGGGAACCAGGGTCAGGAGCCACGACTCCAGGCAGTGGCGGGTCCGTGAGCCATGGACACGGAGGAAGTAGGCCCAGGACAGCGCCCAGGAAGGGGAGGCATGCTGGTGCTGCTGCCCTCAGTGGGCGTGAGGGCCAGGACCCAGAGGCCGAGGCATGCCTGCTGAGCGCTGCAGGGAGAGCCAGGGCCGACTGAAGCCCCTGCTGGCTCAATGCCTTGTACAGCCCAGGCAGGGAGGAGGGACAAGGCGGGCACAGACCCTGCCCTTGGAGCCAGGCCAGGTGGAGAGGAGCGCGGGCTCCCTCCGACACAGGCTGGCTCCTCCGAGCACGTAGGCCTTTGTCTGGAAAACGTCACAGCATCTGCATGGCGCCTGCGCCCCTCAGCTGGCCGGGCCCTCCTAGCAGATGGGGGCCGGGCCTATCCTCCCTTTGCCTGGGGGGCCTGGGAGCCCCTGAGCCCCTTCTGAAAGTGGCTGCAGCTGCTGCCCCCTGCCTCCTGCCTCCTGCCCTGCTCCCTGTTGGCATGGCAGCTCCCCAGCCCCGGGCCGTGGACGTGGCCATTCTACAAGCCTCCGGCCTTGATGCAGATCTGTGACCTCCACAGAGTGAGAAGAGCCTGAGTCAGCTCTGTGCATCGGGCCTCACACTAGGGCCTGGCTGTGGCTGTCTGTGGGACATGTGGGTGTCTGTGGGGGGTGCTGGTGTCCGTGTGGATGTCCGTGGGGGGTGCTGGTGTCCGTGGGGTGGGGTGGGTGTCTGTGGGGGGTGCTGGCGTCCATGGGGGGGGTGGGCATCAGTGGGGGATGCTGGCATCCATGGGAGGTGCTGGCATCCGTGGGGGGTGCAGGTGTTCGTGGGGGGTGCAGGTGTTCGTGGGGGGTGTAGGCGTCTGTGGGGGGCGTGGGCATCCGTGGGGGGTACTGGCGTCCATGGGGGGTGTGGGTGTCCATGGGGGCGGGGCGGGGGGCGGGCATCCATGGGGAGGGTGCAGTCATCCGTGGTGGGGTGATGGGGGTGCAGTCGTCCGTGGTGGGGTGATGGTGCAGGCGTCTGTGGGGAGGTTGCAGGTGTCGGGGGGGGTTGCAGGCATCTGTCGGTGGGGTGTGGGCGTCCGTAGGGGGTGCGGGCATCCGTGGGCTAAGGCAAGCAGGCCTCTGTTTAGCTTCTCGTCTGTGCCAGCCACTCTCCTGCAGCTTGGGGCCATCGCAGTTGCTCTTCCCAGCCAGGCACGCTGTTCCCTGAGGAAGGGTTCCTCTCGTGCTAACCGGGCCGGCAAGCCCTCCAGGCAAGAGGCAGACAGGCCCTAATGGACCTATGGCCAACTCCTTCCTATGGCCCCCGGCAGCCAGCCCTAGGAGCGTGGACCAGAGCACACAGAGTGGAGGCTACTGTTCTGGAGCAGGCTGAGAATGGGAGAGGAGCCCCACAGCGGGGGGTACAGCCCAGCTGAGGCCAGAAAGTGGGGTCCCACGTTGGATAAAGGAGCCTGTTACATCAAGCCAGTCTCCCTGGAGCATGTGAGATGTCACTCCAGCTCCAGCCCAGGAAGGGGCCGGGGGCTGCGGAGAGTGAGGGATTGGGGCCCAGGCAGCCGCTAGGAATGGTAGGTCCCGCCCCTGGTTAGTGGGGGTCTCTTGTCCTCCACAGATGGGTTTTAAGCTGGTGACGTGCATTCAGCCAGCACTGGGTCAAACAGGAAAAAGACAGCACCCCTGTCCTGGGAGCACTTTCACTGCCGGAGCAGGCGCGGGTGCCAGAGCAGTGGGGTGGGGGTTTCGAGGGCCCCGATTTCCATGGGAGGAGGCCTGGCGTGCAGCTGCAGCGTCCTTGGAGCCCTCAGTCAGCTGTACACGCTCCGCCTGTGTCGCAGGGAGGGGCTGTCGCTGCATACATTCCCGAGGATCTCAGGGTCTAAGAGGCCTCAGGACCCATGTTTAATCCCGGGACTTGCCCCTTGTTTGCCATGGGAGGGGGCTGCTAGACAAGCCCTAGGAGCTCACTGAGGAGCCAGGCTCGGGGTCCTGGAGCAGGATTTGCTGTTAGATACAGCCCCTCAGGGGCACGGGCTGCAGGCAGACGCCCACCAGGGGTACCTCGTGCTCCCCAGTGGCTTGGTGCCTCTCCTGGGCCCCTGACAGGCTGATGCCACAACAATTTGAGGTGTCCCCACCAGGGTCTGTGACCCAGCTCAGCCCTCACAGGAGTCAAGGCACCTCTAAGGGCCAGACACTGACCCTGCAGCAGGGCCACAGGGTGTCACAAGGGGGAGCAGTGGCCCCTCGTTGTCCCACAAATGCCCAAGTGCCACTGAAGACCCCGGAGTGCGCCCAGGGCCTGTCGAGCACCTTGGCCGCGTGCCCTTGGCCTCTCTGACCGTCTCCCTCCCCCCCACAGGCTCGCTCGCCTCCGTGTTCGTCCGGCTCCCTTGCGGTGGTGTTGGGGTAAGTGTTCCTTTAATGTGTAAATAATGTCCTGTTTCTTCTCGAGTCCCAGTGGTCACAGAAATCGCAGCCTTGCTTCCCTCAAAGTGAATAATTGCTGCCAGGTGTTTTCCATACGCAGGGGCTGCCCATGTGCGGCTTCAAAGGCCGTGTGAGCCGAGAGCGTTTTGATCGCCGACTCGGGCACCTTTCTCTGGGGAAGGTTGTCTGGCGCAGGTGGCTGGGGCTCTGGGGTGCAGTGGCTCTCGCTTTAAGAAACAGGATCCTGTATGCAGCCAGCATCTCATCCCCTTCGAAGTCTGTGGCAGTAATCTGCTCACATCAGGCCACGAGTATGGTGCGGGTAGGATGCGTGCTTCTGTATTCTGTACCTAGTTTCCACCCGAAGCTACAGGTGGGGCTCCCAGTGCAGTGACCGTGATACTCATGGGCCACGTGGAGTCTGTAGGGCTACTCGCTGGGCTGTGCTGGCTTCTGTGAGCTGATGATATGGACCTGGCCTGGGCATATGAATCACTGGTCTGTGCCAGCTTCTACGAACTGATGATATGGACCTGGCCTGGGCATATGAATCACTGGGCTGTGCTGGCTTCTACGAGCTGATGATATGGACCTGGCCTGGGCGCATAAGTTCACAAGGACTTTCCAGTCTGGGCATCTGCCCATCCGTCCACACAGGAAGGGTCAGGTCTTGCAATCAAACTTCTCAATAACAAAAGAGTTCTCCCCTGGCCCCTGACCTCCTTGATGCAGCCTGGGCAGGGGTGGCAATAGCGAGGGCGGCCATGAGAAGCTGAGGCGGAGCGTCCGAGCAGATCCGGGCCATCATGGTCCTGCAGTGCCGCGAATCACCACAGACGGTTACAGGCAGGGAGGACGGGAGCCGGTGGACAGCAGGAGCCGCTGCAGCCGAAACGGTGCAGTGTGTGTGTAATCACTGATCGCAGGGTGAAGCTCAAGGTCTGGATTCTGTTATGGAAATGAAACAAAATTGTTTTCTTCCTGAGTTTTTATAAAAATCACTGCTTTGAAAATTATCCCGTCAGAAAGAGAATAAACGGCATTTATTCATACCACCACCAAGCCCTCCTAGAGTTATTTTATTTTGTATTGTAAATAGGCTGCAATCTCTTAATTTGGGGCATGTTTTTGGCCAGACTTGAAAAGGATTGAATTTGCACTGCCCTGCAGCCAGCACGCCTGTGCAAGGCAGAATTTATCATTTGCAAATGAAAGCTAAGTGCAGACTCAGAGCTGAGGGGGTGAGCCCAGCAGCCCCTCCCAAGTGTTAAATCCAGATCTGAGGCACAGCAGATGAGAGCTGCACCCTCACGTCTGGGTGTGCAGATGCTGATGGAAAAGCTCCCCACGTGGACGCGGGCAGAGAGGGTAGCCTGTTGGCATGGGCAGGGAACAGTGCAGGCCGTGGGGCTTCCTGAGGTACAGCCACCGGCAGGATGTGTTTTCTTCCCATTGTTTTCCAAAAGGAAGAAGACAGACAGGAGGCCGGTGCAGACCCCTGCCCTGGTGTGGGATGCACCTGCTGTCGCTGGCACAGATGCAGCTCTCCTGAGCCTCATGTCTCCTCCAGAGCCAGGAGGGGCCAGCCTCCTGGGGTGTCAGGAGGAGCAAAGTAGACCTCGGGAGCCGAAGTGTGGGCACACAGCAGGTGCTCTTGTCAGGGAGGGCAGAGCAGGTGAGCAGAGCCAGCCACCTTCCCCGAAAGCAGCTGCAAACTCTCCCGGAGGCAGAACAGTGGGGCTTGGAACACGGAAAACTCACCACTCCTCGGCGCTGGGAAATGGGAGCTGTAAAGTGCTTTGACCTCTTTTTCAAACCAGATCAGCTCCTGCGTTGCTCCTCTCCAGTGACCGCAAGTTTCAACTGGGTGAGGAGCTGGTGTCCCTGCTCGGCCTCGCCCAGCGGAGTCCTGGCCTGCTCTCGTACGCCCGGCTCCCCGCGGCTCCTCTGAGCTTCCCAAAGGCCTCCCAGCCCTGCCAGCCCTCGGCATGTCCCTTTTAGACTCCATGGGATTATCCGTGGGAAGCTTTCTCCATGTTTCCCCCCGCCTTTTTCCTGTCTTTATTGCGAAAGAGAGAGAAAAGGAGAGGAGAGAAGCGAGAGAGAGAGAAAGAAAGGAAAAGAAAACAAAAAAAAAAAGAAACGAAACACAGAGTGAGCCATTTGCTCCTTCCTGCATTAGCAGTTGCGGCCGCCTGCCCTGAGCCAGGCTATTGCTCAGTGGTGGCGCTGCACGCCTGAGCCAGGCTCCCTGCAAGAGGCCTGGAGCTCCAGGCTGGTCCCTGGGAGCTGGAGCCGTGGTCCTGAAGCAGGCGAAGGAGGGTCTCTTGAGTTCTCTGGGGACTGGGGTCCTGCAGTTTGGCTGGGGCTTTGTCCTTCACTCTGTGCAAGACTCCAGAAGCTTCTGAACCCCAGGGTCCCATGGGAGGGGGCACAGACACAGGCACCTGGTAGACCGAGCAGCTCCTTGGCACCCCAGGTGTGCAGAATCCCCAGAAGACCCTTCAGAACACGGGTGTAGTACACCCTCCGCTCCCTGCAGTGTTGGCCTAATCCCAAAGCCTAGTTCATTGTATGTTGGAGAGAAACCATCTCTGGGTGCTGTCCCCACAGGGGCAGCCTCGGGGCCTGGCCTGTCTGGGACCCCGCCTCTGCTGGCTGACACAGAGCAGGTGGCAGAATCTTGCCCTGCCCAGCTCTCACTCCTGCGATGTCACCTTGGATTTTTTTTTTTTTTTTTTTCCTCTTTGGAGACAGAGCTTCAGTCTGTTACCCAGACTGGAGTGCAGCGGTGCATTCATGGCTAACTGCAGCCTCGACCTCCTGGGCTCAAGTGATCTTCCCGCCTCAGCGTCCTGAGTTGTGGGGACTACAGGCCCAGGCCACCACATCTGGCTAATTTTTGTTTGTTTGTTTTTGAGACGGAGTCTGGCTCTGTCGCCCAGGCTGGAGTGCAGTGGCGCGATCTCGGCTCACTGCAAGCTCCGCCTCCCGGGTTCACGCCATTCTCCTGCCCTAGCCTCCCGTGTAGCTGGGACTACAGGCGCCCACCACGGCACCTGGCTAATTTTTTTTTTTTTTTTTGTATTTTTAGTAGAGACGGGGTTTCACCGTGTTAGCCAGGATGGTCTCGATCTCCTGACCTTGTGATCCGCCCACCTCAGCCTCCCAAAGTGCTGGGATTACAGGCATGAGCCACTGCGCCCGGCCCACATCTGGCTAATTTTTTGAAAAGAAAACCATCACCGAATACACTTCAGGAAATGTCTTCAGCCCCTTGAAAATGCATTTTAACTCACCTTGCTTTGATGATGAAGCTTCAAGACCGCCTGGAAAGAAATCCTCCCTCCCCACATAATGAGCGGTGTCTATCAAGTGGCAAGTCTGCCTGGTGGTGGACAGGAGCCCTCGAGGGCCTGGTCTGGGGAAGGGAGAGGCAGGGTGGACACGCCTGGCTCCTGCTTAGGAGCCCCAAAGCACTCGGCGCTCAGAGGGGCTCAGTTTGAGAAGGAGGCGTCCTGCAATGGACCTGCAATCGCCCTGGTCAGCACCGTGTGGAAGCTGAGCAACCTATGACACGGCTTCTAAGACCTCCACCGGGCTGGGCACCCCCAAGTCCCCGGTGTGTTACCCCACAGCAGCTTGCAGGCAAGGGACACACTTGGGGACAGATGCTCAGGTTCCCTGGGGCCAGCCCAAGGGCTGTGTATTTCATCTTAACACCTCCCTCCCCTGGCCAGACTCCCATAGGAGACTGCTCTGTGCAGAACTGGCTGTCCAGGTCTCTGTCTGTCGACTTTCCTCCTGAATTGAGCCAGGGCTGTAAGAAATTTCTGGTGTGCCTAAATAAATAAATGAGCCAACACACAATCGGGGATTGTTGACGTGTTTGTGTGAAACACGTTTTCTGTCTGAAGTGGAAAAGGCCAGCGGGCTGACTTGCTGGTGTCCAGGCAGAGCCGTGTACCGTCACTAGGGCAGAGCAGGGCAGCTCTCCTCACCCGCCCACACGGCCAGTCCCGCTTAGCTACGCTGGTCAACATGTGGAGCTTCCAGTTAAACTCGGCACAGGAGAAAGTCACTATTGGAAGAGACTGGTCGTGATTCCCCTTACATTTCATTTTGCTGCTAATTATTTGACAGGTCGACTATCCCTTATCCGAAATGCTTGGGGCCAGAAGTATTTCAGAGTTTGGTGTTTTTCAGATTTTGGAATATTTGCATTGTACTTACCAGTTCAGCATCCCTAATCCAAAAATCTGAAATCCAGAATGCTCCAGAGTGCATTTCCTTTGAGCGTCACGTAAGCGCTCAAAAAGTTTCCAGTTTTTTTTTTTTCCTTTTTGGAGACAGAGCCTCACTGTGTTACCCAGACTGGAGTGCAGAGGTGCATTCATGGCTCACTGCGGCCTCGACCTCCTGGGCTCAAGTGATCTTCCCGCCTCAGCCTACAAAATGCTTTTGTAGTATTTCGGATTTCAGATTCTCAGATCAGAGATACTCAAGCTGAATAACTCTCTTAACTACAGTTCCAGTTAAAAAAAAAAAAAAAAAAAAGGAAATAGATCACCTTGACATCATTACTTTTAGATGGAAGTATACTGAAGCAATTGAGGGAAAGGAGGATGCCTCAGAACAGGTCAGGACACATGCATCTTTCTTCTGGTAAATTCTCTTGTATTTTCCTGTTTAAACTTTTTGGCATGTCTTAAAAAGATTGAAGGCTGAACGTGGGCTGCAGCTGCCCTGGCTCTGGTAGGCCCTGGGGTTTCAGAAGCAGAGCCCACGGAACCTGAGCTGCTCTGCCCAGCCAGGGCTGGTGATGACGGTGGCCTGGGAGGGTGACCTCACTGTGGGGTGTTGTTTCCACAGGTGGACAGTGACACCATATGGAACGAGGTGCACTCGGCGGGGGCAGCCCGCCTGGCTGTGGGCTGCGTGGTAGAGCTGGTCTTCAAGGTGGCCACAGGGGAGCTGAAGGTCAGTCGGGGCCTGGACAGTGGTGGCCCTCCAGGAGGCCTGCCATAGATTCCCAGTGTGGGGAGGGGCCGCCCACTCCGTCTCCCTCTCATCAGGCTGGGAGGCGGCTGTGATGGGGAGGCGTGGACCCCACTCTGTCAGCACAGCCTCGCTATTGAATCAAAGAGACATTGCCCACATTTGTGATAGGGTATGTGCATAGTACAGAGATTCTCAATGATTTGGGTCTTAAGAACCCTTTATACTCTTAAAAATTTATACTCTTAAAAAAAAAAAAAAAGCTCCAAAGAGCTTCTGTTTACATGAGTTATATCCACAATATTGACTCTATTAGAGATTACAACTGAGAAATTTTCAAAATGTTTATTAATTTAAAAATAGCGACCGGGCACAGTGGCTCACACCTGTAATCCCAGCACTTTGGGAGGCCAAGGCAGGGGGATCACCTGAGGTCAGGAGTTCAAGAGCAGCTTGGCTAACTTGGCGAAACTCCTTCTCTACTGAAATACAAAAATTAGCTGGGCATGGTGGCGCATGCCTATAATCCCAGCTACTTGGGAGGCTGAGGCTGGCGAATCGCTTGAACCTGGGAGGTGGAGGTTGCGGCGAGCCGAGTCACGCCATTGCACTCCAGCCTGGGTGACAGAGTGAGACTCCGTCTCAAAAAAAACTAAAAAATTAAAAAGTAATAAAAAAATAAAAATAGCACTAATGTCTTGCCTGTGGACAGCAGCTGGTTCTCACACCTGCCCGGCGTCATTCTTGGGACATGTTGAAGTACATGAAGGAATCCTGGCCCCACACAGATACGTAATTGGAAATGGGAGCAGGATTTTAATAGACTTTTCAGAGGTATTCTAATTGTGGGTATTCTTTGACAGTATACCAAAAATTCAGCAAGTGGTAGTGTCTTGAAAATTAGCTGCAGTGTGGATCTGAAATCAAATCGTGGCCTCCTCCCCCTCCGTTTTGTTTAACTGAACCATTAGCCCTTCTTGGAGATCAAATCGATCCTTCGTTCATGGGTGATTGGTAGCACCGTGCGTTGGTCATTTGGAAACTTAGCTTCACGGAGTTACATGGATCTTCCATATTCTGACCCATACAGTATCAAAAAAGTCATTAATTTTTGAAACCATTAATATCACCCCCATCTCACCAGAAGTCTTATAAGTAGTGAGAGAGCCAGCAGGCTCACAGGGGCAGAGCCGTGTGTTCCAAACTTGTAATTTTCACTGGAAAGCTCACAGTTTCTCACGCTTCCTTCCCGTCTCTTTACTCGGGATGTTAAAAGGACGTGTTTGAGGGCGGAGATCTACTAAAATGTCTGAATACTGCTTCATCGAGCACATTGTTAAGAGAAGCTGCTCACACACACACACACGCCCTGGTGCTGTTCCCTGCCCGCCGTCTACCCTCCGGTGCTTCAGCACCATCGGCGCAGGTGTCAGGGCAGTGAAAAGAGTACATAGAGCCTCAGGACTACGTGGACTACAGACCCTCAGCAGGGGTCGGGACCGAGGGGTCTGCAGCCTACACTCGGAAGCACTGAGTGCAGAAACGCAGGGAGGCCAGGGCCTCTTGAGAGCGTTTGCCGCCACCTCATGGGCTGCCCTCGCCCCTTCCTGAGCCTGGTCCCTGCGGCGTCCGGCTCACCCCGTCCATGGCATTGTCACTCATGGTTGGCCGGCACTTTTTTTGAGGCTTCATTACAGACCTTGACCACACAGTGTCCTGTTGCTGGTGAGACCAGGAGAGGACTGGAATCCATTTTTATGGCAGCAACTACAGAGTGGTTTGCAGATGGATTTTTGACGCAGAAGTGATGGGGCAGAGGACAGCGTTTCTGCCCAGTGTGAGAGGAGCTGTTTCGTGGGCTGCCCACTTGCCCGCCATCCTGAGAGCTGAACTGCAGTAAGGACAGAGGCAGTCACGTGAAGGCCAAGCTGGGACACAACGTCTCTGCCCCGCGGCCAAGTCCTTGAGTGGGGCCCCTTCTGCTTCATCTTCCTCCAGTGGCCACCTAGCGGGTCCTGGTCCCGAGCCGACGGGGAGTGAGCACATCCTTTCCACATCACCCCGACCCCTGAGCCAAGGGCACCACGCCTCACCGACAGTTCTGAGAGTGGGCAGGCACCCACCTGTTATCCTAGTGACTGCGTTTCGGGGGAACCATTAGTAGCCCCCAGACCTCTTTAGGAGAAGGGCCCAGGCTTCCCGGAAAGGCTCCCAGCTGGCCCTGCATCCTGTCCCCATCACTGTGGCCAGGGTGCAGCAAGAAACTGTCCTCCTGTGTAGCCCAACTCTGCTAAAAGTTGAGTGTGCAACCATTTTCCCGTGGCTACAAAGTGTGTCTTTTGTTGCTCTCTCCTGGCTGTCTGGTGTCACCTGCAGAATGGCTTTGCTGTGGTCCGCCCCCCTGGACACCATGCGGAGGAGAGCACGCCCATGTGAGTACACGCCGCAGCCCCGCACAGCAGGGGAACCCAGGTCTTCCTTCCCTCCCTTAGGGCTGGGTGGGTGTGTGAGTGACTGCGGGGAGCTGGGCTGCTGTTTGCTGGCCACCCAGGATGTGCCGCATGCCGGCTTGGCTCCAGCTCCTGGGTGTGGAGTGCAGATGCCAAAGTCTGCGAGCATCACTGCTCGGTTATGACGGAGACAGATCAGAGGAAAGGATGGGAAAGGGTCTGTGGAGGTTAGTCCAGAGAAGCCTCTGGTTGTTGAGTAGTTGTCAACACTTGGGAGAGGAAACACCACTCACCCTCAAGTGAGTCACTGCAGCACTTGCTTGTCTAGAGGACTCAGGTCATTTTGCGCATGGCCTTTTAGCTGCCTGCCGAATGCCTGGTACTGACGCAGCAAGCCACAGAGCCACGTCCATGCAGGCAGCTATCCTGATGCTGTTTCGGGTCTTTCAGAGACTGCCGACGGTCCATACAGCTGAGGATCTGGGCAGGGTGGCGAGTGTGGGGTGTGGGTCCTCCCGGATCCATCCCTGTGTGTCCAGAGCCAGTGGCAGGACAGACCCGCAGCTGTCTGTGGAGTGCCTTGCAGCCTGGGTGGTGAATGAATGATCTATCCCGTCAAAGAGCATGCTGTCTCCTGGGACGGTAGCCGCTCTAGTGAGGAGGGGTGGTGCTAGAAAGAGCGTCTCCCCATGCTCTGGAGATGGAGAAGGCGTGCCTGATCTTGCCAGCTTCGGTGAGGAGGAGGTGGCATAGGGCTCTGCCTTGGAGAGTTGGAGCAGCAGTTTGTCAGATGGCAACGCAAGAACAAGTGCAGATACAAGTTCACTATCAGGCTGTGGCCAGGAAGCAGTCAGAACAAGACAGAACCGCAGGGGCCCGGGAAAGGGCCTCCCTGTCACCCCTGGGAAGTCAGGCGTCCACGGAGGGGCCGGCAGGACGTGAGAGATAGTCAGATCCGCGTGTTAGAGCAGAATCTCCTTCACGTACAGGGAGGAGACTGTACGTGAGAGATAGTCAGATCCACATGTTAGAGCAGAGTCTCCTTCGTGTGCAGGGAAGAGATTGTACGTGAGAGACAGTCAGATCCGCGTGTTAGAGCAGATTCTCCTTCATGTACGGGGAGGAGACTGTACGTGAGAGATAGTCAGATCCGCGTGTTAGAGCAGATTCTCCTTCATGTACAGGGAGGAGACTGTACGTGCGAGATAGTCAGATCCGCGTGTTAGAGCAGAGTCTCCTTCGTGTACAGGGAAGAGACTACGTGCGAGATAGTCAGATCCGCGTGTTAGAGCAGAGTCTCCTTCATGTGCAGGGAGGAGACTGTACGTGAGAGATAGTCAGATCCGCGTGTTAGAGCAGAGTCTCCTTCGTGTACAGGGAAGAGACTGTACGTGCGAGATAGTCAGATCCGCGTGTTAGAGCAGAGTCTCCTTCGTGTACAGGGAAGAGACTACGTGCGAGATAGTCAGATCCGCGTGTTAGAGCAGAGTCTCCTTCATGTGCAGGGAGGAGACTGTACGTGAGAGATAGTCAGATCCGCGTGTTAGAGCAGAGTCTCCTTCGTGTACAGGGAAGAGACTGTACGTGCGAGATAGTCAGATCCGCGTGTTAGAGCAGAGTCTCCTTCGTGTACAGGGAGGAGACTGTACGTGAGAGATAGTCAGATCCGCATGTTAGAGCAGAGTCTCCTTCGTGTACAGGGAGGAGATTGTACGTGAGAGATAGTCAGATCCGCGTGTTAGAGCAGAGTCTCCTTCATGTACAGGGAGGAGATTGTACGTGAGAGATAGTCAGATCCGCGTGTTAGAGCAGAGTGTCCTTCGTGTACAGGGAGGAGATTGTAACCGCCAGGGAGGGATGCTTGTTGGAATCTTTGTAGCTTTACCTGAAAACCACGTGTTTGCTCCACATCCCAGAACAGTCACTTGGGCACCAGGCTTCCTGTTTGTTTCATTTCTCTGAAGTTTCTTTTCTAATTTGAACCTGAGTTGTTGGATATTCCAAATAATAAACCTCAGAGGAGACAAACGAATTGTGTTTTGTTGCAGCTCTTCGCTGTGCTCCCCGTGAGCCGCTGCAGGAGCTCAGCGTCTAGGATGTCCTGGGGCGTGTGGGCTTCCCCATGCCAGCCCGGATTCTGAAAACAAAACAACTAGTGTTTCTCCGTTTCTGTGGTCATTCGGACAAAGGGAATTTGAGATCAAGAAGGTTTTCGTTGTTATTTGAATCACTTTCATAGCTTGTTTTCTTGGTCTCTTGAGTAAGACTCTCTAAAATTAAAGGTAATTTATGTATTGGAATATAGGAAGGTCAGCAGGAAGCAACTGAGATGAACGGCTGCCATGTCTCCTGGGGCGTGGCGGCAGCTCCTGAGAGGAAGGGTTCCAGGTGAAGATGAGGGAAATGTTGGTAACATGTGAAATAGGGTTCCCTACCAGAGGAGCGTGGGGGACCTCCAAGCAGGAGAGTGTGTGTGTGTGTGTGTGTGTGTGTGTGTGTCTGTCTGTCTCAGTATGGAACTGTGGATGTGTGTGATAGGTATATGCTTATGTGTATATGTGTGTGTGTGCTTGTATGTGTCTGTGGTTTGTGTGTGTGTGAGTGTTTCTGTATGGGGTGTTCATGTGTATCTGTGCATGTGTGTCTACGTGGGGGGGGTGGGTATGGGCGTATCTGTGGGGCATATATGTGTGTAGGGCGTTTGCATGGTGTGTGTGTCTCTATCTGTGGGGTGTGGGGTGTGTGTGGGGTGTGTGTCTGTGTGGAGTGTGTGTGGGGTGTGTGTCTGTGGTGTATGGGCGTATCTGTGGGGCATGTATGTGTGTAGGGCGTGTTGCATGGTGTGTGTGTCTGTGTGGGAGGGTGTGTCTCTGTGGTGTGTGTGTCTGTGTGGGGTGTACGTGTGTCTCTGTCTGTGGTGTGTGTGTCTGTGGGGGGTGTGTGTGTGTCTCTGTCTGTGGTGTGTGTGTCTGTGTGGGGTGTGTGCATGTCCGTGTCGGTTAGCCGACCCTATGGCATTGGCTAAGATTCCCCAGTGGCTTGTTTGGGAGCTGTGTGTGTGTGTGTGTGTGTGTGCGCGCGCACGCGTGTGAGTGTGTCTG
The DNA here is from genome assembly GCF_000001405.40 of Homo sapiens. Lineage (NCBI taxonomy): Eukaryota > Metazoa > Chordata > Mammalia > Primates > Hominidae > Homo > Homo sapiens. The sequence goes on along the minus strand of NC_000002.12, from coordinate 239,084,439 downwards.
CATGTGGGGTGTGTACGTGTCTGTCTGTTAACCGATTCTCCGGCATCACTGAGGGTTCCCTGCGACGTATTCAGGAGCTCTGCACTCACAGAGACCTCTTAGGTCTGCGTGGACCCCGAGTGGCTCTCTGGCGGGCCGTGGAGAAACTGGCCACCGCCCACCTGCGCTTCGTCTCCAGCGTCAGTTCTCTCCCGCAGGGGCTTTTGCTACTTCAACTCCGTGGCCGTGGCAGCCAAGCTTCTGCAGCAGAGGTTGAGCGTGAGCAAGATCCTCATCGTGGACTGGGTAAGCAGAGCCGCCTTGGCCAGCGCAGCTCAGGTTGCTCCTTTGCCGTCCCCGAGCGGACAGCAGCGTGTGGACAGAGGAGCTGGGCTCTTGGATGTGGGAAGCTTAGGTTTCTGGAAACGGTCTCAAAGATGCGGAGAAGTAAAGCCCCAAACCTGCTACAAGTCATTGTACAGCTTCCGTCAGCCGACCCTGGCGAATGGGGTCCTGGCGTGTCTAAAAATGTGCCTGTGGGTGACGGCAGCGGCCAGGGCCACCCTCGACGAGATCTTCTTGGAAGACAGGTGTTGGGGAGGAGGCTGTGTCCACATCTACTTTGCGTGTGTGGCCTGGGAGCCTGGGAGGACCCTCACCCTGGTCGAAGGCGGCAGTCTGCTTCTCAGTCACCCCAGTGAAGCCCGTGCCTTCCTGCTGCTGTGTGGGCACCTGGTCCTGCTGGAATGGGGGGTGCCACTGCCCCCAAAAGAGTCATCTCTTTTTAAATAATGCTATATGATGTCCGAATCTGAATTCCACGAATAGGTATACTCATTCTTATACCGGAAATTAATATTCAAGATATTCATCTTATTACTCTTTTTAAAGCCAGATATATACATATTTAGTGTTCTCTTTGGTATTTATGATTTATTTCATAATTTTTAAGGGAAAAAAGCAGGCCCTGTCAGGTAGGGTTATGATTTGAATTGGAGAAGTCCTTCTGAGTTTGGGTAAAGAAACAATATGGCACAGCCAGGACAGCCATGCTGTTTCGGAGAGGCAGGTCAGGGGATGCGGCAGAGCAGCGGGTCCCCCACACCCAAGGACCTGCGAGCCGGGAGCCCTCCCTCAGCTCCTCCTAAGGGAGCAGGTAGGAGTGCCTGGGAAGAGAGCAGTGTGAGGTCGCTGATGGCTAAAGACTGGGGACCCATCCCCAAAAGAGTGAAGCGCTAGGACACGCAGACAGGCTGCGTAGACCCTGTGTGGCGTGCTCCCTGCGCGCTGAGCTGTGATATTGCCCATGTACACACCATGCGGACAGGGTCATCTCAGTGTGAAGCCACATGTCGGGAAAGCCTCCATGTGCGTCTTCACAGCGATTACCTACTCTGTGGGGTGGAAGGTTCTTGTCCATCGCTCCTCACCTGTAGCTGCCCTTCCGCCTTTTCTGTGATGAGCACAGATAACGGAGCAGCAAGTTCTCGTGCTGGGAACATCAGGGCTGCATGCTGTCTTCTCAGGCACACAGCTGTTCTCAGCGGGGCCACCCCCTCGCCCGCCCATCCTGGTGACCACCTGCCCTGTGGCCCGGGGCAGAACAGCCACGGTCAGTAAAGCCCCAGGCTGCCTGTGCTCTCTGCTGCATCTGACCTGTGGGTTTTGTGATTAAGAAACGGTGCTTGCCATTTGGGCACAGGGGCCTGGACCCCGTACTGTGTGTGCCTGTCACTCACGGACACCTGGGACTTGTCTCCTGCCGAACGCCCTGCCTGGCATGGAATTGGCACCTCCCACGTGCCTGCAAGCGGGCAGGCCACAGCCAGTGACCTCCTTCCTGACAGAGGCTGAGGAAGTGGCTCACTTGTCAGAGACACGGCAGGTGTAGGAAATTGATCAGATGGCTTCGTCTGGGAAATGGTGGCCTCTAGGCCTGGCTGAACTCCAGCCCCATCGGCTGCTGGAGTCAGGATTGTGCCATGGCGCTAAGGGCGAGGGAAACAGTGCTGCAGACGCGAACATTGGCCCTTAGAACCCCTGCGACCCTGCACCACGTAGCCCTGACCCACACAGCCCCAGAATCGCGCCTGCCGGGTACGGGCCCAGCTGGAGGGTAATGTCATTCCTGAGCAGGAGCCGTTGTCACTAAGCACAACTGGGGTTGGGGACGGCCCTCAGGGGAGGCCACCCTCCAATACCTGCCTCAGCCCTGAAGTAGTTGTCCCTGCTCTTTAAGGACGTGCACCATGGAAACGGGACCCAGCAGGCTTTCTACAGCGACCCCAGCGTCCTGTACATGTCCCTCCACCGCTACGACGATGGGAACTTCTTCCCAGGCAGCGGGGCTCCTGATGAGGTAGGTGGGGTATATAAGGGCCTCTGGGGGGAAAGGGGGACTGCGGGGAGCCGCTGTGGGGGCACGGGGCAGACGGTCCACAGCTGCCCGGCAGCAGTGAGTGCGGCCTTCGTGCTCACTTAAGCCCAGACAGTAACTTCAGTCAGACGTCAGCCTGCATCGTATCGCGTGTGCACAGGTGGCCTGTGTTTTGTCTGAAGTACAAATGAGAGGCTGGATATTGTTTCTGGTTCCCATCCAGGCAGACAGAGGTGTTTGTGAAGGAGGAGGTGTGTGGTGCCCGTTTTCCTCCGGGCAGGGCCCAGGCCACTGTCTTCCACAGGACACCCTCCGGCAAGGGGCTCTGTCCACTGTCCTTTGCCCGGCGCGGGGCTGCATGGCGGCCCCAGGAACGGCAGGCCCAGCGGCTCCTTGACAACGCCCCAGGTCCCCGTTCAGAGCCTGCCCACTCTGAACAGAGGCTCCAACAGCAGGGCTTTCATCCAGGAAGACGCTCCGTCTGCCTCTGGATATTATTTTTTTAGAGGAAGTAGGAAATGACAGGCTCATCGGAGACACTTTCTGCCCAGAGAGACCCAGGTCTGATTCCCTGATGTAACACACGGCACACAACACAGGGCGGCGGGTCCGCAGAAATGTCAGTGCAGGGCCTTGGTGTGCCAAGGGCAGGGTCGGCGAGAGCCTACAGCAGCCAGGAAAAGGGCCCCCTTGCTGATGTCAGTGTGCCCCTGTCAGTGGGGCCCCTTCACACGCGTCTTAATGAATATGCACCAGGAGATCAGGACACGTGGGCTCTCCCCAGGGGCCCACCAAGGCCGAGCCCATCCCGGTGCCACCTGCATCAGGCGTTCCTGTCAGACAGGTCCCGCTCGGGGTCCATGACGTGTGTTTCTCTCCTTCTGGCCACAGGTGGGCACAGGGCCCGGCGTGGGTTTCAACGTCAACATGGCTTTCACCGGCGGCCTGGACCCCCCCATGGGAGACGCTGAGTACTTGGCGGCCTTCAGGTGAGCCTCCCGGCTTCACATGACACCTGAAGTAGCAGCTTTTCCTCTGTGCACACATTCCAGGAAGCACTTGTTGGAGATGAGCGTGTCTGAAACTGGTCTGTGGCTGAACGGGGCTGTGGGGTCCGGAGGAGCTGTCTCAGTTCATTCTTCAGTGCCAAGCGTGGAATCTTGGCGACTATCTTCTTACCATCAGCTCTTAGTGCTCCCTTTTGTGCATGAAATAAAACCAGGAGCTCACTTTGGGTCGATGGTGAGAGAGTGATGGAGACAGAGGCAGGGACTTTTGTGCAGAGTGTTATGTTCATGAGAAACGAAGGCAAAGACCTGCAGGGTCTCATGATCTCCTAATTCTTCTTCCGCAAACCTCCTGTGATGTGATGTCCAATGGAAATAAGTATTTCTTCTTTATTTATTCCTAAAAATCAAAGGCAGTTGTCGCCCTCCCTCCCATTTCCTTCGTGTGGCTGTGACCCTTCAGCATTTAGCCGCAGGGCGCGCCGTTTAAAGACGCAGTGTTTGCTTTTGTCATCAAGCGGTTCCTTCTCCTTTGGTCTAGGCCAGATTGGGGTCATTCCTGTGACCCAAAATGGGATGCTGAGCAGCGCAGGTTTTCTTGTCATCGTTTTAAAATGGCAGCTTCACCTGCCGTGGTGGAGTGACGGGCGTCCAGGGCAGCAGCCCACAGCCCACATCGGTTCCCAGAGCCACGTGAGGAGAAGGGTTTTATTAGCGTGGCTGAGCCTGACATGCCGTGTCTCTGTTAGAAAACGCTGTCAGTATGGTGTCAAAGCCCCATACAGTCTTCAGCGCTTTTCTCTTTCTCTGTCTCCATGGTCTTGTTCTGATTTACATACATATAAAACGCACGTGTGCAGACGTGTCTTTGTGACGTGTGTGCATGTGTCTGTGTATGGATGTGAGTGCACGTCTGCATATGTGTGTGTCCACGTGCGTGTGTGTGTTTGTGTGGGTCGGTGTTCATCTGTGTGTGTGTGTCTGTGTGGGTGGGTGTTCGTTCATCTGTGTGTGTGTCTGTGTGGGTGGGTGTTCATCTGTGTGCATGTCTCTCAGTGCTTGTGCAGGTGTCTACAGCCATGTGCATGTCTGCAGGTGTGTGTCCATGCCTATGTGTGTTACACACATCTGTGTGGGTGTGGATGCATGTCTGTGTGCATGCAGTATACGTGTGTGTGCATATCTCTGAGGACACACCCATGTGCTTGTCTTTGCATGCACATGTCTTTGTGTGTATATCGCTGTGTGTGCACATCTGTATATGAGTACACACGTGTGCTTGTGTGTCTTTGCATGCACGTCTTTGTGTGTATATCTCTGTGTGTGTGTGCACATCTGTATATGAGTACACACACGTGTGCTTGTGTGTCTTTGCATGCACATGTCTTCGTGTGCACCTGAGTATGCACGTCTCCGGCAGGTGAGGCCCTTCACAAGGACATGTGTAAACGTCTTGTGTGGACTCTACCACATGCTTTCTGGGGACGGTGAATAAGTCACGAGACCCCTCTCAGTGTCTGCTCACTCTTCTCTAACTGGGGTCCGTTGCCCTCCTTGGAAAGGTTGTTGAGATCTGGTAACATAAAGGCCCTGGCCCAGGACACGTGGGCCCCCCTCCCCAGGCACTCAGTGGTTCCCAGAGGGAACAGACCCCATCTGACGGAGCCCAGGCTGCTTGGCTGCTCCGGCAGTGAGCCCGGGCTGTGCCGGTGGGAGTTCATCTGCTCCTCAGTGGACCTGCCCTGATCTGTACCTGAACCACTTTTCCCCTGATCTCATCGGTTTGATTTTGATGTTTCTTCTTACTCTTGATCAGATTTAATGTAATGTTGACAGATGCCCTGCCTAATTTAAGAGAGAAGGACGTCCCCCAATGTGTACCACTTCCGAAAATGAGCTCATATGAAATCGGACCCCTGGCGTGGGCGTGTCACCATCTGCTCATGGAATGTGCTCCCGTTGCCCCTCACTTAGTTGTCACCCCAGAGAACTGGCCCCCCTTGGAGGCTTCTCTGAAAGCAAAGTCTCTGGCCACCATAAGAGGTGTGCATGCTGCCTGATGGACTTCCTGCCTGAGTGAACACTGGTGCCACCCGGGGGACCCAGGGCCCACTGTGGCCAAATTCCCGTGCAGAGAGAGAAGGCAGGGCTTTCCTGGTGGACGGGGAGAAAGGGGGTGCTGCCCTCTTTCAGGTCAGTGGTCCCAGGCCAGGTTTTGATGGAGCCACCCTCACCCCATAGGCGTTTCTCAGTGGTGCCTTCGGCTCTTGGGTCCTGGGGTGAAACCCTCACCCCGTGGCATCCCTGCTGGCGGGCAAGCCCAGGCCCAAAGCAGCAATGGGCGTCTGCCGTCAGGGTCACTCCCCCTCCCCAGGCCCCGGCCGGCCCAGCCAGCCTTTAGGATGAACGTGCCTTTCTGAGTTGCTCTTGGCGTGTGCTTTAATCTCCTGCCAAGTGTGTCCGTGATAATACCTTATCAAGTGAACTTTTTAAAGCTTAAATAGCATCTTTGAAAAGGAAAATTGTTTCAGGGTTTTTTTTTTATTGATTTTAATGTAAAATAGCACTTTGAAGTTTACAATTTATGGTTCCCTGGGCATCCGATGATGGGGAAGAAGGGTCAGAAATTGGTTTTCCCCTTTCTTCTGCTCTTCTCCCCCACGGGGGCCCCCCGGGGACAATGCATGCCTTCCAGGCAGCACCTTGTTATTCAGACCCGTTGCCTGCCACATTGCATTTTCAGGGGATCAAGCCTAAGACGAAGAAAAGATAAGAAAATTGCCCCTAATGAAATCCAGAAGCAGCCGGCACTTTCTCCTCAGGCCCGGAGACTCGTAGGAGAAAAGGGAACCTTAATTCAAACCAGTCCCGGTGCCAGACGCGGCTTTGAAGTTGCTGAGTAAAGTCTGAGCCGCTGGGGGTGGGGGCTTGTAGGGAGATGACGATGACGATGAAGATGGTGCTCTGTAACCCATCCCTCACCTGTGCGCGGGGACATGGGGACTCTTCCGTCAGGGATGAGCGCCACATCCAGATGCCCGTGGTTCGTAGCTTAGATTCCACTGTGATATTACGAAGTTTATCAAAGATGTCTCTGAAACTGGATCTTCTCAAGCAATAACTGTGATAGCTTCACGAATTGGCATTAGCCTTGAAATTGAGCAACTGGGCAAAGCTATTTCACTTTCCCCAAACTTTCAAGTAAGACGGGAAGGCTGAGGCTCTTGAATGTTCGTTCCTTCCGTAAGCTGTGTTGCTGTGTTGCTGCTGTTGCTGCCTTTTGTAGACAGGTGTGTTTTAGGAGTCGCAGCGCCTGATGTCTGCTGTTTTCACCATTGCTGAGTGGCACCCGCTGCACACACCACGCTGGTCCCTGGGTTTCTTGCCTGAGGAAGTCAGGGTTATGAAGTTTTCATACAGACCGTGCCACCTTCTTTTCTAAAAGCAATTATGTCTCTTTAAGTGCATCCAAGTATTTTCCTATGTAGAAATTTATCTGAGAAGCAAAAAGAAGCAAAAGCATATAAGCTACAGCCTCAGAGCTGAGAGAGCTCGTCCTGCGCCAGCCTTCGCTCGCCTGTGGGGCCGGCCCTGTAAGAAGCGAACAGTGGAGCCGGCACAGTGCCTGCCCTGGAGGATAGCGGGGGACTGGGAGGACAAGCTCTAGGCAGGCCCGGTAAGACCTCAGGGGACCTGCCCACTTGGTGGGGCCAAGGAAGTTTCTGGAGGAGGCAAGCCCCCAGCTGAGTCCTGGAAGAACGAGCCTGGCACGGGACATTATGGGAGAAGGGCCGTCCCGAAGGAACAGAGCCCGATGGTGCAAACCCGCTCACCTGGGCTGCATCCACAGAGCCAGACCTTGGCCCTGATGGCAGGGGCTCTATCGGGGCCTCTGACTGTGGAATGAAGAAGCATCACGGCCAGCTCTGCATGTTGGACAGGCCCGTCTTGTGGCAGCTTAGGTGACAGACTTGGACCTGGCAAAGAGCATTCCAGGGTAGGATCTGGGGGCCAGTGGACAAGCCCAGAAAACAGCGGCAGAGATTGGGACAGGGCCACAGGCTGGTGAGGTGGGGCCATCTCAAAGAGGTTGAAGTGAGATGGGATTGAGGGGAGTAGGGGCTGATTTTGGGGGAGAGGGCACTTGGTGAGGTCTCGAGGTGCTGGCTTAGAGGAGGCTGAAGGGTGCTGGGCAGAGATCCAGCGGGAGAAGGTTCAGGTGGGGGTGGATGAGGGTTCAGTGGGGACGCTTTTGCTTCAGTCTGTTTTCAGGAAAAAGTGAGAAAGTGTCCATCCAAGTGGGTGGTTGGGAGCATCTCCACCTGGAGGCCCCTTAGTAGGGAGAGCCAGTGAGGAGCCAGTTTGTGTGGACGATGCCCCAGGGCATTTATTGGGGCAGAACGGCAGCCAGAAACTCAAGCATGGCGTGCCAGCCCTGAGCCCAGTTCCCACGGAGTCCCCAGAGGCTTGCCGGCTGTGGGTGGCCACAGGACTGCAGCCTCTTGGCCCCATAAGCTCGGTTTGCTCTGAGGCTTGTGTTGACGGAAGGTGTGGTGAGTTTTGTTTAGGGTCCTACTAGGGGAATGAACTGGAAGGTCATTTCTTTCCAGATGTTGAAACCCAGCTGTTAAGTGAATTATTGCATTTAGATGCAGTTGTGGCTTTTGAGGATGGTATGTACAGGCCATAATTTGATGGTATGTGGTGGTTTAGAGCTAGACGTGCCCCGTGACACAGCCCCTTGCGCAGAGCACAGCTGGGAGGCTGCACGAGCGATGGCCTTTCGAGGAAGCAGAGTGGCCGGCACCCTGCCTGCTGTCCCGGTCCAGCTCTGTTCCCCCTGGGAAGCCGAGGGGCGTGGCCAACACCCGCCTGCTGTTCCAACCCAACCCAGCTCTGTTCCCCTGGGAAGCCCAGGAGAGTGGCCCGGCACCCGCCTGCTACTGCTATCCCGGCCCAGCTTTGTTTCCCCGGAAGCTGAGGGGAGTGGCTGGCACCCGCCTGCTACTGCTATCCTGGCCCAGCTTTGTCTCCCAGGAAGCCAAGGAGAGTTCGCTGGCACGCGCCTGCTACTGCTATCCCAGCCCAGCTCTGTTTCCCAGGAAGCTGAGGGGAGTGGCTGGCACCCGCCTGCTGTCCCAACCCAGCTCTGTCTCCCTGGGAAGCCGAGGAAAGTGGCCAGCACCCACCTGCTATCCCGGCCCAGCTTTGTTTCCCGGGAAACCAAGGGGAGTGGCTGGCACCTGTCTGCTGTCCCAGCCCAGCTCTATTCCCTGGGAAGCTGAGGGGAGATGTCGTCTTCAGGCTGCAGGTGCAGGTTGGCTGATGACCGAGTGAAGGGTGCAGTGCTGTGTCGGTAACGAAGGTGCCAGAGAAGCCACATTGAGGCCACGGGAAGGGGATGCGTGGCACCCCACGGCTTCACACGGGACCTCCCTAAATGCAGAGGCCACCGCGAGGAGAAGCCGCTCTCTCCCCTTAGCACCACGTTTCCCTCTGTACGTGCCTCACGGGCACAGGCACCCTCTGGGCACCACAGTCATGGCTTCCCTGGGCTTGCCGGCCCCAGGGGTGCACCTTACAGGCATTTGTCCACCTTCTCTAAAGATCCCCTCTTTCCACCCATTTCTCCTGCCTCTTGAGCTGACGATCAGTGGACGATCAGTGGGCCTACTGCCTTGGGAAACTGCGAGCCCACCCCTCTCTCCCCTCAGGTTGCCCCAAGAAAGGCCAAAAGTGACCTCATGGAAATACTCTCCTTAAAGTGATGGCTTGAGAGGCCCACGGCAAACATCTCAATCTTATTTTTTTAGAGACTGAGTTCTTTTTTTTTTTTTTTTTTTTTTTTTTTTTGAGACGGAGTCTCATTCTGTCGCCCAGGCTGGAGTGCAGTGGCGCGATCTCGGCTCACTGCAAGCTCCTCCTCCCAGGTTCATGCCATTCTCCTGCCTCAGCTTCCTGAGTAGCTGGGACTACAGGCACCCGCCACCACGCCCAGCTAACTTTTTGTATTTTTTAGTAGAGACCGGGTTTCACCGTGTTAGCCAGGATGGTCTCGATCTCCTGACCTCATGATCCGCCTGCCTCGGCCTCCCAAAGTGCTGGGATTACATGTGTGAGCCACCGTGCCCGGCCGAGACTGAGTTCTTTATTAAAAGTTTAATTCTGGGAATAAAATGTGAGTCCAGTTTCCCATTTTTTGCAGCATCTATTAAACAGGGACATTCCTTCAGCTTCCTCTTGTAGGAAAGTCGTGGAGGGTAAGCACAGTCCTGAAGACACAGGGAGTGCCATGCTCAGCTTCCTTTTTACAGGCAAAGAAGTCATGTCCCATGGAGGAGAAGGGACGTTTCTTAGTCGCGCCACAAACGGGTGCTGAAGGTGCACTCATGCACCTCACGTTCTGACCTTCTTATGTCTAGCAGGTGTTTGGGATCACAACCTAGAGGGTGTTGAGCCCAGTAAAATGAAAATGAGTGTGTGGGCACGTGCATCCGACTGTGCCCCACGCAGCCTCACGTGTGGCCGACGTGCCAGTGCCCACGAGCCTGGGCTCATCTTTCCCATTTTGTTTTGACTGGCTTTGAGGCAACACCACACACCAAGCCTAGACAGCAGAGACTCTCTTGGTATGAACTTCATTTAACGGCGATTTTCACAGGACTTCTTTTTGGAGGGGGATTAGAAGTAAAATAGCTCAGCAGCACTTCAAAGTGGGGAAGTAAAGCCTCCACGTGCGCTCGCTGCAAAGCAGCAGTCAGAGTGCCTCGCCAAGGACACAGCGTCCACACAAAACGCCTGTGGTTCTCATTGAAAAAGGTCTTGGCTTTAAAATCCACACCAAAAGCATGGCTGGAAATGTGTTTTTCTGTCCAAAGAAAAAGGTTTTATGACAAGAACTTTATTAAAATAATTAGAAGCGAGTCTCCTTGGGATGATGTGGACAGTTGAAAGCAGAGGGCGGCCCCCTCAGTCCTGCGGCCCCCCTCAGTCCTGTGGCCCCCTCAGTCCTGCTTCCCCACTCAGTCCTGCTGCCCCCCTCAGTCCTGCTGCTCCCCTCAGTCCTGCTGCCCCCCTCAGTCCTGCGGCCCCCTCAGTCCTGCGGCCCCCCTCAGTCCTGCTGCCCATTAGGTTGGTCAGAGCCATGGAGGAAGCCTCGGAATGTCGGTCAGAAAGGACTGTGGGGCCAGTGCCTTCCAGTGTCCAGGGCAGGGCCCTGGGTCCAGCAAGAGTCAAAGGACTCCTGGATTCCAAGGCATTCTCTCCATCCTGCCACTGACTAGACTGATTTCTCCCCTCCCAGCCCTGCGGCGGGAGTGCCGACACCAACTCCACGCACGCTCTGAGGCCAGTGCGGTGTTTCCTGTGTTGTACACCATGTTTGCGAAATCGCCATGCTTTGTGGTGGGGTCCCAGTAGGTGAGAAGAAACCTCTCACTCTGGGACCAGAATCATGCATGGAAGAATGTTACAGAAGTTGTATGGACAGGACCAGAGCAGAGGTTTGGGCAACTCCAGCTGGTGGGCCAAGTCCTGCCGCCTGTGCTCTTGGCACAGTGTTATCAGAGCACAGGGACGCTCGCACGCCGATGCACTGTCTGTCCTGTCTTGGGCACCACAAGGGCAGCATCACGTGGTCCTGGCAGAGACCGTGTGGCCCACAGACTGAGGTCAGGTGCCTCCTATCTGACCCGTGGCAGGAAGCTCGCTGCCCCTGTCTAGATTCACCTTGTTTCCTCAGCCCCTAACGATGGCCCTCGGGGCACAGCTCCTGTGTCCTTGGAAAGCACTTTCTACAGCTGCCGCAGAGGCAGGTCTAGGGGAAATTGTGTGGACTGGCTCTCTTCAGAAAAAAGAACAGAAGCAGACTGCTCAGAAGCCACCCAGGGTCTCCTGTGACTCCCATCTAAGTTCCAGAAGTGAGTTTCTTGGCGGGCAAGGTGCCTAGGTGTGGATTTGACGCATGTTTGGAGGGCAGAGTTTGTCAGCACTGACTTGAACAGGCTGAAGCCACACAGTCCCACGCATCACTCTTCTCCCGTCTGAGCTTGCTCATGGGACGCGGGGCACCAGGATCAGGCACCGCGTGCTCCCAGCATTGAGATGGGCCCTCCCGTTGCCTCAGCGTCCCTGATGGGACTCATGACTGCTGGCCCTCTAGAGAGTAGCCCGCGGGATCTTCACCTGGTGTTTAAGCCCTTGGGGGTTGTGTCCCTCCACCACCAGAAATCAGAGGAACTTTTCAATAAGATTCTGATCTGCGGTCATCCCCGAAAAGGGGTCACATTGAATTTTCAGCATTTTTGTTTCTTCTGGTCAAAGTTGATACTTTCAGTGACATCAGTGGGGAATTTCATTTGTAATAAAAGCTGAATGAAAAAGTTTTAGGGCCAGCCCTGCTGCCGTCTGCCGTGATGTTTCTGGAAGGTCCTTGGTGGTGGGAAGGGACACTGGGCCCGGTGAGTGCATTTTTGGCTGCCCCCAGGGAGGGGCCTCTGAAAATCCATATGAAGGGAGGCGCCCATCGGGTGATGCACTTGGCCCACACGCGTGTGCTGGGGAGGCCGTGGGGACACAGAAGTGTGCTTCGGTGCAGGACAGGCTGGGCTGAGCAGCTCCAGGAAGTAGGCGGTGGTGAAACCCTAAAACATGGACCTACTCACACAAGGGCTTGGTGAGGGGACCCCCAGAGCTCACAGCACAAGTGGGAATCGTGCAAACTAGGCTTCATGGTGGAAATACCAGGAGACTTTTAAAAGTTCGTAGAAAATGCATATTTTGAAAAAAACTGCATGGGTTTCAAAATGTTTCTGCACCAAAATAAATTCGCACTAACGTGTTATATCTGGACAGGATCTAGTTTGAGGCACCAAGGATAAAACGTCAGTTTGAAAAGAGCCCTTCTCAGAGCAACGTGAATTCTGCTAAAACTGAAGCCAGAACAAACAGCAAGTTTACAGTGAAGCTTGGGTAGGAAGAGTGGTGAAATCATTGATACTTTATGAAAAGTTTATGGGGACAATGCCCCAAAGAAATCAGCAGTTTACAAATGGATGACTCATTTTAAGAAGGAATGTGCAATGGTGTTGAAGATGAAGCCCCCAGCTGCAGACCATCCACATCAATTTGTGAGGAAAAAATTCATCCAGTTCATGCCCTAATTGTAGAGGACCCACAATTAACAGCAGAAGCAACAGTTGACACCATGGGCGTCTCAACCGGCTCAGCTTACACAACTCTGCCTGCAGAATTAAAGTTGAGCAGACTTTCCAGTCAGTGGGCACCAAAACCACAGCGTCCAGATCAGCTGCCGACAGGAGCAGAGCTTTCGGTGGAAATGTTCAACAGGTGGACTCAGGGTCCTGAGTGTCATAACAGGAGATGGAGCACGGCTTTCCCAGGACCATCCTGAAGACAAGGCACAACCACAGCACCGGCTACCGAGAGCCAGAGGTGGCCCAGTCACAGCAGTAGCAGGCTGGTCAAGCAGGAGTAAAGGTCATGACAGCAGGTTTGGGGAATGCCCAAGGCATGTTGCCTGTTCTGGAGGACCAAAGAATGATAACACCTGCTTATTGTGAGAGTGTTTTGAGAAAGTTCCTCAGCACTTTCACAGAAAATCACTGGGAGAGTTTCCCCCGAGAGTCTTTTTTTGTTTTCTGAGGTGGAGTTTTGCTCTTATCAGCCAGGCCGGAGTTCAGTGGCATGATCTTGACTCACTGCAACCTCTGCCTCCTGGGTTCAAGCGATTCTCTCACGTCAGCCTCCCGAGTAGCTGGGATTATAGGTGCATGCCACCACACCCGGATTTTTGTATTTTTAGTGGAGATGGGGTTTCACCATGTTGGCCAGGCTGGTCTCAAACTCCTGACCTCAGGTGATCTGCCCACCTCAGCCTCCCAAAGTGCTGGGATTACTGGCGTGAGCCACCGTGCCCAGCACCCCTCCCTCCGCCGCCACCAAGAGTCCTCCACAACAATGCTTCTGCTCACTCCATTAAACTAGAAAACCTTTGCAAGAGCTTTGAAGAGAAACCATTAGGCATCCACCTTCCAGTCCTGAGTTGGCTGCTTCTTCTTTCCTAATCTTAGAAAAACCTGTAAAGGGCACTTATTTTTCTTCATTTAATGTAAAAAAAAAAAAAAAAAACAACAGAGACTGCATTGACATGGTTAGATTCCCAGGACACTCAGTCCTTTCGGGAGGGACTAAATGGCTGCGGTCACCATTGCAAAAGTGTCTTGGACTTGATGGAGCTTGAGAAATAAAGTTTATATTTTTTATCTTTTAATTCAATTTTTCCACGAACTTTTTGAAGCCCCTTTTTAAAGGCTCCACTTCTGTTCCACCGTCCTCACCTGCACAGGCCCCTTGCACCTGGGCCGTCATTGCAGGAAGACACCAGACCACCTGTCTCATGAGGTCCTTGCTGTCCGCCAGGAAAGGGAGGCCCTGATTCTGCTCCCCTCACCCACAGAGGGAGTGAAGGAGACTTTGAAAGTCAGTGGTGGTGATTAACTCAGGATCGAAGGCGGCAGCCTAAAGGAGACATGAAACTGCTGAACTTCCCTACTCACGGAGAGCACACATATGGATTCATAGCATACGCATGGATTCATAGCACACACTGATAAGATCATTAGACTAAAGACTGATAAGTTCTTTTGTGTTAAGGAGTGCTTTTTCCCCTTTCCAAATAGAATACTTTCCTTATTTCCCTAATATAATTTAAAGAATTTCTCAGTGGTTCTGTCTTTTCCAGTGAATTCTCTTACATTTGTCATCAGTTTTCCCTTTAAAGATTCTTAAGTGTCTTGTGTTGTAATTCCCTTACACCTGTGTGTGTTGGTGTTCCAGGGTGAGTAAGGAACACGTGGGCTCCCCCAGCAGGGCTGGCAAGGGCTCTCCGCCCTCTCGGCCACACTCAGTCCCAGCACTAGGGGCAGTGGGTGACTGCACGTGTCTTCAGTGGGAGCTGTGGAAAGTGCATTGTCGCAGCAAGAGCAGCCTGATGGGGCGAGTGGAGCTGACCCAGTCTCAGAAGAGAGGATGGGCAGGGAGGACCAGGACAGAGAGGACGGGACAGGGCCAGGGTGGGTGGGCACGGGGCCAAGGAGGGGTGTTAGTGGGACAGGGAGCTGGCTTCACTCCCCCAGGTTAATGCAGCTTGTCCCATGGGGGTTACAGAAATTATACAGAAAACAGCATACCAAGAAACAGCAATGCTCTCACTCTCACTAAGCAAGTGCAGTGGGGCTTGCTGGCTTGCACCGTGACTCCCTCTCACCAAGCAAGTGCAGTGGGGCTTGCTGGCTTGCACTGTGACTCCCTCTCACCAAGCAAGTGCAGTGGGGCTTGCTGGCTTGCACCGTGACTCACTCTCACCAAGCAAGTGCAGTGGGGCTTGCTGGCTTGCACCGTGACTCACTCTCACCAAGCAAGTGCAGTGGGGCTTGCTGGCTTGCACTGTGACTCACTCTCACCAAGCAAGTGCAGTGGGGCTTGCTGGCTTGCACTGTGACTCACTCTCACCAAGCAAGTGCAGTGGGGCTTGCTGGCTTGCACCGTGACTCCCTCTCACCAAGCAAGTGTCGTGGGGCTTGCTGGCTTGCACCGTGACTCACTCTCACTAAGCAAGTGTCGTGGGGCTTGCTGGCTTGCACCGTGACTCACTCTCACTAAGCAAGTGTCGTGGGGCTTGCTGGCTTGCACCGTGACTCCCTCTCACCCAGCAAGTGCAGTGGGGCTTGCTGGCTTGCACCGTGACTCCCTCTCACCAAGCAAGTGCAGTGGGGCTTGCTGGCTTGCACCGTGACTCCCTCTCACCAAGCAAGTGCAGTGGGGCTTGCTGGCTTGCACCGTGACTCCCTCTCACCAAGCAAGTGCAGTGGGGCTTGCTGGCTTGCACCGTGACTCCCTCTCACCAAGCAAGTGCAGTGGGGCTTGCTGGCTTGCACCGTGACTCCCTCTCACCAAGCAAGTGCAGTGGGGCTTGCTGGCTTGCACCGTGACTCCCTCTCACCAAGCAAGTGCAGTGGGGCTTGCTGGCTTGCACCGTGACTCCCTCTCACCAAGCAAGTGCAGTGGGGCTTGCTGGCTTGCACCGTGACTCCCTCTCACCAAGCAAGTGCAGTGGGGCTTGCTGGCTTGCACCGTGACTCCCTCTCACCAAGCAAGTGCAGTGGGGCTTGCTGGCTTGCACCGTGACTCCCTCTCACCAAGCAAGTGTCGTGGGGCTTGCTGGCTTGCACTGTGAAGATGTGAAATGAGCCTGGATCACACGTGGGTTGATTCCCTTCTAATTAAGCGTGGTCGCCAGATTCCAGCCTGCTGTGTGGAGCCCTCAGCCCGCCAGTGGCCGAGGGGGTGCGGGGCAGGCATTATCAATGCCAGAGGGAACCTTGGGGTTTTGTGACCGTCCCGTCCCTCTTTCAGCTGACCCAGTAACGCCTTCTCCTGTCCTTTGCAGAACGGTGGTCATGCCGATCGCCAGCGAGTTTGCCCCGGATGTGGTGCTGGTGTCATCAGGCTTCGATGCCGTGGAGGGCCACCCCACCCCTCTTGGGGGCTACAACCTCTCCGCCAGATGTAAGTGGTTCTGCATATGACTGAGGAGCCGGTTCTGCTCATGTCCATGATCCGCTGTGTTCCGCGTGTCAGGTCCCCTTTTTAATAACGAGATAAGGAAGGGCACCTTTTTACTAATGACCAAGGTTCTGACCGTACTGGGAACCAGTCCATTTGGGAGGCCCCAGAGAGCCCAGAGCAGGCAGCGGGAGCTCAGACCCAGGCACCTCGGGCACTCTTTGCCCAGGAAGGGCCTAGGGCACACGAGGCTCCCTCTCTGGGATGCGGGTGCCTAGGGACCTGCAGGCCACCTCCAGGGGCAGGTCCTGGTCCCACCAAGAGCTGAGATGTGCCCCATGCCGCTTCTCTGGCAGGCGGTGCTCCTTGGAACTGTAAAGGGAAGTTGCTGGGGGCACAGTTGAGTTCAGAGTTGGATGAGGGAGCCCAGGATGTGTGTGTCCTCTCAGGATCAGCGTTAGGGGCCATGCTGTCAGGATGGGAGGAGGGACTGCCCAGCAGTGCTCCTGCTGTGCCTCAGCAACTCACAAGGAGATGAAAACCTGGCGCACACAAAGGCCTGGCCGCCTCCCCCACCCTGGAGTCCCCGAGGATCCTGGAGAGCCTCCCGAGGCCCAAGCATCCTGTGGCCTTGGTCCTAGCCCTGGTGATGCCCTCAAGGCCCCAGCGTCCACAGTGTATGGCCCTCCCCACTCCTGTCGGCACAGGCGGCCAAGGAGGGGCCCGTCTCTCAGGTCCTTGCGTGGGGAGGGTGTGGCTCACCCAGGAGACCTGAGGCAGCCCTCGGTGGCTGTGCTCCCCTGGGGCCTCCCACAGTCCACCAGGCCGTGCAGCCTAGTGGCCAGCAAAGTGACCAGACAGAGGGCAAAGAGCTTCCACTGTGCCCAACGCCCCACAGCACCCGGCCCGGAGCACCGCGGCCACCACATCCTCAGCTTCCTCCTCAGTCCGCACAGCTGCCTCGAAGCCCCTGTCACTGTTTCCATCAGATGGGATGAACCGAGGCTTTGGGAAGTTACGGCCTCGCCAGCCCATGATCGGGGCCACTAATTAGCGGCGCGTGGTTCCGGGCTCTCTAATCAGCACCGGCCTGGCCTGGCTGAGGGTGGTGATTACCCTCATCCACCAGGCATTCCCTCCTGGGGTGAGTGATGTGGGTGCAGTGGCGGGACTGTGGCTCTTGATCAAAGCCAAACGCTCAGACCTGGACGTGGGAGAACGCTTCAGGAGCACATGCAGCCTGTGCACATGTGTACACATACATGTTTGGAGCATGTCAGATAACCAGAGCCCGCTGGGCCACGGCCACAAGAGCATGGCCATAGCCCCTCTGCGGGGGCCGAAGGGCAGGTGGCCTGCAGCCTCTGGGTGGGGCTGGCTGCCCTCGTCCCCTAAAGCAGATGATTTGCTGATTAAAAATCAAAGCATTGAAGCCATAATTCCTCCTCTCAAACAGATCAAAGAGGAAATCCAAAGCCGAAACTCTTCAGCGAATTTATTAAACGAAACCCGGCCTGGCCATGTGTCTCGACACCCCAGCCCCCAGTCTTCTTACGATGCCATGAGACGCGTTTCTGGGCTGTGCTGGCTGCGGTCCTCCCCCGTTCACACTGCAGTCTCCCGTTTCCCGTTGCAGGCTTCGGGTACCTGACGAAGCAGCTGATGGGCCTGGCTGGCGGCCGGATTGTCCTGGCCCTCGAGGGAGGCCACGACCTGACCGCCATTTGCGACGCCTCGGAAGCATGTGTTTCTGCCTTGCTGGGAAACGAGGTAGGAAGACCCCAGAGACCCCACAGGATGCTCCACACTGACAGGCTCGGGGTTGTGGCCTGGCTGCCCGAGAGCCCCAGAGCATGAAAAAGCCAGTGGGTCTCTGACCACGTGGATGCTTGCAGCTCCGCCTTGCACCTGCCCCCCACCCCCGCATAGCTCTAAATGTGGCAGAACCGTGACGATGGCTGGAAGAGGTGCAGGGGGCAGGACTGGAAGGAGCCCTCTTGTCGTGAGAAGATGGCTCAGGGTCCTCTGCGGTGCGACTGCACCCTTTCAGTTCAGGGTCCCTCTCTCCATTACGTGGAGCACACTGTGACCAGAGGTTTTCTTTTTCTTTCTCTCTTCGTTTCCTCTGTGGACAGTCAGCTTCTCTAGGGAGTCCTCATGTGGGTTTCGGTCAGTGGCCCCAAGGCAGGCTGGGGCTCTTCTGCCCAGCAGGCCTGTCTGCTGCTCTGAGCCCCCAGGGACAGGGCTCCCTGCTGTGTCCCTACCAACACCGCCGGAGGGAGTCAGAGACGCTGTGGTCTGTACAGCTGGCCTCTGAGACCTGGGCAGAGAAAAAGAATGTTCCACGGGCTCGGGGTGAGAGCGCCACCTGCAGCGTTCCATTCCAGCATGACGCTGGGGCCCGGGCCTCCCTGCTCCCAGCAGGGCCTCCACCAGGCGTGGGCCAGTGAGATGGGAGGAGGAGGCAGTGCCACAGCTACCAATGTCATATCCACCTCCAAGAGTGTCTGAAGTGTGTGACACAAAGTGGAGGGGTACCTTTCATTCTGAGTTTCCCACACCTGCTCTTCCTGAGCCTCTGAACCCGTCTACAGGGTTTTGGGTGTGAGTCCAGATCCCCAAGACACGACTCAGTCGGTGGCTTCCCCACGCAGAGCTCTGCCTGGCTGCCTGCGCTGGGTGTCCAGTGCAGGTCCGGAGAACAGCCAGCTGGCACGTGGGGGACTCAAGGGCCATGTGTCCAGATCACTTGACCACAGGAAGCGGAGGGCAGGGCAGTGCCTGAGGCTCCAGCACACCAGATGCAGAGGCCTTGCCAGGGGGCAGGGTGGGAGTCTGCCTCCTGTGCCCTCTGGGACTGCCCTCCCCAGCCCGGCAGTCCTGAGGACAGTCTCAGTAGAGTCGGGGTGACAGGGCACTTTAGTGGGGGTGTCCTGGTGCTCAGCGGTTTGCAGGAAACCTGCATTTTCACCCCCATTTGATGCTCAGCCCCCACTCTGGGGGACTTCTCTGGAAGCAGCATCCTCATTTTCAGCTCAAGGAAAAGGCAGCACTCTACCATCCGACCTCACCTGTCTTTACAAAAAAATCTCCCCAGTCCCTTATGTTTGGGGAACCAGTGGGACAGCAGCTCAGATGCCCTCGGGTCAGTGCTGGCTTTTGCCTGCCTGTGGGTGCTCCAGACCAAGGTGCTGGTCCCAGGCCCTCTGTTCACCAGACAGGCGGTCACACACTTACAGGTGCCTTGCACGCCCCTGGGTTCTGGTGTCTGATGGCTCTTACTGACAGGCGCTCTGGCCTGGCATTGTGGGGCGGGCAGAGGGATGGCAGGGACTGCAGCCATCCCAGGACACTCTGTGCAAGCCTCCCCCGATGGAAAGCTGGCCCTGCTCACTCCAGGACGGTCCGGGTGCCGTGCAACTAAGGGCAGCGCCCAGAGGCACTCGAGGTCACGAGCGGTGGGGAAACGTCAGGCCGCACAGGAGGCCACGGACCCCTGTAGTTAAGCACGGCGCTCGCGGGGTCTGGTGTGCAGGCATCGTTCGCATTGTTCTGGAAAATGCAGAGGGAGGGTCCACTCTCTGGCCCACTGTCTGTGAGTGGCCTCAGCATGCGCAGTGGGCCTCGAGGTGGCCAGCACACAGGGCACCTCGCAGAGGACGCCTCCTGCACATGGGCGTGGGTGCTGGAATTCTCATTGTGAGCGTTAGAACAAAAGGGTGTCTTCTTCCCAGTGCAAACCCCATTATGAGAGGAACCCCACTGGTCACAGCCAGTTCCCACCTCCACCACCTCTGCCGTCTGTCCCTGGGAAGCAGGTTGCTTTCCAAACGGTTGGTAACTCGCTGCTAACTGGGTGCTGCTTTAGCCGAGGAAGCCGTACGTTCCTGACCTGGGTCTGCTCTTGAGAGCAGGGTCTTATTGTGAGCAGTCAAGACCCCCACCTTTCTAGGGCCCCAGGCCGCCACAGCACCAGAACCTTCCTCCCTCCCCTTCTGTTGAGGCCGATGTGAGGGGCAGCATCAGAGACGGCGGAGGTGGGACCTGGGACTGCAGGTCCCGCCTCCAGCCAGGGGCACTCCAGTCAGGGGTCTCCCCCTGCGCCAGAAGTGGGAGCAGCACAGGGCATCCTCCGGGCCCCTCCCCCGCCCCCAGCAGGGCTGCTGCCATGGCTTTCCCAGAAAGGCCAGCACTGTAATCCTAAATTTTGAAAGATTCACTCTGAGACAAACCTGCTTTATTTTCCAGGAAAGGTCTCATTCAGACACAGGCCTGAAGGCCAAGCACACCAGCAATATCTCCAGGTGACACAAACTGCCCGGCACAGCAAGGGGAGCTTTTCCAGGCCAGGGAAGCCAGGGCGGTGCGCGTCAGCTGTGTGTTCCTCCAGCCCTTGCCATTAGAGGGAGAGGGGCAGCTTCCTTAGAACCTACGAGGCTCCGTCTCTCTGCAGTGACTCCTGATCTAAGGGCCGTGGGTGAGGCCTGCAGATGATCGGCAGGGCTCAGTGCCTTGCCCCGGTGACCATGCGCAGCCGCTGAGGGAGGCCCAGGACCGGCAGCGCTGAGCCTCGGCTCACCCAAAGGCTGCCATGGGGCCCATGGGGCCTTGACCCAGACTTGGGAAGCCAGGGAGCTGGCGGTCAGGGAAGTGGGCACTGGCCAGTGGTCTCCCAGACAGGAGGGAGGTTCGGTGGCTTGAAGAAGTAGAGGACGCCAAGGGCAGGGTGACCCTGGGGGTCAGTGAGAGCCCAGAAGTGCAGGCACCTCACGGGAGGACAGTTGGGCTCTCGCAGGTGTGGGGGAGGCTGGGCTGGCCAAGCCAAGAGCACGAGGCAGAAGGGGAAAGGGGAGAGAGGGACGCATGGCCAGGCCTGAGGTGGTCTGTTGGGCCCCACTGAAACCCCTGGATCTTCTGAGGGGTGGGCGCATACGTCCCCTTGCACACCTCCGCCGACAGCTGACAGTGCTGCCTTAAAGACCAGGGCTGGCCGGGCGCAGTGGCTCACGCCTGTAATCCCAGCACTTTGGGAGGCCGAGGCGGGCGGATCACGAGGTCAGGAGATCGAGACCATCCTGGCTAACATGGTGAAACCCCGTCTCTACTAAAAATACAAAAAAAAAATTAGTCGGGGGCAGTGGCGGGCGCCTGTAGTCCCAGCTACTCGGGAGGCTGAGGCAGGAGAATGGCGTGAACCCGGGAGGCGGAGCCTGCAGTGAGCCGAGATCGCGCCACCACACTCCAGCCTGGGCGAGAGAGCGAGACTCCGCCTAAAAAAAAAAACAAAAAAAGACTGCAGGGCCACGGCCCGGCTTGGGAGGATGGGGGATGGGAACGGTTCCATGACCCACTACAGAGCAAGACCCCTGGGTGCGTGACCCCGGGACAGCAGACCTGGAGTATGCGAGACCCCATGTGTGCCAAGCCCCAAGGGCACAAGACTTAGCCGGAGGAGCGACAGCAGGCAATGGCCAAGGTCAGGGCCTTGGCGGGGTCAGGACCTTGCATCGCCAAGGGGAGCCCCTTGGGACCTGCAGCCTGGGCCATCGCAGGGGCCTGCGCCAGCCAGAGGGGTGCCGAGAGGGGACATGGGCAGTGGCTGCAGGTACCAGGACACGCCCTGCCTTCTGGCCATCTTTGCTGGTCAGGGATGGTGTTCATGTTAACATAAATCACAAGTAGATCAAAGATCCAGGTGGCATCCCTGCAGCGGGTGAGCTGGCCAGCGACAGGCTGGATAAAAGACCGGGCTGCTGTTTAAAATGTCCAAAGCACTTTACAGGTCCTTTCTTCACATCAAACAGTCTTTTCCCCCTTTTTGCTCCAGTTAAAAGGCAACTGACGTATATATTCTACCATCCCGAAGCCTTATGGTTCTTCTGGCTAGTTATTTTAAATAACAATAGGGAACTTCGCTTTCAGCCGTGGCCTGTTCTTGCTTCCTGATGCGTGTTTGCGCTTCTAACAAGAAAATGTTCTTTTACTTAAACACGTCAAAAAGGAGGAAGCACTAGTTTTATCAAGGTCTCTTTAAAAGTCTCTTTAATGCACAAGAGTTGGCCTGGGCCCCGCCCCTCTGCCCGGCAGCCTTTGATGAAGGTTGATATACAGTGTGCCAGGCGATCTGGCACACACAGGCGGGGCCGCCAGCTGTGACGGCAGTGGCCTGCGGGGACCCTGTTGCTGCAGAAGTGGCTGAGTTATAGGGTGTGCGGGACAGGAAGCGCAGAGGGGCCTTGGCGTCCCCGCTATCAGAGCGACCCCTCTGTCTTCAGCGCGTAGGTCTGGAGGCCTGTGCTGTTCCCAGCAACCATTTTATTTAATAGTTTCCATGTTCAGTTATCTGCAACTGCCAGTGACTATGGGCAGTGAAAAGTTCCCTACGAGTGTTGCATGTTGCAGTGTAGATGGGCCGTGGAGTCGTGTGGGCGCAGCACCGAGTCGGGCCTCCAGCCAACTTCCATCAAAGACCCTGCACCAGACGGCCACGGGGATCTGTGGCCCAGGCCCGTGCCCCCGGGAGGTTAGGAAAGGACCGTCTCTCCTGTCTGAGACCATGCCCAAAGCAGGTTTTTGCTTGGGCCAATTTTCTACTTTAGTCATGGGGCATTTCAGGGTTAAAATGCCACCATCTCATTTAACCCACTCCAGGATTCGTGGAAGACATTCGTGGAGCAGGAGGGTGGTGTCGTGTGGAAAAGGTTTTCCCCCGGGAGTTTAGCTTATTAGTTATGTCCTGATGCTTTGTGAAAGGTGTGGTTGTGAAACAGCTCTAACAAAGTAACGAAAACCAAGTGTGTGTGAGGGACTGAGTTGGATTAACCTGAGAGCTGGCTGCCTGCTTCCAGTCACTCTTCCTCTCACACTGACACCCCACATGGCCACCCTCTTGTACACACACACCACACATAGGCACCACAGTCTCACATGCACGTGCATCCTTGCTCATGCACACCACACATGCACACCCACGCAAGCACCAGTCACACGTGCACACACGTGCACCCTCTCATGCACGCACACACCACACATACGCACACCCACACAGGCACCAGTCACACGTGCACACACCACACACCCTCTTGTGCATGCACACACCACACACACGCACACCCACACAGGTACCACAGTCTCACACATCACATGCACCACACAGGTATGCCCTCTTGTGCATGCACACACCACACATCTGCACACCCACAGAAGCACCAGTCTCACATCTGCACGTGCATACTCATGAATGCACCACACAGTCTCACGTGCACACACACACCACACACGCACACATACCCCACAAGCACATGCTGTCACGCACATTCATACACATGAATGCTTACACACACCACACACTCACACTCAGTCACACTCCCCCCGTGCCAACGGTGAATGTTTTATCTGCATGCAGCCGATTGTGGCGCGCACAGGGTCCACGTCGTGTGTCCCGCTTGCTCCTCTTTCCATCCGGGCTGCCAAAGCCTTCCTGGCCGACTTTCAGCAAGACAGAGCCCAGCCTCGTGGCCTTCAGAGTTGAAGGAGCTGTGGCCACACACAGCGGGGCCGTCCCTCTGGGCCCTGTTACCTGGGTGTTGGGATGTAAGGGACATCTCAGCGCTCCCCCTTCCCTGGGGCCCCCTCTGTAAAGGAGCCTGCGTGCATCCCACACGGGCCCGGGCCGGGGCAGGTGCGGGCTGCTCCGGGTTTGCTTGTGACAGACAGAGTTACGCTGAACTTCCGGGCAAGTCCCCAATACACCTAGGTGGCCGTGTCTCCGGTAAACGTCCAGGAGGGGAGATGGCCCAGGATGTGTTTGTTCACCTTTAGGAGATAACATCAAGCGGCTTTTTAAGGGTTAAAACTGTCTTCAGCAGTGGCGTGACCAGACCTCAGCAGCACTTGGCATTGTTGCCCTTGACCTTTGCCAGCTGGACGGGGGTAAAACTGGCCCCTCTGCAGGGCTCCAGGGTCCCTTCCTCATGACCGCCACGGCAGAGCAGCCCCGCATCTGCCTATTGGCCACCTGGGCTTTCCCTCCTTGTGAAGTTCATGTCAACCCGTTTTTCTATTGGATTGTCTTTTCCCTATTTGTTCTTAGTGGGGTGAATTAGACAGATGGACAGAGGGAGAGAAGGAGAGAGCGGTGGTGTGAAGCAGGTTCTCCACACATTGGTGACCAGCCTGTGTGAGTCCAGGGAGACAACACCCACACACACATTCTGTGCAGCAGATTTACTACTTACAGACAGGCAGCAGGGGACGGCAGAAGCCCAGGGCACCATGAGCCAGTCCCCCAAGGCTCAGAAATGCCCCAGTGGATGGAGTCCCATCAGTGCGCTCCTCTAGGAAACAGCCTGTCCTGAATTTTGTACCCCGAGTGCCATGTGACACACTGAGCTGAAGCACTGAAGGGTGCCCTGTTTCCACCGGCGGAGGACTGGGACAGAGCCAGGCTGGCCAGCCCGTGTCCTTCACATCTCAGGCTGTGTTGCCCAGCACAGTCCACGGTCACTCTCGAGAACTACGAGTGTGACGGACGTGGGTGGATCCAAGGGCCCCCGGAGAGCTCTCCTGCAGGCTGGTGGGTGGGTCCAAGGTCCCCCAGAGGACTGTCCTGCAGGCTGGTAGGTGGGTCCAAGGCCCCCCAGAGGACTGTCCTGCAGGCTGGTGGATGGGTCCAAGGCCCCCAGGAGAGCTGTGCTCCAGGCTGGTGGGTGGTAGCTGGCTCCCTAGGAGTGTTCTCCCTGTCCTCTGGAGGAGTGGAGGTAGGATCAGGATAATCTGTTCCTTGACTGGGAGAACTCTCCTAGGCCGCAGGTTTACTTTGGGTGAAAATTTTAAATTACAGATTCAGTGACTTTAATGGTTATAGGTCTATTGAAGTTTCCTATTCCTTCTTAATTTTGAGAAGTTACATTTTACCAGAAATGTCTCCATTTCAACCAGAATTTCTTCAGATTTCTTGGCAAGAGTTAAGTGTCCCCAGTTTCCTGCCTTTCACGTCTCTGCTCTGCCTGTAGCCGGGGCCCCCTTTCATCCCTGGGGTTGTCCCTGTGTACCCCCCCGAACTTGGGTTTCCTCCGTCAGTCCTGCCGGAGCCTGTCAGTTTACTCAAGCACTTCCGAGAATCAGTTTTCAACTGCAGCATCCTTTTTTCTTTTCAGAATTTGTCTGCTTTCCCATCTATCTTCTTTCCTTCTTGCTTTAGGACCACTGTGTTCTCTGGCTAACTTCTTACATTGGATATTTATTTTTAGTCTTTCCTGATGTGTGCAGTTAGGGCTGTAAATGGCTCCAACATGGCATCCAGCCGCATCTCACATCGTGATAGGTAGCACTTTTCATTACTTTTTAATTCTCAGCATTTCCTGATGTCTGTTATGATTTCTTCTTTGAGCCATGAGTTGGTGTGTTTTCTAATTTCCAAACATAAGGACTCATGGTTCTCTTTTTGCTATCAATTTCTAACAAATTGCACTGTGGTAAGAAAAGGAAGTGTGGTTGGCATTTATTTTTTTGTGGCGACTTGCTTTACGGGCCAGTGCGTGGTCAGCCTGCAGAGACATTCCACATGTGTTTGGGATAATGTGTCCTCTCCGTCTGTTTCCCAGAGTTCTGTTTGTGTTCATTAAACAGAACTTGCTAATTGTATTGTTCACGCTTTGGTTTTCCTGACCGACGATTGTCTGCTGGATCTGAGAAAGACATGGCAAAGTCTCCCACGATGGTGGGACACACATATTCTTGTCTTCTTTCCATTGCACCCATTTTTACTTAGACATTTTAAAGCTGCTTTACTAAATATAGACATTTGACATCATTATGCCCTTTCGTGATGAATTGAAGTCTTATCACAATAACCTGTATATCCAGTAATGGCCTTTCCCTTACATCTTTTGTGCCAGATATTGGAGCTGTGACCCCAGCTGCCCTTTGGCCAGGTTTGCCTGCCTAGCGTCAGTTTTCCTTTGGGACTTTTAGCCTTCCCCTGAAGTTTCAGATGTGTCTCCTATAAACAGCAAAAGCCTGGGCAATATATTATTTTCACGTCCTATCCTGTGGTCTGTGCTTTAAGTGGAAACGTGGGTCATTTGCTGTTAGTTTGATCCCTTTTTTCAGATGCCTTCTTAGCATCTTATTCATTGTTTGTCCCCAGTTTCTGTGGCTCTTTCCTTTTTCTCTTTTCTCGCCTTCTCTTGGGGTAATTGAGGGTTTCCTGCATTCCATTTGTTCCCTCTACTGAGTCCAAAGATATGCAACCTATTTTCTTGTTTTTCATTCGTCATCTTTAACAATTGGAGCATGTATTGTCAACACAGTCAGCATCCTCACTCCCACCTCCATGCAAACCAAAGCCCGGACTGGGCCAGCCCCAATTAGGGTGCCAGAGTAGACACAGAGCACCCAGGTGGGTATCCTTCCACTGCAAAACTACTTGTTTATCAGACACTGAAATTTAACCAGGGCCGTGAATGGTTTTGTTTGTTTTTGTTTTACTAAATCTGGCAGCCCTAGCCTCAGTGCCCCATCCCAGGTTATATCACTGACTGGTGTTTCATTTCCTTCTTTCTTTTGTTTGATTTCACTGATAAGACACCATTATTATTGCTCTATGTCATCCCTGTTCATCCAGGCTTTCCTGTACTTATGTCATTTTCTTGGCTCATCATTCCTTCTCATTTCTCACACTGTCTTCTAGGATTATTTTCATACTGCCTTAAGTATAATACATCCACTAGAGTGTCCCTTGGGAAAACACTCATGTGGTCAACTTCCCCAGCTCGCGTTTGTGAGGAGGCAGGTCTTTATCTCACCCTTGTTCTTGGATGATAGTTTCACTGGATAAACAATTCTGGGTTGACAAGGATTTGCTCTTGACACATTGATTGGCTTAAGATTTTAAGCCACTGTCTGCTTGCCTCCATTGCTGTTAAGGAGTTGGTGTGTGGCTAATGGCTACCTCTTTGAAGATTCTGTTTTCTCTAGCAGCTTTTAGAATTTTCTTTTTGTTTTTGATGTTCTGCAGTTTTACTCTGATGTACCTAGGTGTGCATTCCTGGGTTTTTTTGCCCCTGGCTTGGGTCTCACATCTTCCATGTCACGTTCATAAATCTCTGGTTGTTTCATCATACAGAAATGTCATTTATTTTTAATACATACTCACTATATTTACTTTTTATAATTTATAACTGATCATTTCAGTAACTGCGATCTTTAAGGATCTAATCAATTAAAACTTATTAAAAGTTAATAAACTTTTTATTTTTGGATAGTCTGAGATTTACAGAAACATTGTAGAGATCGTGTACAAGTTCCTCATATCCCCCCTCAGAAAACGTCTTCTACTGTGAAC
This sequence comes from Homo sapiens, assembly GCF_000001405.40. Classification (NCBI taxonomy): domain Eukaryota; kingdom Metazoa; phylum Chordata; class Mammalia; order Primates; family Hominidae; genus Homo; species Homo sapiens. The sequence continues at coordinate 239,057,144 of NC_000002.12, read as the reverse complement.
ATCTTACTTCGATATGAGTCGTTTGTCACAACTTAGAAACCAATGCTGGTCCATGACTATTAACTCCAGAATGTATTTGGATGTCACCAGCTTTACCACAACTGCCCTTTCTCCATTTTAGGGTCCCGTCCAGGATCACACGTCACATTTAGTCATTTCGTGTCTTTTTTCTCAGTCTTTCATGGTTTTTCAAGGAGCACTGGCCAGAGATTTTGCAGACTGCCCTTCAGTTCATGTTTGAGTTTCTTCTCCTGGTTCTGTGCTTTGGGGAGGAAGATCATAGGATCGAAATGCCATTCGCTTGTCAGATGTGCTGCCAGCACGGCTCACTGACCTTGATCATTTGCTGAGAGTGATGTTTGCCGGGTCCTTCCACCATCGGGTTACGCTTTTACCGCCTTTCCAAATGTATTATTTGGAAGAAAGTCACAGTGCAGTGCACACTCAGGGGGACAGAGTTGGAGAGGCCTTAAGCCCCACCTCCTGGAGAGGGGAGTAGATACGTGCATTATTTGAAATGCTCAAGGAGTTGTCTCTGCTCCCCTGTGTGTGTATTTCGTTATTTATTCATATCCCGGTGAACTCCTGTGTATCTGTCTTTCTTACACTTTGGGTCATGCTTCAATACCACGGTGTTGATTTTGCTGCCCAGCTGGTTCCTGCTCTGGCCCTGGGGCACCTTTCAGACTGGCCCTGCATGTCCTGTGATGGCCCCGTCCCTTGACCTTCAGGCACGTCCTGATTTCCCAGCACCACGAGGTGCTCCAGGCTCTCGTGTCTTGTATTTTCCCCGCCCCAGCCTTGGACCGAGCTGTTCTCCAAGGAGCCTGCTTCCCTTCATTGGAGAATGGGATTGGGAACCTCGCTCATCATCCCTCCTGACCCAGGCTCGTGCTGACTCACTTCCGTGTTGTTTGGGGTTTTTGTGTTTGGGAACTCATGCTTCCTGGAAGTTAACCGGCTGTGCTCATTTGAAGCCTGCTGTGGGTATGTGTGCCTCCAAAGAGGCCCTGCTGTGGTTTCTGCCTGGCGCCCTGGCCTGGCGGAGCTGCCACTGTCGATAGTAGCTGTCCACTCCCAGTGTCTAGAAGCAGGCAAATTCTCAGGGTCACTTTGTCTTTTCACCTCTACCCAGAAGCCAGAGTTAAAACCCAAACGCTCCTTCCCATGGCCTCTGTTTGACACGTCGTCGTGCGTCTGTCCTCGCTCACCCGTCCTGTCCTGACAGTGGTCTTTCCAGCCCCAGCAAGGCTGGCTCCAGGACACCTGGGGACATGGGTGCTTTGGCCTTCTGACTCAGGTCCAGCTTTGTTCCAGACCCAGCAGGTTTCCCCTGGTTTTGTGGGCTCTTCCAGTTATTTAAAGGTTCTTGAACTGTTGTATTTCTATATTTTTATAATCCATTTCAACCTTTTTTTTTTTTTTTTTGAGACAGGGTCTCACTCTGTTGCCCAGGCTGGAGTGCGGTGGCACAATCTTGGCTCACTACAGCCTCCGCCTCCTGGATTCAAGTGATTCTCATGCCTCAGCCTCCCGAGTAGCTGGGACTACAGGTGCCCACCGCCATACCTGGCTAAGTTTTGTATTTTTAGTAGAGACAGAGTTTCACCACGTTGCCCAGGCTGGTCTGGAACGCCTGACCTCAAGTGATCCACCCGCCTCGGCCTCCCAAAGTACTGGGATTACAGGCGTGAGCCACCACGCCCGGCCAGTCAACCATTTTTAATTGTTGTGTTGCAAATGCTTTGCCCTGTTGCCCTGTCATTGACTTGTAAACTTCTTCCCTGCTTTTATCTGCTGCCAGTACTTAGGGAAAAACTCGGTGTGAAGGATTCCCTCTGAGAGATCTGACTACTTCTTCCATTTCATCTCCCCCGACCCCACCTTCCGCTGCCCTGGAAGAAAACCAAGATCAGGGGATATTCAGACATTCTTACTTATTAATAAAAGACAAAGGAAAGAAAAGTGATGAAGTAAGCGTCACTCCCCCTCATGGAACCCTGTGGCGTCGATGGCAGATACCAAGTTCACGTGCAGGTGCCAGCCCCACTCCTGGGGACTGTCTTTCTTCCTGCTACTTGTAGGAACCCACAAATATCTTATAGCGTCCTAAAAAAAAATCCACTTTTACAAAAAAATTATAAATACCACGGCACATTTGGCTTTTTAAAGTTATTTTTTTCTACTCTGTGGGCAAATGCACCCCACAAGGGTCTCTGTGCTCAGGAAACAGTTGCAGTCTCGGAACACCCGTCTAACGCACGTGTGGATTATATTGGCAGTCTTTATATTCTTATGCATTTTCTTCCAGCTTGATCCTCTCCCAGAAAAGGTTTTACAGCAAAGACCCAATGCAAACGCTGTCCGTTCCATGGAGAAAGTCATGGAGATCCACAGTAAGTTGCCTGGCTGGGTGCTCACAGGGGACACGCCCCTGGGGGTGGGACTGCACCACACCCCATCCCTGTCCCCCTATACCCCCAGCTCTTCTCCATCCCACTGCCGGCTGCTTCCCCAGGCCTGCAGCAGAAGGCCTTGCTTTCAGCTGCATTTCTTGAGCTGGTAGAGACTCACATTTAACCCCGACTGGATTTCCCCCGGCCTGCTGGGATGGTTCCATCAGCCCAATTTGTAAGTCTAGAGAATCAAGGCCCAGACAGTCTCAGTGTGGAGTCACTTGCTCTAGGTCCCCAGCTAGCAGCGGGGGCCATGGCTGTGAGCCTGTACCCTGGGGACTCCGGCCTCTTCCCTGGACCAGAGAAGCCCACGTCCTGACCTCAAAGAACCCTTGGCCCTGCAGAGAGGCAGGGTGTAGGCCCTCTGAGTTCTGGCACCGACCCTCAAGCAGCAGGTCCTGGGTGCAAGGGCGTGGCACGCAGCCTATCTCAGAGGCGCCTCCCACACCCTGTCATTGTCGCAAGCCCAGCTTGTCTTGCCTTTGAGATGACCCAGATGGTTGAGACTGTCCACAGAAGCAGGGGTAGTCCAGAGCTCAGCTCCCCGTTTCCCTGTGTGAGGGAGTCCTGGCTTCAGAGCCCTGAAGCTGACCCTGGGCCAGGCCCAGCCCTCCACATACACCCCCTTGCGCCTGACGCAGTACCCCTCCACCCCCAGCCTCTGTGAGGGCCCAGGCAGAAGACCCCTCAGCCCCAGCGACAATCCCCCAGCTCACCTGCTCCCAGAGATAGGAAGGCTCAACCCAGCAGGCTGGCAGCCCCCTGCCCTGGCCACCCAGGGCAGAAAGGGGCCCGTGAGCGTGGAAAGCCAGGCCTACAGGAGCCTCCCTCTGCAGTCCTAGGTGGGCCTGCTCCTGGAGGGACTCGAGCCACTCACAATGGGGAAACATTTCCAGAGATTTTTTGGGTCTTTGTGAGTTTGTAGCCATGCAGTCTTCTGCTTCGTGTCTCTTCAAAGACGGGTGCTTTTAAAATCATAAGGGATCAATCTGGTTTGAGGCTCAGGGTCCCGCAGGACCTTCCCGGGCCTCAGTGCATCCTGCTAAGTTGTAGTCACTGAGCGACTTTCCTCACCCCACCACCCCAGGCAAGTACTGGCGCTGCCTGCAGCGCACAACCTCCACAGCGGGGCGTTCTCTGATCGAGGCTCAGACTTGCGAGAACGAAGAAGCCGAGACGGTCACCGCCATGGCCTCGCTGTCCGTGGGCGTGAAGCCCGCCGAAAAGAGGTGAGCACCTGCCCTGCCGCCCGCCTGCAGGCTCACCCAGCCCCACTGTGCCCACTGACACACTATTCAGGGTCAGAACCTTTATGGCACATGCCCTGCCCAACAGACTAGAGACAGGCCAGTGTGGCCCCCTCCTTCCAGTGCCAAAGCCCCTTAGAGACGCATGAGGAGCATTAGATCCTGAACAGATGGACCCGGGGCTGCCAGGCCAGGGCTAGGCTGGCGGGTGGGGCAGCACACAGCCTTTAACCCACGTTCTGTTCTCTCCTCTCTGTGGTGCACCTGCCCCACGCCCCCATCTCCTTCTCTTGCGGGATCCACAGACCAGATGAGGAGCCCATGGAAGAGGAGCCGCCCCTGTAGCACTCCCTCGAAGCTGCTGTTCTCTTGTCTGTCTGTCTCTGTCTTGAAGCTCAGCCAAGAAACTTTCCCGTGTCACGCCTGCGTCCCACCGTGGGGCTCTCTTGGAGCACCCAGGGACACCCAGCGTGCAACAGCCACGGGAAGCCTTTCTGCCGCCCAGGCCCACAGGTCTCGAGACGCACATGCACGCCTGGGCGTGGCAGCCTCACAGGGAACACGGGACAGACGCCGGCGACGCGCAGACACACGGACACGCGGAAGCCAAGCACACTCTGGCGGGTCCCGCAAGGGACGCCGTGGAAGAAAGGAGCCTGTGGCAACAGGCGGCCGAGCTGCCGAATTCAGTTGACACGAGGCACAGAAAACAAATATCAAAGATCTAATAATACAAAACAAACTTGATTAAAACTGGTGCTTAAAGTTTATTACCCACAACTCCACAGTCTCTGTGTAAACCACTCGACTCATCTTGTAGCTTATTTTTTTTTAAAGAGGACGTTTTCTACGGCTGTGGCCCGCCTCTGTGAACCATAGCGGTGTGCGGCGGGGGGTCTGCACCCGGGTGGGGGACAGAGGGACCTTTAAAGAAAACAAAACTGGACAGAAACAGGAATGTGAGCTGGGGGAGCTGGCTTGAGTTTCTCAAAAGCCATCGGAAGATGCGAGTTTGTGCCTTTTTTTTTATTGCTCTGGTGGATTTTTGTGGCTGGGTTTTCTGAAGTCTGAGGAACAATGCCTTAAGAAAAAACAAACAGCAGGAATCGGTGGGACAGTTTCCTGTGGCCAGCCGAGCCTGGCAGTGCTGGCACCGCGAGCTGGCCTGACGCCTCAAGCACGGGCACCAGCCGTCATCTCCGGGGCCAGGGGCTGCAGCCCGGCGGTCCCTGTTTTGCTTTATTGCTGTTTAAGAAAAATGGAGGTAGTTCCAAAAAAGTGGCAAATCCCGTTGGAGGTTTTGAAGTCCAACAAATTTTAAACGAATCCAAAGTGTTCTCACACGTCACATACGATTGAGCATCTCCATCTGGTCGTGAAGCATGTGGTAGGCACACTTGCAGTGTTACGATCGGAATGCTTTTTATTAAAAGCAAGTAGCATGAAGTATTGCTTAAATTTTAGGTATAAATAAATATATATATGTATAATATATATTCCAATGTATTCCAAGCTAAGAAACTTACTTGATTCTTATGAAATCTTGATAAAATATTTATAATGCATTTATAGAAAAAGTATATATATATATATAAAATGAATGCAGATTGCGAAGGTCCCTGCAAATGGATGGCTTGTGAATTTGCTCTCAAGGTGCTTATGGAAAGGGATCCTGATTGATTGAAATTCATGTTTTCTCAAGCTCCAGATTGGCTAGATTTCAGATCGCCAACACATTCGCCACTGGGCAACTACCCTACAAGTTTGTACTTTCATTTTAATTATTTTCTAACAGAACCGCTCCCGTCTCCAAGCCTTCATGCACATATGTACCTAATGAGTTTTTATAGCAAAGAATATAAATTTGCTGTTGATTTTTGTATGAATTTTTTCACAAAAAGATCCTGAATAAGCATTGTTTTATGAATTTTACATTTTTCCTCACCATTTAGCAATTTTCTGAATGGTAATAATGTCTAAATCTTTTTCCTTTCTGAATTCTTGCTTGTACATTTTTTTTTACCTTTCAAAGGTTTTTAATTATTTTTGTTTTTATTTTTGTACGATGAGTTTTCTGCAGCGTACAGAATTGTTGCTGTCAGATTCTATTTTCAGAAAGTGAGAGGAGGGACCGTAGGTCTTTTCGGAGTGACACCAACGATTGTGTCTTTCCTGGTCTGTCCTAGGAGCTGTATAAAGAAGCCCAGGGGCTCTTTTTAACTTTCAACACTAGTAGTATTACGAGGGGTGGTGTGTTTTTCCCCTCCGTGGCAAGGGCAGGGAGGGTTGCTTAGGATGCCCGGCCACCCTGGGAGGCTTGCCAGATGCCGGGGGCAGTCAGCATTAATGAAACTCATGTTTAAACTTCTCTGACCACATCGTCAGGATAGAATTCTAACTTGAGTTTTCCAAAGACCTTTTGAGCATGTCAGCAATGCATGGGGCACACGTGGGGCTCTTTACCCACTTGGGTTTTTCCACTGCAGCCACGTGGCCAGCCCTGGATTTTGGAGCCTGTGGCTGCAAGGAACCCAGGGACCCTTGTTGCCTGGTGAACCTGCAGGGAGGGTATGATTGCCTGACCAGGACAGCCAGTCTTTACTCTTTTTCTCTTCAACAGTAACTGACAGTCACGTTTTACTGGTAACTTATTTTCCAGCACATGAAGCCACCAGTTTCATTCCAAAGTGTATATTGGGTTCAGACTTGGGGGCAGAAGTTCAGACACACCGTGCTCAGGAGGGACCCAGAGCCGAGTTTCGGAGTTTGGTAAAGTTTACAGGGTAGCTTCTGAAATTAACTCAAACTTTTGACCAAATGAGTGCAGATTCTTGGATTCACTTGGTCACTGGGCTGCTGATGGTCAGCTCTGAGACAGTGGTTTGAGAGCAGGCAGAACGGTCTTGGGACTTGTTTGACTTTCCCCTCCCTGGTGGCCACTCTTTGCTCTGAAGCCCAGATTGGCAAGAGGAGCTGGTCCATTCCCCATTCATGGCACAGAGCAGTGGCAGGGCCCAGCTAGCAGGCTCTTCTGGCCTCCTTGGCCTCATTCTCTGCATAGCCCTCTGGGGATCCTGCCACCTGCCCTCTTACCCCGCCGTGGCTTATGGGGAGGAATGCATCATCTCACTTTTTTTTTTTAAGCAGATGATGGGATAACATGGACTGCTCAGTGGCCAGGTTATCAGTGGGGGGACTTAATTCTAATCTCATTCAAATGGAGACGCCCTCTGCAAAGGCCTGGCAGGGGGAGGCACGTTTCATCTGTCAGCTCACTCCAGCTTCACAAATGTGCTGAGAGCATTACTGTGTAGCCTTTTCTTTGAAGACACACTCGGCTCTTCTCCACAGCAAGCGTCCAGGGCAGATGGCAGAGGATCTGCCTCGGCGTCTGCAGGCGGGACCACGTCAGGGAGGGTTCCTTCATGTGTTCTCCCTGTGGGTCCTTGGACCTTTAGCCTTTTTCTTCCTTTGCAAAGGCCTTGGGGGCACTGGCTGGGAGTCAGCAAGCGAGCACTTTATATCCCTTTGAGGGAAACCCTGATGACGCCACTGGGCCTCTTGGCGTCTGCCCTGCCCTCGCGGCTTCCCGCCGTGCCGCAGCGTGCCCACGTGCCCACGCCCCACCAGCAGGCGGCTGTCCCGGAGGCCGTGGCCCGCTGGGACTGGCCGCCCCTCCCCAGCGTCCCAGGGCTCTGGTTCTGGAGGGCCACTTTGTCAAGGTGTTTCAGTTTTTCTTTACTTCTTTTGAAAATCTGTTTGCAAGGGGAAGGACCATTTCGTAATGGTCTGACACAAAAGCAAGTTTGATTTTTGCAGCACTAGCAATGGACTTTGTTGTTTTTCTTTTTGATCAGAACATTCCTTCTTTACTGGTCACAGCCACGTGCTCATTCCATTCTTCTTTTTGTAGACTTTGGGCCCACGTGTTTTATGGGCATTGATACATATATAAATATATAGATATAAATATATATGAATATATTTTTTTAAGTTTCCTACACCTGGAGGTTGCATGGACTGTACGACCGGCATGACTTTATATTGTATACAGATTTTGCACGCCAAACTCGGCAGCTTTGGGGAAGAAGAAAAATGCCTTTCTGTTCCCCTCTCATGACATTTGCAGATACAAAAGATGGAAATTTTTCTGTAAAACAAAACCTTGAAGGAGAGGAGGGCGGGGAAGTTTGCGTCTTATTGAACTTATTCTTAAGAAATTGTACTTTTTATTGTAAGAAAAATAAAAAGGACTACTTAAACATTTGTCATATTAAGAAAAAAAGTTTATCTAGCACTTGTGACATACCAATAATAGAGTTTATTGTATTTATGTGGAAACAGTGTTTTAGGGAAACTACTCAGAATTCACAGTGAACTGCCTGTCTCTCTCGAGTTGATTTGGAGGAATTTTGTTTTGTTTTGTTTTGTTTGTTTCCTTTTATCTCCTTCCACGGGCCAGGCGAGCGCCGCCCGCCCTCACTGGCCTTGTGACGGTTTATTCTGATTGAGAACTGGGCGGACTCGAAAGAGTCCCCTTTTCCGCACAGCTGTGTTGACTTTTTAATTACTTTTAGGTGATGTATGGCTAAGATTTCACTTTAAGCAGTCGTGAACTGTGCGAGCACTGTGGTTTACAATTATACTTTGCATCGAAAGGAAACCATTTCTTCATTGTAACGAAGCTGAGCGTGTTCTTAGCTCGGCCTCACTTTGTCTCTGGCATTGATTAAAAGTCTGCTATTGAAAGAAAAAGAAAGCGAACAGTTTTTGTTTGTTTTTTTTGCCGTGTGTGCTCCATAGTGGAGGCGCTATTTTCCAATTGATGAGAATGACAAACATATATAATCTATCTATCTATCTATCTATCTATCTATCTATACAGGGGGCTTGAACCTTACTCACCCAAGAGCTTCTTACGGAATGTGGTAGAAAACCAAGTTGTAACGACACTGTAACCTACCTGATGCCTGTTCGCGCCCGCCGTGAGCTGCGCACTGGCCGTGGCCACCATTCACCTCTGTAATTTAATCCGTTTCTCTTGGATTGTCTGGACGTGCCCGATGGTTCTTTCTTTTGCTCAGTGGAGTTGGAGGTTTTGTGTTTGGTTTTCTCATTCTTGTCTTGTTTTGTGTGGGTGGATTTTCACCGACCAATGATATCCTCTTCTGACGGTCACCTTCTTTCCACTTCACTGGAGTCCAGTATTCTGTACCACATCACGCAACGTGTTATCTTGTGGTGTAAATAAAGACTGCGTTACTTGCCCTCCCAGCTCTGGTTTCTGCCCGTGCGCTCTCTTCCTCATTGGCTCTCGCATGTCTGGGACCCTGTGGGCCGAATGGCCAGTGCCCTGGGTCCCATCCGGATGGCTGCATGGGAATCACTGGACCCCATGGGGACGGCCCCTAGACCCAGACCAGCGGCAGGCCCGTCCCCCTCTGCCTGCATAATCAGGTCCCATAGGAGTGTCTTCATTTTAAATGTCCAGTAATTTAAATCTTTACATTATCTTCTCCCCCAAAACACTTACCAAGCCATAGAGAGCTGGAAATAATCTTGGAGAGAACAAGGCCAAAGAGAGAGGCCCAGGGCCCAGGCTTAGCCACCTGCCCACAGCCGGGCAAACACACCTCTGAGACTGGAGTCCAAACACCAGCCACAGCTCCTGACCCTCAGCAGCGCCCCTTCCCAGGCTCCCGCATCCAGTGACTAATCAGTTGGGTGCCGGGCAGCGTAAGCACCAGGCCACCTTGGCCCAACTTAGGACAACTCAAGGCCTGCTGGCTTCCCGGAAAGTGCCTGAGCCCCTCCCTAGGCTGACTGCCTTCCCTCCTCCCCTGTCACAGCTGCCAACCCAAGGACACCTCAACCACCTTGCACACTGAAGCCCACCCAGTCTGCATCCCAGAAACCCAGCCCACGGCACCCAGGTTGCCCTTGAGCCCCCGAAAGAGGCCTCTGGAGCAGAGGGCCCTGCTGGCCCCAAGGCATAGCCCTGTGGCAAGGGGGGCTCAGTCGGCCCCAGTATAAGAAGAGGTACTTGGAGCCTGAAGCCACTGAGGCTGGAGTGGTTTTGTTATTGTTACTGATTCAGTTGGCATGTTTACTGGTTATAGTATATTAGTTATCTATTGCTTGCAACAGATTCCCTCAAAACTTAGCAGCTTCAAATAGCAGACATTTATTACCTTGGAGTTTCTGAAGGTCCGGAGTCTGGGTGCATCTCAGCAGGGTCCCTGTCTCGTCTTCCCTGGGGGTCCAGTCAAATGCTCAGCCAGGGTTCCTCTGGGGGCCCAGCTGCTGGGGGACCAGGCTGGGGGTTGGCCTCCAGGCACATGCCTGTGGCTGTAGGTGGCCACCTTCCCTCGCCTGATGGGCCTCTCCACAGGGCCGCCTCGAGGCCTTGCCGTCAGCGTCTCCCACAGCACGTGATCTAGGAGCAAGTGGAGAATGCACCAGGAGACACAGCCAGTCTTTTTATAGCCTCATCTCCATGGGCATAGAAGCCAGTGCAGGAGGCCAGCCCACACTCACGGGAGAGGCTTCCTCTGCTCAAGGCCCAAGGACCCTCAGGCTCAGATCCTGCAGCGCCTCCCTGGGTTTGTCCATCTCATGTGCTAGAGTAGAAAGTTGGAAGCTGGTCTACTCCTCTAGCCCAAGAGATGAAGACATCATTGCTCCCCAATAAGCAGATGGAATGAAGGATTCCTGGGTTGTCTTCTCCGCCCATTTGTTCTCCGCCCATTTGTTTCATTACTGGGGCTGTGAACTAGAAAGCTTTAAAATCTATTTTGGGATGCTAATCCTTTATCCACCATAAATTTCTAGTATCTTCTGGTCTTTAGATTCTCCTCTGTCTCTGAAAAAGTCAGACACATACAAAAGGGGACTAGTTCTGAGGCCCTGTGTGCTCATCAACCTGCCTCAACAGCTGTAAACACTCCCAAATGTGTTTAGTCTACCCCCTCCTCACCACAAACAGGAGTGTTAGGAGGCAGAAGCAAATCCCAGACATCTTATCATTTCATCTGTAAATATCTCAGTAGATTTCTCTCAAAGATAGACTCTTTTCTTAGACAACACAGTATCTTATCATGCTGTCAAAGTGAGCAGTTTCGTATCATGATCAAATATTCAGCCAATGTTGAGATTTCCCCATTGTTTCAGATTGTCTTCAGGTTTTTTTTGTTGCTGTTTTGGTTTTTTTTGTTTTGTTTTGTTTTGGTTTGGTTTTTTTCTTGCAATGTATTTGCAGAAGAAATCCGGCCATTTATGCATTTGTACATCCGCTGTGTCCTAGCCCTTTCCTCTGACAAGTAAAGGAGGGACAGGAGGGTGGGCCTAGAGCACTGGCCAGTTCAGGCTCACACCCCTAGCAGGAGCCCCTCAGAGGTGGGGCCCACTCTTCTTCCACGAGGCCACTGGGCCCATTATTTCACTGGGGGTTTGAAGGCGGCAATGCTTTCTTGCCATCCCATTTTGACAAATGCAATACTTCAACGCGTTCACATTCACCACAAGCAAGCAACTGTTACCAAGTTTCTAGGCCCAACACCTTTGTTTAGAAAAAAGTAAACACGTAAAGGTTAGAATTACAGATTGAAAAGGGTTTCCACTCAGCGTCCCATTGATACGAGATCCTTTAGCCAATAATTTATGGATGGTATTATTATTATTATTATTATTTTAGACAGAGTCTCACCCTGTCGCCCAGGCTGGAGCGCAATGGCACAGTCTCGGCTCACTGCAACCTCCACCTCCTGGGTTCAAGTGATTCTCCTGCCTCAGCCTCCCGAGTAGCTGGGACTACAGGCGCACGCCACCATGCTCGGCTTTTTTGTATTTTTAGTAGAGATGGTGTTTCACCATGTTGGCCAGGCTGGTCTCAAACTCCTGATCTCAGGTGATCTGCCCATCTTGGCCCCCCAAAGTGCTGGGATTACAGGCATGAGCCACTGCACCCAGCCAAGGATGGTAATATTATATGGTACTATATATATATGAGACTTTAATATAAATATATACTATACTTATACTATATATATGAGACTTGAATAATATATGAGACTTGAAGGTTTATTTTTAAATGCACTCAAAATTTCTATTTAAAAGGAACTCTCTGGCCAATTAAACTTGTTGATTTGATTTCAAATGCAAGAACATTTCTCTGATAGTGATGGAAAATAAATTCATATGAAAATGTGGGAAAAAAGAAGTGTGGCATTGTAATTCGTGCAAGTCTTGGGATTTATGTACAAAAACTAAAATGCTGCGGTGTTCTCAGTTTCTTAAAAGTTTTTGTCTGATATCTGAGTGTACAAAAAAATGGAAATTCGGGTTTGCAAGTAAATCGTGCTATAATTTCAACACATGCTGTCTTTTACATCAGATTCTCAGGAAGCGCAGGTCATAATGCAGCTTGGGAGGACCCAGGAAGTGGTTCCACTTAAACTTCTGGGGTGCAGTTGTAGGGAGTTGTATGTCCCTGACACACTCTTAGTTTCAATCTGGATGCAGCTGCTCTTTGAAGTCACACTGAGTCCCTAATATGTACTTGGGGCCTCAGACTAATGTGTTACAGTGTTGAAGTTATTAGTAAAGCCCCTTTGGAAAGTAAACAACTCCCAGTAATGGGCAGTTAGATATATGACAAAATGACAGATGATGGCAAAGCTAATGTCTGCGTGGGTGACACACATCTACCGAGCCAACCACAGATATTCGCAGGGCCAGGGGCCAGGGTTCAAGTGGAGACCGCCATATGCCCAAGTATGTGGACACAGATCAAGCTCCAAAAGTGTTATGCAGAAATGTGGGCTCCTCACCACCTTGACAAATCCACCTCCCTAAAGACGCAGGAGGCCAGGCTGGAGCCGCGGCTCTCAGCCTCCCAGGGGCCCTCGGCAGCCTCTGCCACCGCCTCTCTCTTCCTACTCCTGCTGGGGGGACCACAGCCCACCCCCTGCCTAGCTGCTTCTCGGGCCTTCTCACCTGGCACCAGAACCCAGAATGGCTCCTTAAGGGTTCTCCCCAGATGCTGCACATAGCATTTCTGCTTAAGACCCCCTGGGGCTTGTGGCCACAGCAGCTGCAAGCAAGGCCAGGATGTGCAGTCTTCCACAGGTGCCCACCTGTCCAAGTGGAGACAGCAGCTCTGCTGTTACAGAAGAAAGGGAGGGTGGGTACTGAGAGACACCAGAGTCTCTGCCACAGAACCAAGAACACCTGCAAACCTTACCAACACATGAGGAACCACTGTACCCAGGTACCTCACAACCCCCAGGGCCTTCCTATGAGGTCCACACTCTACCTGAAAGACATCTGTGCCAGTGGGAAGGCGGAGGGTCAGGGATGGTGCTGCCTGGACTCTCTGGGTAGGCACAGCCAACTAATGATACCAGCAAGGGTGGCCGGCCCTTACAACCACATTCTAGCCAATCGGAGGTTCTCTTCTTTCCTAGAAGCAATCGTGGGAGCCTTCCCCAGAGAAGAAGGTGGTACACACAGGTCCAAGGTGAGTATCATGACCAGAAGGAAGTCACCAAACGATGCCAGACCAGGAGCTGGCACTGTGCTGTCTGGCTAGTGAATTACTGGAGGACTAAGGATAAAATTTACACAGGTACCAGGAGAATTCTACAAGTAATGGCTGCGTGCACAGCTGCGAAGCTGATGAGATGCTGTTCAAGCGGAATCACTAGAAATACAAAAAGACATTTCGAAGAGATGTTAGGCCAGGCGCATACAGGAGCATACAGCAGAAATAAAAAATAATCACACGGATGAACATCGTGGATTCTCCTACAAGCTCCAGGTGGGAAGGGCTGCTGAAGAGGGAACGGATGAAGCGTCACAGTGGGCAGCTCTCTAAGCGGCGCCTCTCTAACTTGGTCCCAGCTGGCAGCGACTTGGCAGGAGCCACCAGGTGTGCCGTGCAATGGAGAGCTGGCCAGCCAAACCCAGAGGCCCTCATGCCTCTTTAGAAAGGCAAGAAGAAACTGCAGATATTCCGTATGAGTCCGTTCTCACACTGCTATAAAGAAATACCTGAGACTGGGCAACTGATAAAGAGAAGATGTTTAATTGGTTTACAGTTCCCCAGGCTGTACAGGAAGCATGAGGCTGGCATCTGTTCGGCCTCCGGGGAGGCCTCAGGAAACGTCCAGTTATGGCAGAAGGGGAAGCAGGTACGTCTTCCATGGCTGGAGCAGGAGCAAGAGATGGGAAAGGGGCCACACACTTTGAAACAGCCAGATCCATGAGAGCTCATTCATTCACTCCACAGTACCGAGCGGGGATGGAGCTAAGCCATTCACGGAACTCGGCCCCCGTGATCTGATCACCTCCCACCAGGTCCCAGCTCCAACACTGGAGATGACAATTCAATGTGAGATTTGGCAGGGGCACAGACGCAAACCATATTCTATTCACAAACCAGTTACCAGGAAATTCATTCTAAATCTAGACTTCCTCTGTATTGTACCATCACAAAACCGAGTTTTAGTCAAAGCCAAGTTTGGTGGGCAGGTGGAGGAGGTTCCCATGATACTAGGAAGTTTGTTCCAGTAGTCCCAAGAACCATGCAAATCAAAAAAGCTGCGACAGGAAAATAGGTTTGTTATATCGTCTGTTTTAGGAAGACGTGTCTTCATGCAAAGTGTAAGCTCTGCGTGCACTGGAGGGTGGCTCCCCACTGCCAGTGACAGTCATGAAGAAGGAACATACGATTCGGGGCTAACAAACTCCTCACATCCAAACAGCAAGGCACACTGATTTTGAAAAGGAACATGGCCAAAGGCATTCTTTTGCCATGAAAAGTGTATTTCCAAGGAAAATGAGGGGCCCATTCGATTCTCTTTAAAGCACACACAGAAGTTGACTTTGTAAACAGATTTGAGCCCCTACACCTGCAACCTGTTTGAGTGAGAACGTCCTCATGAGCCTGTCGGCTTCCTACTATCCCACCCAGACAGCTTTCAGGAAAATGTTTAAAATCAAGATTGATGGAGTGATTAAAATGGGATGTATTTTTTTCTAGCAGAGAGCACCCTCCGGAATCACTACACCCGGAGATGAGAGGCTAGTGACAGACCCAACACAGGGCCCATATGGTGACAGTGGCAGTCTTGCCACTACCTTCGGTGAGTGCTCACGTGTGGGGCCTGGCGTCGACATGACTCAAATGTAAACCTTCCCAGGTTGCCATGACACTGGTGGGAGTGGGTGCCCTGAGGCTGGTGGAGGCGGGGAGGGTGGTTGACTTAACATTGATAAATGTGACTAAATAGAAATGTGAAAACTTCTAGGGCGATTTAATAACCCCAGTCTCAATGAATGGAACGTACCAAACCAAGACAGCCAGGGCCAGTGTTGACAATCTGTGCAATGATCGTAGAAATTTTTTAAAAACCATGGACAAATCCCAAAAGATGAGACACAACTGTGTGATAAACATACAGAAAACTAACAAGCTTTGTCTGTAGTTCTTAAAATTACAAGTAGCCGGGTACAGTGGCTCACGCCTATAATCCAGTACTTTGGGAGGCCAAACCGGGAGGATTGCTTCAGTCCAGGAGTTCAAGACCATCCTGGGCAACATGGTGACACTCTTACAAAAAATTTTTTTAAAAAATGAGCCGGGCATGGTGGTGCACACCCGTGGTCCCAGCTACTCAGGAGACTGAGGTGGGAGGATCGCTTGAGCCCAGAAAGTCGAGGCTTCAGTGAGCTGTGATCATGCCACTGCACTCCAGCCTGGGTGACAGAGTGAGACCCTGTCTCAAAAAATAAACAAAATAAAAATTGCAAGCAAAAGTAAAAGAGAAAAACGATTTGGGGCCTGTATATATTTCAACAATCTATCCCGTTAAATGCTGGGGAGGGTGTGTGGACACGAACGGCCCTCAGCACCATGGCTGGGGGACCGTCACCACGAGAGGCTGCAGAGCCCTTCAGAGCCTTGCAAACGGCTGTGCCCGGACCTGATTACACTTCTGGGCACCTGTGCCCAGGACACAAACCTAGTTACGGAAAACCTCTTGTGTCCAAAGACGCTCATTTCAGCATTATTGAATGAACAACTGGAAACACCTGGGAATATTTAACAGCTGGGAACTGGATGGTACTTAGGTGCTGGGTGAGTGGGCAGCGTCTGCGGCGGGCGACTGACCAAGGCCGCCCTGGGAGGCGAGACTCACAGAGGGCCGGCCACCCGTGGACCCTGCCTGTGTTAAGACAGTGTGAGGGAAAAGCAAACAAAAACCCAGCCATGCCTTCCGAGGAGTCTGCGGGGACAGGGGCTGAAATTTTCGAGCATCCTCTTCCAGATCTAGACTGTGGATCCCTAGGTTTCCCCTTTTCTGACGTCAGGAGTACACACCACCCTTAATTCATGGTATTCACATTCCTGAGAATCGACTTTAAAGCTGCCCTCCCTGCCTCGGCCACAGAACACGGTTTCCTCAAGGAATCAATAGCTGCCCCAAAGAAAAAGGTAAAATGCAGGGACAGTATTTTCTAGCACATTCCTCTGAGCTCCCTCACCCCCCATCCCAAAGGACATCCGGTCCCCATTCCCCCATGTGCAGAACACACCCAGAGGAGGCCTTGGCCTTAGTCAGGTGGGCAAAGCATCTCTCTCCCTGGGGGCTGTGTCTGTCTGGCCAGGCCGGCCAGGGCAGCCCTTGCCACCAGAGAGTCAGTAAAGCCACTTGGAGCCTCCAGTCATTTACAGTAAGAATGCCAGGCCCCAGGCATGAGGGTGACGCGGGCTGAACCACCTCACCTGACCTGCCACTCTTCCAGATGGGACTGTCCTGAGAATGGCATCAGGCAATGAGTATAAAGGCACTAAGTTCAGTTTCTGGCCACAAATGGCTATTGTCACTGTTGTTATGGACGCCACAATGCGTGCTTTGTTCTACAAAGTCCTTGTTTGGAAGATAGTTAACAGCAGTCTTAGGGGAGCCCCCGGGGGCCACTGAGATGCACCCCCAGCGCCCCTGCCAGACTGAGGCCACTTTCTACTTCCCAGCTCAGCCTCGGACTCAGCCTCCACCCCTTTCCAGAAACCACCCTCAGCTGGAGAGAGAGGGGTGCCTTCGGGGTAGCCCACACTTTAGGAGCAGTCCACGTGGGATTACAGAGGCCAGGCCCTCACTGTCATGCAGGGCAGGGCTGAGTCCATGGGGCCGGCTGAGGCCTCTGTTGAGACCGTGTCACGGCTCAGCACCTCCCTCTGCCCGGCTCTGCCACCTCCCTTCCTTCGCATGGGAGGAGCTCACCGGCACCCCCAGCGAACCCGGGGTCTCAGAGCCGCCTGCTGGAAGACCAAAACTGCACCATGAGAGAGGGGAGCAGAGGACACCCCCGTCCTTTTGGTGCCACAAATTCTAAGATAAATTTTAGAAAGGTGAAAACATGAGAAGTGCACATCTTGGACAAAAGAGCAGAATTATGAGCTCTCAGCTCAGTCAAGCTTCTTCATTTGCAAGGACAGAAACCCCCTGTGGCTGGGACCAAGGAGGATGGGGCGTTGAAAGACTGGGCATCTTGTGTCACTCCGGGCTTCACCTCGCCCAGCTCCCCCTGCCTCTGCCAGCCCTCCCAACTCCTCTGCCCTGGGCTCCTGCATTCCCCTACAGATCCTGGCAGAAACGGTCTCCCACACCCATATGCCCACTGCCACCGAACTGAGAGTCCTGCCTCGCGCCTTCTGCCCTCAAAAGAGAATCCGACTGGCATCTGTTCAGCTCTCCTCAGCCCACGCAGACACAGAACACATGCTTCACACAAGTGGGCCCACGGCTGTCTTGGAGACCAGCATCACGCTGACCGCCAGCATGGGAAAGCCAGCTCCATCCTGCCGGCTGGGCTCCTTGAAGGCACAAACCAGTTCCTGCCTCCAGGCCTTTGCACAGGCTGTTCCCCCGCCTGGAATACCTTTCCCCACCTGGTGACCTCCCCTTCATCCTGTGAGCCTGAAGGTCAGTGGGGCCTCCCTTCTAAGCCTCCCTCCCCCAGACACTCATCTCCCATCAGCAGCATACGGGGAGGAGGAGGAAAGGCTTCCTCCGCCTCAAGAGACACAGAGGTGGCCGGGGAGGCCTGGCCTGTCTGCAGAGTCTCAGCACAGCATGTGCCTCCTCCAGACAGTGACCTACAGCCTGAGTCCCGCCCTCCGTTTTCCTCTGCAAGCTGCATGCCAGCCTCTCTCAGGGTAGACTTGAGTATGGACGTTCATGAGGCCTCATGGCCAGTTCACTTCTCAGTAGGGGGAGATCAGCTATGGGTCCAGAAGGCTCCATTACCCTGAGGACCAGAGGTGGCTCCCAGTGCTCTGAGTCTGTAAGGGAGTAACCGGGAGGGTGATGGATGGGCAGGTACTTCAAGGCCTGAGGCTGAGCCTGATGGTCCCCGAAGTTAGCAACATCCTTGTCCTGCCAAGGCCTCTTCCTGGGCTGAGCCGGGGGTGGGCACTGCCACCGTGTGTCCGGAGCCCCCTCTCCTTCCTGCCAACCAGCCCCTTCTCACTGAGAAGGGCAGTAGTGGGCTGAATGGCAGCCTCCGTCCAAAAGCTGTGTTCACATCCTACCCTGGGAACCCGGTAAGTGGATTGATTCGGGAAAGCACCTGTGCAGAGGTAGTTATAGGTGAAGGCCTCTCCAGATGGGCTCAGCCTGAGTTTTCCAGGGGGACCCTGAATCCAGTGGGAGGATCCTTACTGGGGACAGAAGAGGAGACACACGGAGAAGGGAAGGGGGCCTTGGGAGATGGAGGAGCCTGGGGGGGATGCTGCCATGTGCCGCAGAGTGCTCAGAGCCACAGACGCTGGGGGAGGCAGGAAGGCCTCCCCTAGAGCCTCTGTAGGGGTCATGGTCCCCCAGGCACTTGGACCCCAGCCTTCTGGCTTCTAGAACTGTGAGAGAACAGAGGCAGCCCCGGCCCGGCCAGCCGCCCCATCTGGGAGGTGGGGGGCAGCCCCCGCCTGGCCAGCCGCCCCGTCCGGGAGGTGTACCCAACAGCTCATTGAGAACGGGCCATGATGACGATGGCGGTTTTGTCAAATAGAAAAGGGGGAAATGTGGGGAAAAGAAAGAGAGATCAGATTGTTACTGTGTCCGTGTAGAAAGAAGTAGACATAGGAGACTCCATTTTGTTCTGTACTAAGAAAAATTCTTCTGCCTTGGGATGCTGTTAATCCATAACCTTACCCCCAACCCCGTGCTCTCTGAAACATGTGCTGTGTCCACTCAGGGTTAAATGGATTAAGGGCGGTGCAAGATGTGCTTTGTTAAACAGATGCTTGAAGGCAGCATGCTCCTTAAGAGTCATCGCCACTCCCTAATCTCAAGTACCCAGGGACACAAACACTGCGGAAGGCGGCAGGGACCTCTGCCTAGGAAATCCAGAGACCCTTGTTCACATGTTTATCTGCTGACCTTCCCTCCACTATTGTCCTATGACCCTGCCAAATCCCCCTCTCCAAGAAACACCCAAGAATGATCAATAAATACTAAAAAAATTAAAAGAACTGTGAGAGAACAGACTCACTATTTGAATCCCCCAATGCATGGTCCTGGGTGCCCGTGGGCTGGGCAGCCCGGGTGCAGTCTCATTGCTATTCAGGTGTGGGGCGAACGGAGCAGAACACTGGCCTTCAGAAGACAGTTCGTGGCCCACCGTTCCCAGGAGGAGGCGTAGCACACCGCACAGTAGGCCGGGGAACCCCGGGCGGTCAGAGGCCGAAGGAGTGAGCGAGAGACATGGGAAGAGCCATTCTTGGTGGTCCACTCTGGAGAGGCAGGATCAGCAGACCCCGGGGGCAGGGTCTGCTCCACGTTGTCAGAGCCTGGCCCGGGCTGATTAGGACAGGGGGTGATTAGGTCCTGAAGGGAGAGTCGGAGAGAGGAGGCGGCTGGGGGTCTGGATGGCTTTGCACACGCACCACGGGAGAGTGGGAGAGAGGGGTGGCTGGGGGTCTGGATGGCTTGCACACACACCACGCACATGCTCCGAGGGAATTATTTTCTATCCCTAGGAATCCGCCAGCCCTGGAGAGGCACCTCCTCCAGTCAGTGAGACCCCGGATGCCAGGGCAGCACAAATGCAGCGAACAGGAAAGACAGAGAACCCACACGGCCTAGGCGAGCACCCCAGAGGGCACCCTCCACCTGCCGGCAGACGGCCCATCACACCAGGGGCTCTGCATCTGGGGTGCCCCAACAGTCTGTGGGGGCTTCAGAGCTCTGGGACCCCCTGAACACTGTGTGCAAAGTTCTCTAGGGGGAGGGCCTGTGTGTGCAAAGTTCTCTAGGGGGAGGGCATGGGGTCTTCATCTGATCCCAAGGAGGTCAGCTCCCCGCGTCTCGGGATGATTCTGAAGCCCTCAGCCCATCCTCGATGTCCTGAGCCCCCTGCTCGGCCCTCAGTGGGGCTGGCTGTTCTGCTGCTGCTACTCCATTGGTTTTTCCTTCTCTCCTGCAGGGCACCTCGGTTCAGGGACAGGTCTTGTTACCTGGGGCGGTAGGAGGTGCTCACAGAGTGTTTGGGGTACTCCCGAGGTCAGGGCTGAGCTACCAAGGTCAACACAGAAGAACAAGTGCAGGGTCTTGGATAGACCCTACCCAGCCTGGGAAGGCCCCGTGCTGCTGCTTCAGGGACGACGCTCTGCCCTGTGCCAAACCTGCAGTCGGGACTGTGCCCAGCAGCCCAGCCTGGGAGACTGATGGGTGAGGAGGCAGGGTCCTCCTGCCGGCCTTGGAGTGCAAAGGCAAGAGGGAAGCCAAGGAGAAAGCCCCCCAGAGGAGGGCTGGGCACCCTCCCCGGGCCTGCGTGCCAGACGCACCAGGCAGGAAGCAGGAGGGGGCGGGGCAGAGCAGGGCAGGGCAAGAGCAGGTTGGAGACTCCTGAGCAGCCTGGCCTGAGTCCCTGGATCCTTCCTGTGGCTGCGCTGTTTTCCCCTGTCCCCACTGTGGTGCCTGTGAGCCTCTGCTGTGGGTCGCAGCAGGAAAACCCTCTTCCCCCAGCCCGCTGGGCCCAGGCGGAGCTGGGACTGCAGATTCACCAAGGATGCCTGCGTGACCCTGTCCAGAGATTCTTTCCCGCCAAAAGCCAGCTGCATCCCACCCATCACCACAGGGACAGTGACGCCTGGCCAGGCAGGGGCATTCAGGTAGTGGCACTCTGCCCTCTTGCACCTCTGAAATGTTCGGGCTGCTTGGCAAAGGAGCTAAGAAGACTTAACGTGGCACACACTGCACGTTTCACAACTGAGTGACTGGGAGCCCCTGACCCCTGGCTGCCTCTCACCTGGGGACCCCACCTCCCCTGACCCCTGGCTGCCTCCCCCTGGGGACCCCACCTCCCCTGAACCCTCACTCCTGACCCCTGGCTGCCTCTCCCCTGGGGACCCCACCTCCCCTGACCCCTGACCCCTGGCTGCCTCTCCCCTGGGGACCCCACCTCCCCTGACCCCTGACCCTAACCCCTGGCTGCCTCCCCTGGGGTTTTGGCATCACTGGCACCTAGCCCCTCTGCTAATCTCTGCCCCCACCCAAGGCCCCTCCCACAGCTGGCCTGGGGAACTGAGTTGCTCATTAGGCCTGGTGGAGATTAATGTCATCAACTCCAGGCGATTTTCGCTGTCATTAACGGTGTCCAGTCCCCTCCAGCAGGAGGGAGGACGCGCCCACTGAGGCCGACTCTGGAGGCCTCCGAAGGCCGCGGTGCCCACGCGTGGAACGCCCTCCAGGCCTCGCTGCAAGGAGGTAGAGTGGCAGGGCTGCACGCACCTGACTCCAGGCTGGCCCAGTTTAGGAGACTTGGCCCACGGGGGAGCCCGCAGGAGAGCGGGGCTGCTAGGCTAGGGGGTGGGCGCGCCTGGCGGGGACCCCCACCTGCCCCGCCCCACCCCACCCTACCCGGCTGCTCCCACACCCAGGCCCCGCTGGGGAGGCTCGTGGACTCCATCGCCACCTGGTGGTGCTGCCTGGAACCGCGGCCTCATCCGGAGGCCCCACCCCACCCAGTGCCCGCCAGCCCTGGTCCCAAACCCTGACCCCAGCCAATGATGGAGGTGACAGTGGTGCGGCCTGCAGAAGCCAGGCGCCTCAAACCATTCCCCAATATTCTGGGGAGACACAAAACTGACAAAGTGAGACTCCCCCCACCCCCCTGGGAAGCGCAGGGCACTTTGGTGGACCTCCTCTGCGGTCTCCTCTGCCAGAGGATCCCAGGGCACAGTCCACCACTGCCCCATGGAGCAGCCCGTTGCTTTCTGGGCGGTGAGGACCCGGGACGTCCTGCCTCGTGCTGGGCCGGGATGGCTGCTCTGCACCCGCAGCTCCCACGTGGCCCTAAACACCTGCTTCACTCCTCACTGTCTACATGGGCTGCCAGGCACTGCCAGCCTCTCCAGGGGCTTTCATGGTGGGGACAGAGAACAGACATACAATGGCGTATGTCAGGATGCTGGGAGATGCGCCAACTAGGAAGGTAGGGCAGGGAGGTTGGGGGTGACGGAGGGGCAGGGCAGGGGGTGACAGGTAGGTGGGCCAGGGAGAGCAGGGAAGGGTTGCTGGGGACATGCCAGATGGTGCAGAGGAGGCAGGAGGCTGGGGGGTGGGGAGCAGGGCAGGAGGGCCTTGGCTTTGGACAGGATGAGCCGAGTTCTCTGTTAGTTTATTTAGAACCTTGGATAGTTGAGCCTAGAGCTTGAGAAATAGAAGCCTGGCTGGAAATAGAATCCTGAGCCTGTCAGCAGTTAGGTGGCATTTATGGCCACAACATGGAGCAAAATAACGAGGGAGCGAAATAACAAAGAAGAGAAGAAACACCGAGCCCCAGAAAAAGAGGCTGGAGAGAAGAGGAACCGGCAGAGGAGGCCAGGCAGGGTGAGCAGTGTGTGGGGCTGGGGAAACCCAGAGTGGGGGGCTCCAGCGATCAAGGGGTCAGCAGAGGGGAAGGTGCCATCCATGGACCGAGGAACAGCCGGGAGATTGAGCACCATGAGCACACAGCCCCCAACACCCCAGCTCCTCCGTGCTGCACACACACCCTCCTGGCACACCTGGGCACCCGCCAACCTGGTGTTCCACCGTAAGCACAGCACTGGGAACCAGATCCAACCATCAGGATGTGGTTCCCCCAGAGCGATGGGCAGGCCTCACTGGTCAGGACTTCGCGTCTGTTTCACCCTCATGATTGTCGTAAGACCTGCTGTTTACTGGGGCTTTACGATTTCCTGGAACTATGCCACATATTTACATATTGACTCCATCCAAACTGACAGCAGCCTGCCTGGAGAAGTAGGTGTTACTCTTTATGGAAGAATAAACTGAGGCTCCTAGAGGTCCAGAAACTTGACCAAGTTTCAGCAACTGGTTTTCAGTAGGAGCGCCACCATTGGTGCCAGGGCTGCCTCCTGATTCCAAAGCCCCAGGTAGGTACCCGCCAGGTGGCCTCCAGCCCCAGCCATATTTCCATTTGCATATTTGCACCTCATTAGCAACTTCTTTTGAGCTAGAAGACCTGAAAAATGCTCAGGACATTTTCAATTAATAAGTACTTCAAATGGAATTACAGAACTTTAGGTCACTGGTGCCTCCCAAATAGGGATGCTCAGCCAATCTGTGTGGTGTTGAAGAGCCTGGGGCAGGAACATAACCAACAGGTATTTACTGTTCTGGGCGTGTCCACGTGTTCTTCTGCAACCGCAGGTTCTATTGTCTAAACTCCCTGTAGTGAGTTGAGGGGTGCCCCCCAAAAAGATAGGTCCATGTTCTATAGTCTCTGGAACTTGTGAATGTGTCTCTGTAGATGTTAAGCTCAAGATTTTTTTTTCTTTTAGAGGGAGTCTCACTCTGTCACCCAGGCTGGAGTGCAGTGGTGTGAACTTGGCTTACTGCAACCTCCACCTCCCAGGTTCAAGCAATTCTCCTACCTCAGCCTCCTGAGTAGCTGGGACCACAGGCGTGTGCCACCATGCCCAGCTACTTTTTGTATTTTTAGTAGAGACAGGGTTTCATTATGTTGGCAGGGCTGGTCTTGAACTCCTGACCTCAGGTGATCCACCAGCCTCAGCCTCCCAAAGTGCTGGGATTACAGGCATGAGCCACCATGCCCGGCCCTGGTTATTATTTTTGTAAATACAATAAAGTATTTTGAGAAAATATTGGCAAAAAAAGTGAATAAATGTTAACAGTTGAATATTCTTAGTGGTGAGAAAGAGTGTTTTTTTATATTTATTTACTTACTATAGACTTAGAATTTATTTTAAAAACCTACTTTATACCACCAATATTATAACATTAAAGAAAATCACCAAAAAAGTTAAAATTGACTCATTATCAAAATAGACCAATAACAAGTGCAAAAAGTGAATTAGTAATTGAAGATCTTGCCACAAAAAAGCCCAGGCTCAGAATATTCACTGGTGAATTCTATCAAATATTTAACAAAATAGTACCAATTCTTCACAAACATAGGAAATAAACAAAGAGGCAACATTTATTCTCTGAGGCCAGTATACTCTAATACAAAAAATAACTAAAGTTATGACAAGAAAACTACAGACCAATATCAGGCATGAATTTAGACCCCAAGACCCTTATCAAACATTAGCACACTGAATCCAGCAACATATAAGGAGAATGATACACCACAACCAAGTGGGGTTTATCCCAGGAATGCAAGGTCAGTTTAACATTTCAATATCAATTAATTTAATACATCATGTTGATAGAATAGAGGTAAAAAACCACATGGTCATCTTGATAAACACAGAAAAAAACACTTAACAAAATCTCCCCACACACACACAAAAAATCCAACACCCATTCATGAAAAGAATTTTCACCAAACTAGAAATGAACTGGAACATCTTCATTTCTATTAAAGACATCTATAAAAATCCTGCAGCTAACATTATACCTAATGGTAAGAGACTGAATGCCTCCCACTTAGGATTGGGAAAAAGGTAAGGAGGTCCACTCTCTTCACATTCATTTAACATTTACTAGAGGTGCTAGCTAATGAAATAAGGCAAGGAAAAACTAAGGCATCTAGACTGAAAAAGAAGTAAAACTCTCTTTATTGACATATAATAGAAAACCCTGAAGAACCCACAAAACTAATAAATTTAGTAAATGAGTTTAGCAAGATTACTAGATACAAGATCAAAATCAACATATAAAAATCAAGTGTATTTCTATATACTAGCAGTGAATGATCAAAAAATGGAACTAAGAAACACTTCCATTTGCAATAGTATTAATAAAGAATAAAACTACTTAGGAATGAAACCAACAAAGGAAGTGCAAGACTTTTAAATTAAAAGCTAGAAAACTTTGCTGAGAGAAATTAAAGATCTAGATAACCTGGCGGGGACATTCTGTGTTTATGGATTGAAAGACTCAATGTTGTCAAGATTGTAATTCTTCCAAAATTGATGTATAGAGTCAATGAAATCTTGCTAAAACCCAGCAGGATTTTTGTGGTAGAAGTAGGCAAACTGACCATAAAATTTGCTTAGAAATGCAAAGAAATCCGAATAGCCAAAACAATTTTGAAAAAGAACAAAATGAGAGCACTTCCACCACCAGATTTTAAAACTTTCTGTAAAGCTATGGTAATCATCGCACACAGATCAATGGGAGACGATCGAGAGTTCAGAAATAAGCACGTCTATGGTCACCTGATTTTCAACAAAGCTGCCAAGACGGTCAATAAAGAAAAGATGGTCCTTTCAACAAATGGTGCTGGAGCAGTTAGATACCCAGGCAAAAAGACGAATTAGACCTTTACTGCATGTAATACACAAAAATTCACTCAAAGTGACTCATAGACCTAACTTAAAACTATAAAACTCTGAGAAAAAAAAACATAGGGGACAATCTTTGGGACCTTGGGTTAGGAAACAAGTTCTTAGATTTGATACTAAAAACATAATCCATAAAAATGATAAATTGGACTTCATCGAGATTGAAAGCTTTTATATATACATCATAAGACATGATTAAGATAATGAAAGACAAGCTTCAGACAGGAGAAAATGTTTTACAAATTATATATCTGGTGAAATATTTGAATCCAGGACATATAAAGAACTTTCATCATTCAATAACAAGATCAACAGCCTAATTAAAAATGGATAAAAGATATAAACAGCTATTTCACCAAAGCTGTACAAATGGCTAATAAGCCAAAAAGATGCCCAATATCATTAGTCTTAGGGTTAATGCAAATCAGAGACACCACCTCACCCCCACTGAAATGGCTGTCGTTAAAGAGACAATCACAAGTATTGGTGAGGACATGAAGCAATCAGAACCCTCGTTCACTGCTGGTGGAAATTTGAAATGGTGCGGCCACTTTGGAAAATAGTTTGGCCGTTTTTCTTCAAAATGCTAAACATAGTTACCTTATTAGCCAGCACCCCATGCCTGGGTACATACCCAAGAGAAATGAAACATACCCACCCAAGGACTTGTACGAGAATGCTCACAACGGCATGATTCACAACAGACAGCAGACTCAAATGCCCACTGGCTGGTGAGTGGATAAGCAAACGGTGGTCTGTCTATGCAGTAGAACATTACTCATCAACTCAAAACGAACAAAGTACAGACACATGCTACAACACGGATGTGTGTGAAGAACATCATGCTTAATGAAAGAATCAGATGCAAAAGACTTCACATTATGAGATTCCACTGATTTGAAGTGCTCAGGAAAGGCAAATCTATGGAGACAGAAGGCATTTCTGCAGGTGCCTGGTAGGGCTGGTATGGGAGCAGGGATTCACTGCAAATGGGCACAAGGGAACTTTTTGGTTTGGGGTGATAGAAATGCTTGAAACATGAAAATAAAACTGTGGTGACAGTTGCACAACGCTAGAAATTGACTAAAAAATCATTGAATTGTCACAACAGGTGGATTGCACGGTACCTAAATGAACCTCAATAAGAATAAATTATGTTAGAAATAAATCTTCTCTATAAGATCAGCATTCAAACAAAAATCACTGCCTTAGCTTTTCTAGGCTCTGTCATAGTCTGAGTGAAAACTCAAATGGGTTCATCAGCAGATCTGATTTTATTATTCATGGCTCCGTGGGATTCCACTTTACCAAGTCTGTCATAGTTGAAGGCAGGAAACCAAAATCACTCAAGTTATTTTAAGGAAGAATGTCAGTGCATGGAATGAGATGCTTATCATTGTGAAAGGGCTGAAGTCACAGGTGCCCAGCTGGACCTCACGCTTATCTCAGAGACAGCCCTGGAGCGACGCTGGTACCTGGTGGCCCCTCCTGAGCCCAGGGTGGCTGCCGCAGCGTCGCTCTTAACCTCTGTGCTGTGGGACCTCACTCCGGCATCGGGGAATGGTGATGAGAGTTTATGGATAAAGTCATTTTATTTGGGAAAAATTAATTCCTGGAAACATCAATAGAGTGTTCATTTACTCATTAAATAAATGCTTTTCTGTGGAAAGAAATGGTCTGTATGCACCACCACCCTGCACCCCCAAATCCCTTTGGCACCTTCTAGAATGGAGCGGCCAGGGAAGGTGTGAACAGCATTCACTCAGTCTGTTCTCTGTGACGTCCGTGAAGAGGGCCTCCCTGCACGCCCCTCGTAATGCTGTGGCTTCAGGTCTGCGTTCAGGTTTTCAAATGTGGACTTTGAGAAGGTACGTCCAGTCAGTGCTTCCCTAGCACTGTCCTGTGCTCAAGGTTTTAAGTACTGGCCAACTGGAACATTGTCTGTTTGGGTCAAATGTTCACTTGCATGTATCACTCGCCTCTCAGGGCCTGTTTTCCCGGCACGGGGCTACTCCTGGCCGGTTATTGATGCTGTTGTACCGTATGGACAGGGCACTGGCGCTACTGACATTCTCCAGTCATATATCGACTTCATTTTCAGAGCTTTACCAGGTGTTCACATTTTTTAGCCCCATATTCAAAGACGTCTTGGCTCTGACCTTCTCGTGCTGTTTCTGGCACCCCAAGTATGAGGCTCCCCTGGGTCCTCCAGGGCTGGCTTTGTCCCACACGGTCCCGCTGGCTGCAGGTGACTATTCAGATGAGACCCAAATTCATTAAAGTGAAATTCAATGAGAAGTCCTGTTCCTCAGCCCCTCAATCACATCTTGAGGGTTTTATAGCCAATGTGGCTTGTGGCTGCCGGAGCACACAGCTCAGAGACAGGACACATCCACCACCGCAGAAGACGCCTGGCACCTTGCACACGGGCTCACAGCAGCAACTGTGAGTCCTCTGCAGTTCTTTGTCCATTTCCCTTTGAGAAGTGACTTCTGAGGTGAGTGTGTCTTACCTTAGTGGGTTTGGAGCAGGTATTTGTCACCGACTCCCAAAGGAGGGGATGACTCGAGGGCCCTCGCACGGAGGAGGGCAGGGCCTTGAAAGTTGCCGACGTCAGGCCGGGTGCAGTAGCTCACGCCTGTAATCACTTTGGGAGGCCGAGGCAAGTGGATTGCCTGAGGTCAGGAGTTTGAGACCAGCCTGGCCAACATGGTGAAACGCTTTCTGTACTAAAAATACAAAAATTCACTGGGCGTGATGGTGGGTGCCTGTAATCCCAGCTCCTCAGGAGGCTCAGGCAGGAGGATCGCTTGAACCCGGGAGGTGGAGGTTGCAGTGAGCCGAGACCACACCACTGCACTCCAGCCTGGGCAACAAGAGTGAAACTCCATCTCAAAAAACAAACAAACAAACAAAAACAGCCGGTGACGTGGGTGAGAGGGCTCTGTGGTAGCAGGCAGCAACTGGAGCTGGAGAGAAGGATGAAGTTGGGATTTGATGAGCAAAGGGGTGCAGCTGGGACGGGCAGGACACACTCGCTCTGTCAGCACAGCCTGCTGCCACTCCAGGGAATCTCTGCTGTGGATTTTTTGCCATGGACTGTCCCTTCTGTGGCACCTGTGTCCCAGGTGGGCCCATGCCCCAAGGACAGCCTTCTGATGAGCTGCCCAGCAACCCTGACCCTCTGACCCCCAGGACCTGGCTCCCAGCGACAACCTGGGTTGGGAATTTGGCAGTGGGAGACCAAGGGCTGAGTCAGTCCCTGGGAAAGCTGAGCTGAAAATCATGAGGCTAGTTTGGGGTTGGGAGGCTCCCGTGGCCACAGGGCAGGGCGAGAGGAGGGACAGAACCCAGAAGCCAGGAGAAGAATCCCGAGGATGGAGCCGCTGGTCCCCTGGGCTGCCCAGCAGGGTTCGAGCCCCATGCTGCGCCTGGGCCCACCCGAGCGTGGCTCTGTGCCTTGTGGTCAACATGCCTGGGGGGAAACAAGGTGTCGGCAGCTGGGTCCCTGGCTGTGCGCGCAGCGTGGGCCACCACGCCAGACAAAAGACGCAACTCTGTTGGCTCAGCGGCGCTGTGTGTAGGGCGCGCCTTGGCCCGGCCCCTGTTTGGGGGAACATCTGGTTCTGATTGCGTTGTCCTAAAGATTAAAACTCTTCTGGGGCAGTGAGGGGAAGGGCTTGGTGGCCTGGAGTTATGGCGTCCCCTCCATAGGCGTGCCGGTCCTCGGGAGCTGCTGAAGGCCACCGGTAGGGACCCGCCGTCCTGGCCACTTGCTTGGCAGGACCTCCTGGAGTGCAGTGGCCACTGCTGGGGGCCCTGTGGGAGATTTGCTGAGAAACTGAGAAATGCCAGATTCACACCCGAGGCCTGGAGCTGAAATGGTGCTGACATGAGGGATGGCAGGGCTGACACGTGGCATAGACACGCAGGCCTGGAAGTGGGTCCATAACTCCTTCAGTTTCATTAGCGGTGGGGAGAACATCCTCTTATCACCCCAGACGTTCCCCGGCGCCATGCTCGCCCTGGGTCCTCAGGCAGACGAGGCCAGCATCGTCACGGGCTCTGAGGGCTGTGACGCCTGGTCCTCATGCAGCACTGCCAAGGTCACCAGGGAGGGACAGCGATCCTGGGTGGCTCAGACCAGTTCTTTATTTTTCTATTATTTGTTGTCTAAAACCCTCTGTTATTTTTATTTTTTCCTACTTTTCTCAGTGTCCTAAAAACCCTGCCAATATTTTAGAAAACATCACCTTGAATCAGATTCAAACTCGCCCCGCAGCTCCTGTCAAACTCAGCTCTGTGACCTGGGGACAATAAAACCGGCTGGGAGTGCCGGCCCAGGGTGGGCTGCATCTGAGGCTCTCCACGCATGACATTCTCCTGCCTTGGTTCTCTGGGATCTGGGCCCTTCCTGCTTCCAGCGCCACGTTCCTGTTGCTGACAACTTCCAGGAACGGCCCCCAGGAATGCACTGAGTGTGCTGACAGGGGGAGCATGCTAAGTGTGGGCTGCGAGGGATCTTTTCTCATCATCTATTGAGCTATCCACTCACTCTTCTTGTAACGCACGTCTAGTAATGTTCGCTCTGGACCGTTCCACTCAGGGAGGCTGAGGATTAGGCCACGCGACCTACAGGCCTGTGCTGGCTCGGGTGGCGCTAGCATGACTGCAGCTGGCTGTGCTGCAGGTGCTCCGGGACTGTGGCGGGGAAGACGCCCTGGCGGGGAAGAGAGCCCCGTGTGGATGGATGGAGCTGACAGCCTGGTTGGGCAGACACAGATCTCGTCCCTCTCTGCCCCCAGGATGTGCTGGTGTCTCTGCTGTAGGCAGACACAGCCCCGGTGCTGCCTCACCTCTCACCTGGCCTCCTTCTAGAAACGTGTTCCAGAAGGGACCAGAATAACTCATGCTTGGAACTACGAGGACATCCGTCATGTACCCAGGAAGCCTTTAAGGCAAAGTGATTTCAGCTAAAACAGCTTCTGTGTCGCTGGGACCCTGGGCCCCTCTCTGTGTCTCTGTGACCCGACCCCTCTGTGTCGCTGAGACCCTGGGCCCCTCTCTGTGTCGCTGGGACCCGACCCCTCTGTGTCGCTGGGACCCGGCCCCCTCTCTGTGTCGCTGGGACCCGGCCCCCTCTCTGCAATGGAGTTAAGAGAGAAAAACACGTGTGCAGGTGGGAGGATCTCTGAGTGCACACTCTGAGTGGTGGGAGGATCTCCGAGTGTGCACTCTGAGTGGTGGCAGGATCTCCGAGTGTGCACTCTGAGTGGTGGGAGGATCTCTGAGCGCACACTCTGCGTCTCGGGGGTCCACATGCTGCCTTGGGAGGTCTCTGCAAGGCCACTCCTCAGGCCAGGGCCTCCCTGGCAGCCTGGAGGCTGGAGCCTGAGGGAGACAGGGCCCTGGACAGGGTGGGCCAACGGTGGGGGCGGGCACACTGTTATTTATGAGTTTTCCTGGGGCTGCCAAAGTGAGAGGCGCTCCTAGGGTCTGACCCCCTGCCCGGCTCTGCGCTGGAGGGACGGCCGGGGCACAGCTGCAGCCACCCACAGAGGCAGCCACGTCCCAGCTGTGGGGGAGGTGAGCATGGGCAAAGCAGGGCACATACTTCTGTCCTAAAATAGATTTTATCTCAAAAAGAAAACAGATGGGGATGGAGATGATTTTTTTCTTCTGAAAAGTGCAGGAAGCAGCATAGAGCTGCCAAGCAGCTCCCTCTCCCACCCAGATGCAATTAGAAACTTCCAGAACCCACTTGGTGCAGAGCCCCCGGGACGACCTGGCCTGGGGGGGGCGGGGGGCGGGGTAGGGGGTTGAGGTGGGAGCAGCAGGTGGCCTGCATGGGGCTGCTGCGGACCCTCCGTCTCCCCAACCCCGCCATAGTGAAGGTGAAGCCACGTCAGAGGGCACAACGCGAGGGGCCCTGGTCCCAGCGGAACAGCAGAAGCGTGGATGCAGTCCCCACCCCCCGGATCCCTGCCACACCAGGACCATGGGTGTGGCAGGGACCATGTCTTGCGCAGGACCAGACACAGAGGAAGCCAGGCGGGCAGAGCTGAGCCTCCCTGGGAGACAGTACCCAGGCCAGTGTCTCCTGCCCTAGACAGCACCTCCAGGCCAGCGTCTCCTGGAGCAGACACACCCTCGGCTCTGCTGCTGGGGGTGGCTGAGCCACAAGGTTGGCAGAGGGGACCAGCAAACCCTGCAGAATGCGACCGTGGAGGAGTCTGGATGCAGGAGGCTGAGTTTCCTGGCTGCCTTTCCCACTTGCCTGTAAGTTTCTGTCTTGGGAACGCCCAAAAGTGTTAGCAGGTCTGTCTCATGATTAATGCTATCAGAGTAAAGTCTTGATTCAGCAGAATTCCTCCTGACTCGGTTTTTGCCACATGACTCACTGTCTAACATGGAGGGAACAATCACAAAGTTTCTCAGTGAAAACATCCCGCTTATTCACAGTGAACCTGGGGAGACCCTGAGTGTGGGTCACGAACACGATTCTCAGGTCCAGAGAGGGTTAGGATGAGATTTTATGATCAGGGATGATCAGAGATGTGGGTTTCCTTCTACTCTATGGATTACAGATTTGTACCCAAGTTAAGGACACATTTCTTCTTTGACAGTGTACCCTGTGGGCTTGAAGACTATGGCTGCAAGGTGTGTTTCTGCAGCAAGGGAGAGAAGACCCCTGGGCCTGCAGACCCCACACTGCGGGAGGAGCCCAAGAAATTCACGGACAATTCAAAGGCTTTGGTTTCCAAACAACACATGCAAAGCAAATATTCTGAGGCTTTACTCTGCAAATACACCTCACCATGGCACACAGCATATTCTTAGCTCAGATCTCATGACAAACAATAGTGGCCCCAAGTAGCTGAGGCTGCCACCGTGCTCTGTGGCCAGCACAAGTGGGGCCAAGCAGTGGGAAGGCCCTGGCTACTCTGGGCCAGGGACAGGCCTGTTTGTTCACAGGGATGTGGGAAGCCTGGAGTTCTCACTCTGCAGGACAACTTTATGGAAACCCTGGGCATCCTGAGCTCCCCACAGCCACCAGAAAACAGATGGAAACATGAAGAACAAGAGGGGGCCAGAACCAGGAGGGCAGCTGACACCCTAATCATGGCCACCAAGGGCAGTGAGTGTCTGCACACCCTCCTGTGGCCTCAGTGCCCTTCAGTGTGGCCCGGTCAACATTCCAGGAATGGCGGAGTCGTGAACTGCATTAGCAAGGGAGGCTGCCCCACCTGGAATGTGGGGCTGATATGGGTTGGCTGTGTCCCCACCCAAATCTCCTCCCGTAGTTCCCATAACCCCCAACGTGTCACGGGGAGGGACCAGGTGGAGGTAATTGAATCACAGGGGCGGTTTCCCCCATCCTGTTCTCATGAAAGGGAATGAGTTCTCGGAGAGCTGATGGTTTTATAAGGGGCTTCCCCCTTCACTGGGCACTCATTCTCCTTCCTGCCACCACATGAAGCAGGATGCGTCTGCCTCCCCTTTGGCCACGACTGTAAGTTCCCTGAGGCTTCCCTAGCCCTGTGGAACTGTGAGTCAATTAAACCTCTTTCCTTTATAAATTACCTGGTCTCAGGTAGTGCTTTATAGCAGCGTGAGAATGAACTAATGTAGGGGCTTACCTGGGGACCCTGCTCCAAGCCAACTGAGAGACAAGAGCTAAGGGTCACCATCCACAGAACAGCGGAGGCGGCTTCCAGACTTCCCACAGCCCCCCTGCAGGGCGTGGGGCTTGGGGGAAGAGGGCATGGCCTGGCTGCTGTTCTAAAGTCTCGATTCTTCTAAGGAGGACAGGGAGCACAGCCCAGACAGGAGCACATGCAGGACCTGGGCTGCCCATAGGGCCCACGGCTGCTGTGGCAGCAGCTGTTGGAGTGGAGGAAAGGGTGGAGTTCCTACCTCGCCACTGCCCTCTGCATGCAGCCAGCATCACCCTTTGGGTTTCTGTCTGTGGCGAAGTTTACAAACACTGAGCATCCTCCGTCCTTGAATTGAACTCGGCGCCAGAGAGGCCCCATCCTCGTGCAGTGGGGGAGGGAAGCCAAGGCAGCCCCTGGGCCCTGAGCAATCCCCCAACCCCCAGCCCCAGATTTTATGGCACTACCCATCAATGAGATAGACACTATGAGTGAAATTGGGGTGAAGAAAAAAAGTAAGAGGAAAAGAAATCAAGATGAAGCCAAGAATCAAAAGAGAACCCCAGATGCACACCAAGTGATTCTGTACAGTTGCTAGGGGTGGGTTGCAAATGAGGCTCTGAGTTTCCCAGCAGTCACAGCAAAGGGGGAACCAGCCCGACCTTAACATAACAACAAATATTTTTGCCCCAGTTCCCTAGAAGCCTCCAAAACAACCTGTGGAAGTCTTGGGGTTTTAGCTCATTGTTTTAAGGTCTTGGGTTTAAAATAAAGGACAGGGAGGGGAGAAATTACTTAACTTTAAAACAAGCTAACAGACTGGGAAAGGACAGCATTTTATAATTATTTTGTACCTCACAGAGTCACGGCGCTGTGTTGCAAAAACAGGGAGTGATTCATGGTATTTCTGGAAGTAAATCTCTCCTCTACATCTCCTCCATCACACCTCATCAGGGCCAGCATCACCCATCAGCTGTGTGTGTGTCTGTACGGACTCCCCACCGGCCCCACGTCTGCTGCCGTCAGACCCTCCTCCAGCCCCAGGAGTTACATCCCCAAATGGAGACCTCACTACCCACAAACAGTGAGTGGCTCTGGCCTTTTTTCCACCCTGGCCTCAGCTCAAATCCCCCTTCCCCAAGCTCCCCCCATGTATTTTTCTGGCTGTTTGCTTGTTCTGTTTATCCCCCTCCACTCAGACCTGATGTTGCCGGGACAGAGTCTGCCTCAGGCGGGTTCCTGGCTCTGGACAGTCAGTGCCACGCACAAGCTCTGGGTTGTTTCATCCATTTGCCAACAGCCAATTTGACGATTGATTCAAGCCAATGGCCAAGTTACTCCAAACTGTCAGATATGGTAGGCCCCGCTGACGGCTTGTCACAGCTGTTTTGCCATAAAGTTTGGGGAAGCGGTGAGAGCTGTGAGGATCTACCTCCTGGAAGGGACGATCCTGGGCTCACACCTCCAGGAAGCACAGCACAGCCTGGTGCACTGCGGGGTACAATAGCCATTGACTTGTCGTCTTCTGAGTCCCTGAAATAGTAACATTTTTGTAATCCAAGTTTCCAGTGTGTCTTTATAAATAATGATGGCAAAAACTAAGAGAAAGGCATTGTGTAATTTGAATCAGTGCCTACAGGGCTAAGTCTCCTAGAGGCCGGATCAGTGAGAGATGATCTGGACAAGCCTTTTGCTGTGACGCTCATCCAAGAGAGCTGTCCTGTGGGAGGACAAGCAGAGCGAGGGCAGCGAATATGATTATTACTGGATTTGATATTGGTGTTTCTTACAATATTTTCAGACATGTGCTTCTCAAACTTTCTGTGATGAAGAACCAGCTTTTTAAAATGTCCAATCCACTGTGGACTGATATTTTCATAAAATACAGGCAAAAATGCCCTGGCCGCATCAAGGGACAGCAAAGTATCTACATGCTTGCTCTCAGTTTCTGCCCAGACTCAAGGGGTAGTTCCAACAGCCATGGCCCTGCAGTGCTTGTGTGGTGTGTTCTTGACCCGGATAAGCTGCAGTGGGGCTCGTGGCTGGCGGACCATCCTCCCTACTCCCCGCCCAGCCGCTGAAGGCCACAGGGTCACTGCTCAGAAGTGGATGTGGCTGTCCAGTCTTCACCGACCCTTCCCGCTGGTGGATGCCTGGACACCCTTAAGCTTCCCGACACTTGGGTCATTTTGTGGTGATGTCATTGGCCACAACATGTGAAATCGAGCAGGTGGCACCAACTCTGACCACGCATCGGCCAACGTCAGCGAGGAAGCATGGCTTGAGCTGTAAATGGTAGCATTTCAGCCATTTCTTCTTCCCAAGTTTGACTGCTTCTCACCTTTGTGATGCACACACACAAAGGTAGAAACATTAGAGAGAGAGAGAACAAAGGGACAGCAGGAACGCCCTCCAGGACTCTGGGCGTGTCCCTGAGGAAAGACCTCTGCAAGCAGCCAGTTTCACCATTTGGGTTTCCGTCTGAGGGGATGTTTACAAACACTGAGCATCCCCAGTCCTTGAATTGAACTCGGCACCAGAGAGGCTTGCGGTGGGAGATGGAAGCCAAGACAGCCCCTGGGTCCTGAGCAATCCCCCGACCCCCAGCCCCAGACTTTATGGCACTACTGGCTAACAAGATAGACACTATGAGTGAAATTGAGGTGGAAAAAAAAATAAGAGGAAAAGAAATCAAGATGAAGCCAAGAATCAAAAGAGAACCACAAATGCACACCAAGTGATCCTGTATAGCTGCTAGGGGTGAGTTGCAAATTAGGCTCTGAGCTTCCTAGCAGTCATAGCAAAGCAGAAACCAGCCTGACCTTAAGATAACAACAGATATTTTTGCCCCACTTCCCTAGAAGCCTTCACAGAGGGAAAAACCTGGGTGCTGTGGGTTCTGCCTTGGGAGCATCATCCCTCCTAGACAATCCCAGAGGCCCACCACAAGCAGGAGCTGTCACTTCTGTGATGCGGAGGCCTGGCATATGGGGGGTCAGAGCCGTCATGGGTGAGTTGCTTGGTTGGTGAGTGGCCGAGCAGGCTCCCAACACCCGCTGGTCACTGTCACTGCCCAGTGGTTTTCTGCACCTCTGTCTTCACAAGCAGCTCTGTGGACTGGATAGGAAATGCACCTCTGACTGGTGCAGCTTTCTGAGGTCGGGAACAGCCTGCCCCAGAGGGAGGCAGGAGGGGGACGGTCTCCAGGAGGCTGCTCTGGGGGCCCGGATTTTCCTTTTGTTTGGTGGCCATCAGGTCCCTGGGGCTCCGCTCCCCTTCACCTCCAGCTTCAGTCCCTTCCTCGGGCACCAACTGGCCTCCCCGACGCGCCCTGCCTTAGAGCCTTGTTCTAGTCCGTGGGGGTTGCCGGCCAGTGACCGCCGCCTCCCACTCTCAGTGTGGCCTCGGAGCCTGAGTTTCCCAGGGCTCTTCTGTCTCACGTGGAGACTGCCCTCCTTGCACCCACAGCTGTTCAACCATGATGCGGTGCTTCCAAGCTGATCACTTCCACTCTCGTTTCTAGAAATTCCTCATTGTCCTTGAGATGGGGAGAGCCTGATCTGTTTTTCCAGCACAGTCAGGGACTAGTTCTTATGTTTCTTCTTCTTCTTCTTCTGTCATTTCACTGGGGCTCAGGGAGGAAGGACATAAACTTGGCTAACATTTTGAAGGGATGTCCCTGTTTTTGCCCTTGAGGGCTCAAAGGATGCTCTCTTCCTGAGTTTCCCCCACAGCAGGGCCTTCACACTGAGGCTGTACAGTGAAAATACAAGACTCCTAACTCTTTAAGCAAGCAAGAAAAAAACCCAAACTTCCCACCCTATTAAGGTGTTCCAATCTTATCTCACGAATGGGAGATTTTTTTGAGGCAGAAGGACCAGAGAAAGTGTCTGGTCCAAGCCTAGAACATTTTAGGAAGGAAGATGGAGGGCATGGCAATTTCTACACTTAGAAAAGTATTAGAGATCATTAAGGAGGTGCACCATGCTTCACAAGGATATTGATGGACTCTGTGTTTCTAATAGTTAAAGAATGGAGGCAGGTTAAATGCCCTCCAAAAAGGTCAGTTTATACAGTAAGAATGGCTCAACTAGGCAGGACTGAAAGGTTAGTGATTTGTGTATTGACTACGTCTGAAAGCTTAATCAACAAAATGTTACCAGCACTTAGCTCTGTGTGGTGAGATGAAAATTATACTTAAATTTTTTTTTGCTTATTTAAAATTGTGCTCCTTAAGTTTTCAACAAAAAATGCATATTGTTTTTTAATAAGAAAAAAGGTTACGAATTTAAATATAACAACCGGTGTTAAGACAAGGTGATGGCGGGGCCGAGGCTAGACCAACTGCATGTGCAAAATCCACAGCAGCGCATGACTGGGGCTGATCATCTGTGTCTCCAAGTGGCTTTGCGGGGAACCCTCAGGGACTTTCCCAGAAAGTTTCCCACCAGGTGATGGTGCTTTCGAGTGCTGGGTGCTCAGCAACTGCTGTGAAGGCACAGAGGCAGTGCCTGCCTGCAGGATGCTTCCAGTCCAGTGAGGGACAGACAGGAGGGCCCAACCTGGAGCAAAGTTTAGGGTGGCCACCCTGTAGGAGACAGGCAGGCAGGGGCCACGGGCACTCCCAGGTGGAGACCAGTTGCCTGGAAAGGTCAGGGCCACGTTGGTCTCCAGGCCGAGCACCCAGGCTGAGCAGAAGGTGCTCTGGCCGGGTTTACCACCTCACTTACCAACAGGCCCCCACCCCTCCCTGCCCCCACATGGGTGTCTGCCCAGGTGCAGTGTGCACAGGAAGGGGACAGGGCTCATTGAGAGTATGTGCAGGGGAATGTAGCAGGGCACAGTGCCCATGGTCCCTGGAGCCCCCTTGCTAGGTGTGTGCAGAGCCACCCTCAGCTCCTTGGGACCCTCTGCTCATGAGGCCTCCTTCCCCAAGAGGGAACCCCCAGATGCGGCTTGACAGGGGGCTGGGAAAGCACAGCCCATGGTGGAAAGGGGAAGATCTGACCCAACCTTGAACTTTTCTGGCAAGGAAGTAAAATCTGCGAAGAAATTCAGGGAGTCTGGGATTCTTCACTCTCTGCGGGACGTCTTGGGGGCGGTAAATCAGCGTGGGAAGGAGGCAGCAGGTGGGGAGGGCAGAGTGGGCGTGGGGGCTTTGACTTAAAAAGCTTTACTGTCTGGGAATGCCGGCATTCTGAACAGTGTGTGTGTGTGAGTATATGGGCGTGCACGTGTGCATATGTGTGCGTATGTGCACATGTGCATACGTGTGTGTGCACGTGTGTGTGTGCATATGTTCAGGTGTGCACTTGTATGTGTACATGCAGTTGTGACTTCTTTCACTTGCCTGAAGGAGAGGTAGGTTTGCCTCAAGGCTCTTGCAGCTGGGAAAGTGGGGACATCCCCAAAAGGCAGCTCGGCTTCCCTAGGCTGTGAGTGTGGGTGCTGCAGACCTGTGCTCAAGAGCAGCCTGGGTCACCCTTGATGGGCACTGCATGGGGCCTCACACCTGCAGCCGGGAGCCCTAGACAGGGACCAAAGGAATTTGCTCCCAGTGGTAGAGGAGAGAAGGCAGTCATACACGCACACCCACATGCTTACACACACACATACACATATATGCCCACCTGCTCTCTCTCACACACACAAACCCACCTGCTCAAATACATGTGCGTGCTCACATGCTCATACACACACACAAATCCACCTGCTCAAATACACGTGTGCTCACATGCTCACACACACACACAAATCCACCTGCTCAAATACACGTGTGCTCACATGCTCATACACACAAACCCACCTACTCACACAAATACACGTGTGTGCTCACATGCTCACACTTACACAAACCCACTTGCTCAAATACATGTGTGTGCTCACATGCTCATACACACGCACCCACCTGCTCACACAAATACACGTGCATGCTCACATGCTCATACATACACAAACCCACT
The DNA here is from genome assembly GCF_000001405.40 of Homo sapiens. Lineage (NCBI taxonomy): Eukaryota > Metazoa > Chordata > Mammalia > Primates > Hominidae > Homo > Homo sapiens. The sequence continues at coordinate 239,018,000 of NC_000002.12, read as the reverse complement.
CGCTCAAATACACGTGTGTGCTCCCATGCTCATACACACACACAAACCCACCTGCTCACACAAATACATGTGCTTGCTCACATGCTCATACACACACACACAAACCCACCTACTCAAATACACGTGCATGCTCACATGCTCGCTCACACACACACACAAACCCACCTGCTCATACACGTGTGCTCACATGCTCATACACACATACACACAAACCCACCTGCTCAAATACACGTGTGTGCTCACATGCTCATACACACACACAAACCCACCTGCTCACACTAACACACGTGTGCTCACATGCTCATACACACAAACCCACCTACTCAAACACGTGTGCTCACATGCTCATACACACAAACCCACCTGCTCAAATACACGTGTGTGCTCACATGCTCATATACACACACCCACTTGCTCAAATACATGTGCACACTCACATGCTCATACACACTTACACAAACCCACCTGCTCAAATACACGTGTGCTCACATGCTCATACACACAAACCCACCTACTCACACAAATACACGTGTGTGCTCACATGCTCATACACACACAAACCCACTTGCTCAAATACATGTGTGTGCTCACATGCTCATACACACGCACCCACCTGCTCACACAAATACACGTGCACGCTCACATGCTCATACATACACAAAACCACTCGCTCAAATACACGTGTGTGCTCCCATGCTCATACACACACACAAACCCACCTGCTCAAATACATGTGCGTGCTCACATGCTCATACACACACACACACACATGCTTGCACACACAGGCATATGCACAGGGATCCCTTGCATTTCAGTCGAAGATGCTCTAAAGGGCTGGGATCTTAAGTGATCAGAACAATAAACTTACAAGTGAATACCTGCAGATCAAGAATCAGAACGTCCCCTGTACCTCAGAACCTTCCCCATGCCTCCAAACTGTACTGTTTGCTTTCCTGGAAAGTCCAATCCATTTCTCTTACTTCCCTGAATGCAAATGGATCCATCCTGGGCCAAGCTCTTCCTCACTCGGTGGTACAAGAAAATTAGCCTGAACATCATACAAGGGAACGGCCAGGCTAAGTGATGCTGGAGCAGTGGGATCTCTGGTTCTTTAAGGTCAATGGGATTCACTCAAATCCTTCATGGTTCCTGCAACCGATCTTGGTGTCAGGGTATTAGAGGGCACAACAAAGAGCTGAATAAAGGCCCTGCCCCGAGGGGACATCCTGAGGCAACTGGGCAGGTAGAGACAATGCAGTGAAGTGTGACTAAAGGTGACCTTTGGATTGTGCAAAAGTTCTGCAGGTGAAACTGGTGGGAGCAGGGGCAGATAGCCCATCGTGGGCCACAGAAGGCCAGGACTTGGGCCCTGCAGGGCTTGTAGGAGCCATCTGAAGGCTCTTCTGAAAGGCTTGGGGGCCTGCCTGGAGGGTGGCGGGCACCCGAGCAGGCTCAGCCCCCTTTGGGTCCTGTGGCAGGGCCCTCACTGCTGTTCCCTGGCCTCCGGGAGCCGCCCTGCAGAGGTGGTCCTCCTGCAGAGGGACTGCTTGACCTATTTAAAAAGGTCTTCCCTCGATCCTTTGTGATGTCCTGAAGTGTTTACAGGATCAATACTGGCAATTATCAGGCTCTGAGGCTGCTGACCAAGCAATGACATCACACATGAACAGATTCCAGCGTCCTGTCCTATGCAATTGCTCTGGAGGGATAAAGGGCAGTATCTGATTAGATAGGAATCTTGCAAGGCTATGGATAGATGGGAGGAGGTGGGTGCTGGGAGCAGGGATGCCTCCTGTGGCCAAAGCTCTGGGTCAAGCCACACATCCGTGGCCAGGGTCCTCCTTTGCAGGCTGTTAAGTCCAGCAGACACTGGTGCCCAGAACATGAGGTCGCAGGGCTCAGCACTGGAGATAAAGCCAGACGCAGGGATGCGATGGAATGCCGGCGTAGGCAGGGACAGGGGACGGGGGAGGCTGCCGGGATCTCCAGCCAGATTTCTGACATCCTTGCGAAGAAGCGACAGTCAAGACAAGGGCCAAATTTCCTCCTAGGAGAGAGAGAGGATGGGGGAGAGGCGAGGGAAGGCACGGGAGGCCATATATGGCGGAACGAATGTGGTGTGTATGTGGGGCTCTTGGAGGCAGCTGTGCAGAAGGCCGCAGGGGCTCAGCCCGCTGGCCCTGGACTCTCACTTCGAGGAGGAGAGGGAGGTCCATGGGAAGAAAGTAGGCGGAAAAAAATAGTGCGACTTTAACAAATCCTCATCAACCTGGGAGTGTGCTGCAGCTGCCTGCCAGGGAGGGGGCCGTGCACCCCACGCAGGGTGGCCGGCGTGGCTTCCCAGCCAGCTCCTGCAGGGCCATGAGCCAGAGAGCAAAGGGGGATGGTGCTCCCCACCCAGGGCCTCTTGTGCGTGTGAGCCGCACCCCTCCCTGGGGCACCACGCTCCCAGCTCTATTTTCCTTTAAAGAAGCAGCAGAGCATCCTTGATGTCTGCTCGATATGTGGCAGGAGCCCGGCACAGCCCCAAATCCTCGGGGATCTTTCCTCCCTATGGGTCCGTGGGTCCACGGTTGTCACGGTGACACAGGCAGAGTGACAGGGCTTTGGAGTGCGCCCCCATCACAGGAGGAGGTAAGTCCTGCAGGGGTCCCTCTGTCTTCCTAATGCGAACCCCTGCTTCCGACTCCTGTTGACGGGGGCCTTGCAGCACCCCCAGGCACCTCTCGGTTGCCAGAGATCCCAGTTTAATAGGAAACAAGGCTCCTCTCTGGTACTGCCCACCAGTGTTGCCCCTTGGCACCCCACACAGCAAGAGCTTTTCCCTCCCAGGGGTCTGCCACTCGTGTTTAAAGATGCCCATCCCATCTCCACTTCTCCAAGCTGCCCCCACACCGAGTTCCTCAGGTAGATTCTAGCCAAGCGCCCCCACACACATGAGTCTGTGCTCACAGCACTCAGCAACCCCTCCTCCTGCCTCCTGAAGAACACAGTCTCCAGGCAGCAGGGGCCAAGGCCCTGGCCACACTGCCACAGGTGGCCCTGCCATGCTGTACCTGGGTCCCTGGACTCCAAGCTCAGTGCTTTTCCAGCCACACCAACAGATCTCAAAAATCATTTCCTCCCAGCGGTGGAACCATTCCTTAAAAAGGAGACTGAACAAAAGCATGACGTGCACAGGCTGCTAAGGGGGATGGGGGGCTGGCAGCCAAGGGCCCTTGCCCCACCCCTGCCCAACTAGGATTGTCCTCCCTGAGGTAGGCATGGGCTGGGTAAGGGTCCATGGAACATGGACTGAAACCCCCAGGCTGCGAGGGTGGAACAAGTAGGCAGCTCCCTTGGTTGGGCTGGAAAAGGCTGTGAATCCCATTGCTACCCCTCCCAGGTCCCTGCAGGGTGTGCCCATTGGTATGGGAGCTGGGGGGCGACCTAACAAAGCCAGCACAGGCTTCCCTGGGGAGGAGTGGTCACACCTGGATCCCTCCAGGAGCTCGTCCATGGGTGGACCTTGGGGAAAACTACTTAGAATAGCCTGTTTTACCGAAGAATCAGAAGCAACTCCCATTTCTAAAAAAAAAAAACCCTACTTTATTCACTCATTTGGTATTAAATCGAATTTAAGCCATTATAAAAAGAAATTAAAGCAGGTTTCACTCGGAATCTCACCGTCTAAATAGCATCCCAAGATAGCAAGGTGGAGGGTGCCCGAGCCTGAGTCCGCACTGGGCCGCCTGCCTTCGTGGCTGGAGTTCCTGATTCCCCAGCAAATGTGAGCCATTGGTGCTGTGTATCTCATGTTTGTGTTTAACACGTTCACAGTGCTTTTTACCTGTGTCTAGTAAATATATTTATTATTTTTAAGGACTGCCTAGCATTTTTTGCAGAGATCCCATAATTTGTATTACTATCCCTGTAGCACTGAAAATTCAAATTGTTTAGTTTCCTTTTTTAAGCTTTTCATTGGAACTTTATATACATATAAGTTTCCCATTATTTTTAAAAAGGGGCTTTAAAATCAGTCATATAAGTGTCTGTTTTTGAGGAATAAAATGAAGCAACTTTGAGGTCATATCTAATCCTCCCCCATCCCAATTTTAGCAGAAAAATTATGTACGTTTGGATTTGCTTCCATAAGTCAAGTTCTTAATGCGTCACTCTCCTTCGGAAGGGAGAGTCCTGTCACTTTTATGAATCATCCGAATCCCAAAAGTGGAAATCCTTCACTGAGCTGCTTACAATGACTTGAGATTAACGATGCGTGTTGGCTGGAACAAGTGCTCCTAGGAGGAGGTGGTGCATAAAAGGGTCTGTCTCAGAACTGTGTCTGCAGCTGAGCCATCTCGTCCCCAGGGCAGGCAGCGTGGCCTGGTGGATAGCACACAGAATTTCTGTCCTGGCCTCCAGCTAGCACAGGGGTGCCCCGACACAAGCTTGTCTCCCAGGGAGAGGCCTCGATGGATCACTCTGTATTCCTGGACCTGACCGTGGCTGAGCATTGCCCCGGAAGTCGAGCCCAGGCCCTGCAGCAAGGCAGGCTTCTCTGAACATTTGGGGTGCTGGGATGAGCCTGGGTGAGCCCCCAGGGACATAGCTTGAGGAATCTCCCAAACTTTTTTGGCCAAGTCTCTGGCCTCCCCTACCACCCTCCGCAATTTTGGGGGAACATCCACCAGCACCTCCCAGGCCATGGGTGCTGGCCTAGGAGATAATGGTCTGCAGTGCATTTGCTAATGGCTCAGATGTGCCATCTTGAGAAGACACTGCATGCAGGGCCTGACAACCCGGACGCCTGCAGAGGACAGGTCCCAGCCAACGGAACGGAACTGCTTTTATTGGGGCCAAGCTTGATACCCTGCAGGTGTGTTACTGTTTAAATCACCTCGTGGACCAAAAGAAAATGGCAACTGGCAGTACTTGGCTGCACCCAGCCATACCCATGAGTACCTAGCAGTACTCACCAGTACACATCAGTAACCAGCAGCACCTGGGAGTACCCAGCAGTACTCAACAGTACCCATCAGTACCCAGCAGCACCTCTCAGTACCCAGCAATAGTCATCAGTACCCAGCAGCACCTGGCAGTACCCATCAGTAGCCAGTAGCACCCATCAGTACTCATCAGTACCCAATAGTATCCAGTCATACCCAGAAGTACCCAATATACCCAGCAGAACCCATCAGCACTCAGCAGTACCCAGCAGCCTCCAGTAGCACCCATCAGTATCCAATAGTATTCATCAGCACATGATAGTACCCAGCAGCACTCATCAGTATCCAGCAGCATGCAGCAGTACCAAGCAGCACCCACCAGCACCCAGCAGCATCCGACTCACCCTTGCCAGGAGTGGTTGGTCTATGTCTTCCTGTTCTCCTCCACAGTTGGGAGGGAGGATGGCCCTGGACCAGCCTGGGCACCAGGTCCACAGTGGTTCCTGGTGTTCCTAGCATGGTCTTTGGAGGGGGTTGCAGCTTTCTCTGTGGCCCCCTCCATTCTGGCTGCTTCTCAAGCCCTGGAGGAAGCTGTGCTTGGGTGTGGGAGGCCTGGCGCCCATGGCTGTTGGGTGGAGGCTGGTGAGTAGCTGCCTCCGGTGGTGGTCCTGGATTCTGGCTGCCCCGGGGCAGGTCTGCAGCGCTGTCTTCCCTGAGACTTTGCTACCTGAGCCCCATCCATTCCTCTTAAACCCGACTCCCCTCCTGCTGCCCAGATCAGTTCACGTGGACCCTGGAAGAGCCCATGGGCTAGTCGGTCCGTGGCTCCATCCTCTGCACCTGCGCCTGCCCCTCTCTCACACGCTTCCTGCTAAAGCTGCACAGAAAGAGGCGCTGTGGGGAAGTGCGAGCAACAGCTGGGCCCAATGAACAATCAGAAATGACTGAAGATCATTTTCCTGAGCTGAAGGTATAATAACGAATGTCAATTTAAAGGCAAAACCACTGCAAGAGGCCAGCCACTTTCTGACACAAAAATCACACATTGCACAAAAAGGAAACCCGTCTTAAGGAAACCCACCAGTAAGCAACCAGACAAATCCATGTCCCTCCAAAGCAGCTGCTCCAACAGGAGCCTCAGAGTCATTTGAAAGGGTAAAGTTTGCCCTAAGGAACCCTAGAGAGTACAGGAATCTGAGATACGGGCAGCAGCTACAACCTCTCAGGCAGAAGCTGAGCGCCTGCCTTCTAGGGTACTTGGAAATTCCCCTGGGAAGCGGCTCGCCAGGTCAGCAGCAGGACCAGGGTGACTGTAGAGCTCCCAGCGAGGCCACCTCGGGAGTGGAGCTGCTGAAATCCCTGTGGAAGACACCCTCTGGATGCCAATGGAACCCGCTGGGAAGCTGTCCTGTGGGGGCCAGTGGAACTTGCTGGGGAACCACCCACATGGTGGTGCCCTTGATGCCCACTGGGGTGAACGTCCTGGGCGTCCCATGCCTTGCCGGCTGCCGTGCTGCAGGAACAAGCTGGGAGGGACGTGGAACCCGGAGATAGGCCCCTTCCTCTGCCATGCCTGACAGCACCCCCAGTACCCTCCATGGATGAAGCCTGGCGCTGCCAGCTTGCAAAGGAGCCACATTCACAGCCCAGCTCCCGCATCACAGGGCAGGTCCAAGGAGGGCAGAGTTGGAGCTGAATGGTAATAAACTGATACCAGCACACAGTGTTTGTTTATGATATATGTATACTACTGCACTACTGTACTAATGCACTTTAGAAAAACACAGACCAAAGGGCCGGGCGCCGTGGCTCATACCTGTAGTCCCAGCAGTTTGGGAGGCAGAGGTGGGCAGATCATTTGAGGTCAGGAGTTCAAGACTAGCCTGGCCAACATAGAGAAACTCCAACTCTACTAAAAATACAAAAATTAGCCAGGTGTGGTGGCTAATTTTTGCACCTGTGGTCCCAGCTACTTGGGAGGCTGAGGCAGGACAATTGCTTGAACCTGGGAGACAGGAGGTTGCTGTGAGCCGAGCCCACGCTACTGCACTCCAGCCTGGGTGAGAGACTTCATCTCAAAAAACAAAACAAAACAAAAACAACAACAACAACAAAAACCACCGAAAATCAAACAAACAAAACACAAACCAGAGAAATTTACCATTAGTGTGAGCAGTGTTATTATGGCTGCTTTAATAGTTTGTGACATAGTGATTCAAAGGTCTGTTTCTGGCTGGGCACGGTGGTTCATGCCTGCAACCCCAGCACTTTGGGAGGCAGAGGTGGGAGGATCGCTTGAGCCCAGGAGTTTGAGACTAGCCTGGGCAACACGGTGAAACCCCATCTCTACAAAAAATTTTAAAATTAGCTGGGCACGGTGGCACACACCTGTGGTCCTAGCTACTCGGAGGCTGAGGTGGGAGGATTGCTTGAGCCCAGAAAGTTGAGGCTGCAGTGAGCTGTGATCACACCACTGCACTACAGCCTGGGCGACAGAGCAAGATCCTGTCTCAAAAAATAAATAAATAAATAAAAACCCCAAAATCCAAAGGTCTAAGTTCATTTTATTTTGTAACTTGGTTTTAATGACAATCACTGCTGGAAAGAAATTGCTTACAAAGTCATGTAGATCCAAATAAAAGAAGGCTGTACTTATTAAATATGCTGTAACTTTTCAATTCCATCCACCAATTATGCAAAAGATTTTGTTCAAATTTTGTCCAGTCAGTGCCCATCTTCCCTGATGTTAATAATTTGCTCTTGCAAATTAATTGGGAGGAGTTGTATTTAAAAGTTTTTAACAAACATATTTAAAACTCACTAGGATCCTTCATTTGGAAGATTTTCGAACAGATTGAAAAAAATTCTGTCCTTAAATTTTTAAAGTGTCCATATATAAGAATTTTTGTAGAAGACAAATATTGTTTTAAGCCACAAAATTATATAACAGTGGAAAATGTTTTAAAGCCTCTGTTTTTAAAGTGCAATCTCCACTGAATTATTTTCTTTAAAAAAATCCCCCCTATTTTCTCATTCTTTATTAAAATGCCAACTTTACCTTGAGGAGCAGACTGTGTTTATTTTTCCACAAGGTATCTGTAAATAGCATAGACTGTCAGTCACCGGTCACTTAGAAAAGTCTGCAAATAGAAACCATGTGTATATTGTAAGAGAAGAGAGTGCCACATCCTCCCAGTGGTGAGGAGGAAGATTGGGAGGGTGCCCAGGGCGCACCTGGGCCTGGAGAGTCCCCGTCTCCTCTCCAGCTCCTCTGCAGAGCCACGTTACTGCTGCGGCCACTGGCTGAGTGACACAAGGCCTCCGGCCCTGCGGTTGGATGGTTCAGGGGCCACCGCCTCTGACCCTGTGAGCGGGAAGCTGGTCTGAGGAAGGGGATGTGAAGGCCACGTGACCTCCCAGAGGGAGGCGAGTGGGCGGGTGGAGTCTTCTCTGTCCTTGAGGGGAGGAGGGCAAGGAGAGTTCCTTAGGGGCCTCGGAGGGGCTGAGAACCTTTAAGCGGGTGGGGGCGGATCCCTTAGTTGTTATTGTTGTCTTTAACCTGTTGGGCATTAAGGACATTGCAGCAATAGACCTGTGCCCCAAATTGCTGACAAAGGTGGGAAAAAAAGAACGTTCCATCTGGCCGGGTGGGCATAGAAGGGGGTGGAGGGAGCGCCTGGGTATTGTCAGGTGAGGAAGGTCAGAGGGAGCCGTCCACCCACGTGGCCAGCGAAACGGAGCGTGGGAGGAGGCCCACGAACACCTGAGATCAAAACCCACAGGGCACGTGAGAAGATCCCAATTCCAGGGCGCGAACGAAGTCCAGGAGCTTCAAAATTGGCCCGCATCATGAAAACATCCGGCAGACGATTGAAGACTCACTCTTGATGCAGACGCTGACCCGAGGAAGGAAAAGGGTGAGAAACAGCTAGGCAGACACAGCAGAGCGGGAAAGAGGCCGACGCCGACGGAATGCAGGAGGCTTGGGGGTCGGGCCCAGGAGATCTGATCTGAGAGTAACAAGTTACAGGAGCGCGGAAAATCACAGATGGAGGAAGGGCAGTCATTACATATCGGAACTCTCCCCTGAGTTGGGGGACGCCTGCAGAGTAGGCATGGAAGGGCTCACGGAGTTCTAGGTTCAGCTGATGAGAAAAGATGCCCTCTGTGCTATGTCATGGTAACAGCCTCCGAACTCTGCATACACACTGTATTCTTCCCTTTGTGTGACACTCCAGAAACAACAAATTGCATCCATAGTGATGGAAATCAGACCAGTCGTTGTCAGGGGCCACCGAGTTGACTGGGATAGTGATGGAAATTTTAATGAATACATAGATGTATAAACATGTCAAAACATGTACTTTTTAAAATGGATCCATTTTATTGTATACAAATTTTACTAAATAAAATGGAATGGAAAATTATAAGTGCTGTACTTTCTGCATTGAGGAAAAAGAAAAGTCAACCATTTTTCAGTCAAAAGGAATATGTTACCTAAAAAAGCAAAACAATCAGAATGGTCTCAGGCTTCTCATCTACAACACTGCAAGCTAAAAGCAGTGGAAGAGCAAAAGACTGCACCCCAGGAACCCCTGTTCTCAATAAAGAGATTGTCGAAGTGTTAGGAGCAGAAGGTATTTGAAGATACATAAAACCTCAGTGAGTTTATCACCTAAGTGCCTCATCTAGGAAAGCACTGGAGAAACAGTTCTAATGAAATGGCAAACCCAGAAACGACATAGCAGAGACCTCCGGATGAAGGAGGATGGAGAGGAAGGACGCAGTGGCATGAGGAAGCTTCATCTACTCGGAGGCATCCCGAGGGGCTCAGCCGTTCGGAGCAGCGGAGGGGCACAAACGCTGCAGGGTGGCTGGGTGTGGTCTTCACAGGGGACGGCAGAAGCATAAGAGAAACTGAGGCTGCGGTGTGAGTAGGAACCTGGCTGCAGTGAGTTATGGGTTGAGAGAGACAGTGAGTGTGTGTTTGGTGCACATAAGTAATTGTCTTTTTTTTTTTTTTTTGTCTCACTCTGCCACCCAGGTTGGAGTGCAATGGTGCAATCTCGGTTCACTGCAACCTCCACCTCCCGGGTTCAAGCAATTCTTCCTGTCTCAGCCTCCTGAGTAGCTGGGATTACAGGTGCTCACCACCATGCCCAGCTAATTTTTTTTTTTTCAGTAGCGACAGGGTTTCAAATCCTCTTAAGGGCACATTGATAAGTCTGGTTGAAAATAGGATTTGATTCATCCAAAGCAGGAAGAAGTGACTGCTATGAAGGTGAAGGCACAGCCATGAAAGATTGATCATTCTGCAACTCAGGAGGGTCTGTCTAGGGCCCAGGAGCCCGTGTTTTCCTTATTAACCAAAAATAATTAAGAAAGGCGATGATTCCGTCTGCACCCTGAGCTCTGCACGTTGATTTGGTGATGAACGGAGCACCATTGCCATGAGGACAATTGCCAGTCCTTTCCCGACTGGAAGATGGCAACAGCCCTGCCCCATTTCCCCGCCGTATTTATACTGGACTTTAGAGAACTGTGAAAGCCCATCTGGAAAACACTCAAGGCAGGTGAGTGCCCCTCACAAACCCTGTGGAGAACACCATCCTTCCCTCCACCATCATCACCAGCAACAAACGTTTGCTCAACCCACGGTGTGCAAGGCAGAGGGCCCGGTGCTGCAGGGACAGAAAGAGGAATGAGGGACAAATGAACATGATGGAAGGGAAGGGAAGGATGTCTGTGTTCTCCAGGGATTTGCCATCCACCTGGGTGCTGGTCTGATGTCCCTGAGTCACTGAAGCAATGCCAGCAGCATTTTTATGGGCAGAAAGATCAATGCCCGTAAATAGCAGGGCATCCTCCCTGTCAAATAAAGGTGACCTAAGATTCTACCAGTTCGGGCTGAGCTCTGAGTCACCTATTTATTCAAGTTATAATTACTGAGCTCCACTGCAGAGGCTGCTGGACACACCCCTATTTCCTAGAAATGGAACTCTTTCTAGCACCGTGCATGGCTGACTGGAATAAAACTATACCTCCCAGACTCTCCTGTATCTATGGTTGGCCACATGACTAACATCCGCTTCATGGCATGTAACTGGAAGTGTTGTGTGCTGCTTCCCTAAAGGGAAGTGGCTGTGCCCCGAATCATCCCTCCTCCTTCCTGCTGTCTGATATATGGATATATAGGTTAGATCTAAGCAGCCATCTCAGACTACGAGAACACTGGGAGACAGTGGAGCAGAGAGTGGAAGGGGCCTGGATCCCTGTCGGCTGTGTGGAGCCGAGCTGCCCACACCACCTGCACTGTCCACCTTTGGAGTTTCTGCTTGAGGGAACAAAATCTTGTGTGGTTGGGTCAATGGTAATTCGGGGTCTCTGTTCTTTGCTGCTGAACCTAATACTGGTGGATATAAGCGCCTACTGTGCATCAGGACCCTGTGCTAAGGACTGGGACTTTGAGAATGGATAAGAGAAAGACAGCCCCTGCTCCCAGGGAGCTTAGAGTAGAGAGAGAGAAAGAGACAGATCAAAGACATCATGTTACCTGAAATAAGCCAGGCACCGACAGTTACATTCTGCATGATCTCACCCGCATGTGGAATCCAAAAACGTTGATCTCATAGAAATAGAGAGTGGAACAGTGGTTCCCAGAGGATGGATGGGCGGGGGTAGGAGCTTGGTCAATGGGTGCAAAGTTCCAGTGAGACAGGAAGAACAGGCCTGGTGTGCTATGGCACAGCGGGTTAATAAGAATGTATTATATATTTCAAGAGAGCTGGCAAAGAGGATCTCAATGTTATCACAACACAGAAATGATAAAGGTCTGAGGGGTTGACATGCTAACCACCCTGATTTGATTATTATACCACGTGTGCACGCATGGAAACATCACGGTGAACCCCAGAAACATGTACAATTGTTATGTGTCAATTCAAAACAAAAATTTTGTTTAAAAAGTAAGCTAACAAACACATTCACCCCAGCTGATAAATTCAATAAACTAAGGGAATGGCTTGCTTGCTAAGTTAGAGAATAATGGAGACAGACAGAAAATAGCGGCTAGAAAGGGCTTCTAGAAGGAGGCGGGTTTTAGGGAAAGATGGAAAGAGGAGTAAAGGGCATTTTAAGAAATTATCTCCTATTATTAATCTTGGCCAAAATTCAGAAATGGGAAGAGAGAGGCTGATCCATCTGCAGCCAACAAGGGCATTTGCATAGGGCAAGGACCCAACCCCGCAGCAGAGAAGGGGAGCTCCTCCCAAGCCAGGGCAGGTGGTCTTGGGGTGTCCCCAGTGGGTCAAGCCCTGGGGCTGTAGCTGGCTGTGGTCGGGTTGTATTCAGCTGAGGGAACACTCAGTCACTAGCCTGAGTCTCCAGACTGCCTGAGACACAACGGCTCTTTGCATGAATGCAGATTCCTGGGCCCTGCTCACTGGAGATTTCTGATTTTGTGGAATTAAATTGTATTGGTGAGATCTAAAAAGCCCAAGGAATAATGAACTTTCAAAAACTCAGATTTAAAAGGGGTCTCAGGTTGTCCAGCCCAAACACCCACAGGGCTGTGACCCTCTCTCACCCTTACCTGCCTGCACAGCTACCAGCAGAGGCAGGTTCTGCCCTTCCAGGGCTGCAGTCTTCTCCCTGTAGGAAATTGTACTGAAAGGAAATCTGGGCCGGGCGTGGTGGCTCACGCCTGTAATCCCAGCACTTTGCGAGGGTAAGGCAGGTGGATCACTTGAGGTCAGGAATTCGAGACCAGCCTGGCCAGGTGCAGTGGCTCACACCTGTAATCCCAGCACTTTGCGAGGCCTAGGCAGGCGGATCACTTGAGGTCAGGAGTTCGAGACCAGCCTGGCCAACATGGTGAAACCCTATCTCTACTAAAAATAAAAAATTAGCCGAGCATAGTGACAGGCACCTGTAATCCCAGCTACTCGGGGGGCCAAGGCAGGAGAATCGCTTGAACCTGGGAGGCAGAGGTTGCAGTGAGCCCAGATCGTGCCACTGCACTCCAGCCTGGGCGACAGAGCAAGACTCTATCTCTAAATAAAGAAAGAAAGAAATAAGAAAAGAGATCTGACTCCTCTTGCAGGGCTGCCTCTGGAAATACCGAAAATAAGATTAATCTCTTTTCCAAATGAGAAGCTTTCAACTTACCACGGCCCTGGACGTCTCCTCTTTCCCAGGCTAACTATCTTTGCATCCTACAGCCATTTCTCTTGTAAGCTTCACTGGCAGGCCCCCAGTCCTCTGGTGCAGCAGCCTGGGAAGGGCAGCTTCCTCTCGGCCGGCCCGGATTCCAGAGAGAAGGGAGACGATGGAGACGGGAATATGTGTGCTGTGTTCTTCAGAGGGATTCCACATTCAGGACCCCGCTTCCTAACCATAGCCTGGAGATTTCTGAGGAGGCTTCGAAATGATTTAGTTTAACCTCCTGAATTAGTTTCCTAGGGGTGTCATAAAAAATGACCCCAAACTGGGTGGCTTCAAACAACAGAAATGTGTCCTCCCACAGTTCTGGAGGCCGGAAGTCCTACATCACGGCGGCAGGGCTGGTTTCTTCTGCGGCTGTGAGTGGGAATCTCTCCGGGGCTCTCTGCAGCTCCTGGCAGGTGCGGGGAAGCCTGGCTGCTGGATGCATCACTCTAACCTCTGCCTCTGTCTCCACGTGGCCTCCTTCCCCGTGGCTCTGTGTCTTCTCCCCTTCTCTTCTCTTCTAAGGACTCCTGGCATTGGGTTTAGGGCTTACCCTAAACCAGAATGATCTTATCTCGAGATTCTTATCTTAATGACATGGCCCTTGGGCCAACTAGGGGCACACTCTGATGTTCCTGTTGGACATATCTTTTGGAGGTGGCGCCATTTAACCCAGCAGAACTCTTACTTTACAGATAAATGCCATGGGGGGCAAAAGGGGAGTGGCGTGCCCAGGAGTCCCTGCAGAGTTCGCGAGGAACCTGAGCCTCAACAGCCCTGGTCGGCCCTCCCCGCCCTCTCACATGGAGAACACAGAGACACAACCAGGACAGACGATGGTACGCACGGACCCGGCATTGCTGCAAAATGCGAGGCTTCCATGAAGTTCTCAAGTAATTGAAGCTTACCTCTTTAAGGGACAAAATTATGTTCAAAATGCTCTTTTGATAGTAAGCGTTCTAAACCACAGAAACATACTCTCCCAACGTGCTTAAGAGAATACAAGTTTGAAACAGTCCGTCGGCATTTTGTCGGTAACTCAGGGTGGTTGCCGAGGGGCCATTCCGAGCCGGGGCTGGGCTGTGATCCTTCCAGTTCTGCTCGACTGGCTGGGCCGTGGCCCCTGCCTCAGTTGCCCCCACATCGCCGGCTTCTGGACGTGGTGACTGCCAGCTGTTTCCCCCAAGAATTGGCCCTTCTCAGAATGGCAGCCCATTCATTCGCCAGCTCTTAATGGGATGTGTGATGGAATACACTTTGAGGGGGTGGGTGGAGATATTAATCTTTGTTTTGCTTTCTTATTTCTCCCCCTCATCCAATTTCAAGCAGATCACCCGGCTCTTTGTAATTTTTTTGCCTCGGGGATTTTTTTTCCAGGCAGAACGCCAAAGCAGCTCAAAGCCAAAGGCTCTTTCTGTCTTTTGTAAAAACCTAAACCCATTTCATAAAAACCCAAACCCAGGAGGCGAGTGGGAGGGAGAGGGCAAGATTCACTGAGGCTGGGAAAAGGAGGAGGCTGGTGTCCCCAAGGACCTGAGGTCTGAGCACAGCTCCAAGGCACAGCCTGGGAGGGTGGAGCGCACACGGCTGCCCATGTTGTGCCCTGAGGCTCTCATCCCCGGCAAGGATCCCCAGGCATCGGGCAGGGTGGAGGAACAGCCATCAGCCTGAGGGCAGCGGGACTTGCGTGCGAGTGGCACTGAGGCAGTGGTGACAGCTCCCAGCCCTTCAGCTCTTCTGGGCACCATGGAAGCTTCTGGATCCTGGAGGGACTCTAGGAGGGGAGAGAGTTGCATTTTCTGCCAGCCCCACAGGGTGGGGCTCCAAGTTGGGTTTAAGTTGATTTATGTAAACAAAGAAATGAAACTTCCGGATTTCTGGACAGCACGGCCCTACAAGTTCATGCACTGAGGCCTCTTCTCTGCTCCGAATACGCAGCAGCATTAGAGAAAACATATTTCAACAAAACAAGCCAAGCATCACAGACACCAAAAACAGACAGAACAAAACCCGTGGGTGGGGTCTGAGATGGGGCTTCCGGTCCGGAACCAATGTCGGGGAAGTGCTGGCACCTGGTGCAGCCCCCACGGTTGGGAGCAGAGGCCAGCTGACTGCACAGAGAGACCCCCACCCCAGAGAGGGAACAGAAAGAAAATTCCAGCTGAGTGCTTCTCGGGCTTTAGCTTCCACAGATTCAAGGACCAGGAGGTGAGAGGAAGCAGCCTCCTGTCCAGGACCCAGGTAAGGCACCACCAATGCCATTACTCTATTTGTGATTTAGCCGATGCTCTGTGGGACATGAAACCTGGTTCACGGAGGGCATCCCTGGAGGCTGGGCGAAGACCGATGCAAACCCTCAGGGCAGACAGGGTTGAGTGTATGTGAGAGGCGTGGACAGGGAGAGAAGGAGGAGTGTGGAGAGGGACACGGGGGAGAACCACAGCAACAGGAAAATGACCTTAAAGTAAGTTTTTTAGCATCTTAAAGAGGAAAGACAAGAAATAGCCTAAAAAGAGTAATTGGCTATACACAAAACTTGGCAGAAATGAAAAGGATCAGAACTGATGGAAATGGAAAATATCTAATTAGTAAACCTGAAAATTAAAAAGATGCTCATTGAAATAAAAAGGAAACCAGCAAATGCAATAAAATCCTCAGCAAATTCAGGCAAACAGATCTCGGGTGAAACGGAAGACGGACGTAAGGAATTCTCCAAGAACGCATCACACAGCAACTGAGATTTCAAAAGAAAATCACCACAAAAGAGCAGGCAAGAGACTGGCAGAGTTGGCCGGGCAACTCTGGCCCGTCTTGGAGGAGGTCCGGGAAAGAGGAGCATCAGGTGGGGGAGTGAGATTGAACAGACAACGCCAAGAAGGGTCCCAAGCCCAGGAATGACACAACCCTCGGGCCGGAAGCCACTGTGAGCAAGTCGACCAAACATAAACCCCATCTCTGCATGCTGCTGGTCAAATGTGTCCATAAAGTACCTGCTCGCTGTAAAAACACTTCACCTTTGTGCATTTATAAACAATAACAATAACAAAGATAGGGCAAGATACAGGAAATAACGTTCCTTGTTTAGAAAAAGGACGTAGATACTTTAGATTTCATTAGAAAAAACCCAGAGTGCCGAATGTAGACTAAAAATGAAGGATAGTCACTGTCAAGAATAGAAACAAAAATCTACAGCTGCCAAACCATCTTGGGGGGAAAAGAAAAATCCAAAAATGTTATCATGCTTAGAAAAGGCAGAAAAGATAAAAGAAAGCAAACAAAAATCATGGCAAATGAAATATCACATACAATAATAGAAACAATTTTAATTACTTTAGTATTAACTATAACTGTAAAGGGATTAAACTCATGTACAAAAACCGGAGACTACAGGATTAAACCTTCATCCCCCAAATTCAGCTAGATGCTGCTCACAAAGAGACACATAAAACAAGGCAGAGACTTTGTTTTTGTTTTGTTTTGTTTTTCTGAGAGAGTCTCACCCTGTCATCCAGGTTGGAGTCCAGTGGCACAATCTTGGCTCACTGCAACCTCCACCTCCTGGGCTCAAGTGATTCTCCTACCTCAGCCTGCTGAGTAGCTGGGATTATAGGCATGCACCACCATAATTTTTGTATTTTTAGTAGAGATGGGGTGTCACCATGTTGGCCAGGCTGGTCTCGAACTCCTGACCTCAGGTGATCCGCCCACCTCAGCTTCCCAAAGTGTTGGGATTATAGGCGTGAGCCACCTCGCCCTGCCAGTTTTTTTTTTTTTTTAAAGGATGAAAAACAGGAACACACAGCAAATACAGATAAAAAGAAGAGGGTGTATCAATAAGAAACAAGCTAGATTTATGGCAAAAACCTTCACAGCCTCTAAGGACTGTGGGAACAATCCAATTCTCAGGGCTTACAACTACAGGGCGACTTCTCACTCCACCACCCATGGGCTGTGGCTCTGCTCCCTAACGTCCTGGACAGGAGCGGCTCCACCTGGGACATTGCCAGGCTCATGCAAAGAGGGCAGGGAGACTTCCAGAACCACAGGCTGGCTCTCTGTGTTTCTGATGGGAAGTGTCCCACATGACTTGGCCCACACTTCCCTGGCCGAGAAGCCCTCCTGAGCTCAGTGGTGAGGACTGGATCTTCTCACTACGGGGAGGGGAATGCAAATCAGGGCAACCAGCGACAGCCCGCCCTGTGCTGCGCAGAAACACCAAGCCTTGACAAACAAGCCAGGCCATCACCGTAAGCTTGCGTGCATGTAAGGAACAAACATTTTATGCACAAGTAAGTTTTTTCACCAATGTGGACTCAGCACCTCGGGAGGTTGTCTGCAATTTCTATTTGCTATGGGCCGAACATTTGTGTCCCTCCAAAATTGATAGGTTGAAATCCTCACCTCCAGGGTGATGGTATTAGGAGAAGGGGCCTTTAGGAAGTGATGAGGTCATGGGGGCAGAGTCCTCAGAAATGGGATCAGTGCCCTTAAAAAAGAGGCCCCAGAGAGCTCCCTTGCCCCTTCCACCATGTGAGGGCACAGCAAGAAGGCACCATCTGTGAACCAGGAAGTAGCCCTCACCAGACACTGCATCTGCCTGGCTCTTGGATTTCGCAGCCTCCGCAGCTGCGAGAGACAGATCTCACTGTTCAGGAGCCATCCGGGTCATGGCATTTCATTACAGCAGCCTGAACGCACTGACACCTGTTCCTTCTGCTGATACTGAGGGTCATTTGGGACAAGATGGGGAGGCATCAAAAATTATCAGGGGTGGCCGGGCTCAGTAGCTCACACCTGTAATCCCAACACTTTGGAAGGCCGAGGCAGGAGGATTGCTTGAACTCAGGAGTTCGAGACCAGCCTGGGCAACGTGGTGAGACCTCATCTCTATGAAAAATAAAAAAAAAAATTATTTTTTGTGTCTGTGGTCCCAGCTACTTAGGAGACTGAGGCAGGAGAATTGCTTAAGCCTGGGAGGTCCAGGCTGCAGTGAGTCTTGATTGCACCACTATACTCCAGCCTGGGTGGTAGAGCGAGGCCCTGTCTCAAAAAAAAAAAAAAAAAAAGAGAGACTATTGGGGGAAATTGGCATCCGTTGCTTTTGTCTCTGTTCCTACCGCAGCCCCACTCTGCCTTCTGAGGAGGCTGCCTCTGTAATTGAGTCATGCTGGCCACAGCCAACTGGATGGACCAGGGTAGGAAACTGACCCCAGGCCACTCTTGGCAGACTGCCCAGTGGCCTCTGGCCTGACCTGGCAGGAAAGCTCTGCTCCACAAGCACACTCTAAAGCAGCTCAGGAGAGAGTGATAGGGTCTGGTGAGTCCAGCGTGGGGATGCGAGACAGAAGCCAGGAGGGGCAGGAGGAAAGCCAAGTGCTGAGACTGGAGAGAAGGGAAAGGGGCCAGCTGGCCTGGCCGGGGCCTGGAAGTGGAGTACCTGAGAATCAGTGACGGACTTCGTGGCTGAGCAGTGGCAAACAAGCGTGTTCTGGGTAACATTCCCGCCCTCTGAAAGGCCTGCTCTGAGCTCGCAACGTTTCTCCCAGCTTCCTGCGTCTCTCCAGCCCTGACCTCATTAACCCCAGCAACCTGAGTACATCTCTGTTCCTTACAACAGGACCGATCCGACAAACAACTCTGTCACACTCGTAATCTTAATATTAGATTTAATGCAACCCTTGGGATCTTGGGGTGAGGCCGCCTCTCCAGTAGATATTTTTACTGCCGCTCAGAGGGACTTTAAAATTGATTCTCCATTTCATGGCTGTATTTGAGATGCTTAAGATTTCTGGAAGCCCAGGTGCTGCAGCAGAAAGCGCCCAGGGCTTGGAGTCAGAGGACTTGATTTTTATTCCTGGCTTGGCCAGTGTTCAGCCTGTGACCTTGAACGAGATTTACACTCTCCAAGCTGTATTTTCTTCTTGGAATGTGAATATCTTCCCTGCCTACTTGATGAGTTCATATGTGTGCACACACCAAGCAGACACCGGTCTTGTGGGGCTGACGTTTTAATTGGGAAGCTTAGATGGTTCCAGAGATTTGCCCAGGTTCACCCACCTTTCCTGTGCATGGCTGTCAAATGGTGACGTTCTTTCTCCCCAGGCCCCTCCCTCCACACCCCATGTGCTTCTCAGAAAACAAACCTCAGATAGAGGCTTCTTCCCCACCAAATGTGAGCAGAAACAACATTTAAAAGGTGTATAGCCAGGCGTGGTGGTTCACACCTGTAATCCCAGTGCTTTAGGAGGCCAAGGCAGGAGGATCACTTGAACCCAGGGGAGTCCAGCCTGGGCAGCATAACAAGACCCCAGCTCTACAAAAAAAATACCCAGGCATGGTAGCACATGCTTATAGTCCCAGCTGCTCAGGAGGCTGAAGCGGGAGGATCACTTGAGCCTGGGAGGTTCAGGCTGTAGTGAGCTGGGATCACGCCACTGTACTCCAGCCTAGGTGACAGGGTGAGATTCTGTTGAAAGAAAGAAAGAAGGAAGGAAGGAAAGAAGGAAGGAAGGAAAGAAAAAGAAAGAAAGAAAGAGAGAGAGAGAAATAAATAAATAAATGAAGGAAGGGAGAGAAGGAGGGAAGGAAGGAAGGAGAGAAAGGAAGAGAGAGAAAGAAGGAAGACAGGAAAAAAGGAATAAAGGAAGGAAGGAAGGAGGGAGGGAGGGAAGGAAGGAGAGAAGGAAGGAAGGAAGGGAGGGAGGGAGGGAGGGAAGGAGGGAAGGAAGGAAGATTATTATTTCCTAAGGGTAGGAAATATTCAGGGTAGGTCCCCAGCAGGGGTTGGGGGTATGTTTTGCTGCCTTTGCTGGGGAATCTGCAGATGCATACAGGGACTGGTCTTTTTTGCGGGGAGAGAGCTCCCAGGACTGCTGGGTCTACCTCACCTCCCAGTAGCTGGGTCTAGACCTGGTACAATTAAGACAGGAAGGTGACCCAGGCACCTGCCGGTGCCCTGCACCATGCCGAGGGAGTGTGGTTCATAGCACCTCCTCCCCTAACTCACAGAGCTGCGGCTCTTTCCTGTCCTGCCTTCACGGGAGGCTTTGCTGCTGAATGACTGGGAGTTTAGGGAATGCTGTGCGTCTCTGGCATAAAGGTGCATCCCTTTGCCATCTGTTCTCGGGAGCCACAGCCATTCTGCCGGGGAGCGAGCAGGATGGGGTGCCACAGGCTCTCGTAAAGGGTCCTCATAGCCTCATGAAATCAGTTGCTGTTTTCCTGAGTCTCTGGCCTTCTATTAATTACTCTTACTTTGTTGTTCTGGAGCCAAGAGCAACACTTTTGGGTCCAGGGTGGGATTAAAAGTTTTCATCTTTTTGATGTTACCAGGAGGGAGCATGAAGTGCACTGAGCCGGGCCAAGGGTCGTGCTTTCCCATCACCCTTTTTCACCGAGAGGGACAAGAAGGCCAGCACCGAGGCCATGCTGGCCCCCAGGGCCTCTCCGGGAAAGCCGGCCCTTGGTTTGCTCCAGATCTAACCCCCAGTCCTTGGCAGAGACACAAACTTAAGATTTTCGGGAGGGAGGAGAAAGGTAATATTTTAAGGAGCTTTCGAGCTTTCGGAGCGTTAATTTTAGGTCATAGAAAGGTCAAGCAGGTCTTTCCAAAGCACTAAGAATGTGGTGATGAAACCTCTGTTGTGTGGGGTGGACGGCGGTGGCTGGTGCTGGAGCGCAGGCCTGGAGCGGTCCTTCGTGGGTTCACAACACTTTACTGTGAGCTGCGGGAACCTGCATCTCCCTGCCCTCCCGAGCCTGCCAGGAAGCTGGCACAGTTTTCACCAGTGGCCCACACAAGCTGAAGGCCAGCACTTTGTCATATTGTATTTTTAGATTATATTTTTCCCCTTCTCCCCCTTGTGAAGGAATTCAGCCCAGTGCCCAGAGCAAGCTCTTGCTGAGCTGTGTGTGAAGGTGGGCCGAGGCGGGGGCCCAGGCAGCCAGGAGCCCATAGGCATACCTTGTCCCATGGCATGGCCGAGCCCACGCTGAGCCTGCCCAATATGGTGAAGGGGACACGGTCCCAGGCGGACCAGCTGGCTCGAAACCAGTGACAGCTTTCCCAGAGGTGAGGCATTCTAGGGAAAAGGATGCACTGGGCACTCCCTGCCCCCATGGAAGTGGGACTCCGGCCCCTCTGTGGGGACGCACGGGTCTGAGCAGCCCACCCTCCACAGGCACCCTGGGCAAAGTTGGGTCTGGACTCTTGCAGAGGCTGGCGTTTGGCCAGAGCCCCAAGGAAAGGGCAGCCAAAGTTGCTCCTCCTGCGGCCCTGGGCTCTGCTCCCGGCTGCCCCCAAGACCCTCCTAACCCCCAGGGACAGGGGAGCCAGGGACCACACTATGAAGGGGCCCTGCCTCCCGCTCAGATGCCCTCTCTGGCTCTACCTCACCTGGCCTGGTGGGATGGAGGGAGCGGAGCCGGCCCCATCACCACTGGTCAGATGTCTCCAGCTCGGGCCGACTCCTGCGGAAACCAGCCTCAGAGCTCCCGGTCCTTCCTGGTGGCTGAGGAGTCCTGGAGTTCAAGGACATGAAGTTCCAGATGGAGTCACCTGTGCTTATCAGGGATGGAAGGAGTGGAGAGCCATGTGGTGGCTCTGAGGCTGGTGGATGCCCCTCTCCCAGCTCAGCTGCCTAGCGTCCGAGTGCCTAAAAAGCTGGGCAAGACCAAGCAGATCCAGGGTCTGGGTTGCCTGGAACATACAAAAGTAAGTCACAGACATCATCACCTTTAAGCTCTAAAAGTTCAGTGCACACCTCCTAAAAATAATTCATAATAAAAATAATAATACATTCTCCAGCACGGTATGATAAAGTTATCAAATTCAGAAAATGTAACATTGATATAATACTATTATCAAAAAATGCAGTTTGCAGCCACATCTTGCCCATTGTCCTAATAATGTGCTTAGTAGCATCTCTACCCCCAACTCCCAATGCAGGATTGCACAATGCTTTTGTTTGTCGTGTCTATTAATATTCTTGAGCTTCCTTTTGTCTTGTTAAAAAAGTTTATTTAATTGTGGTAAAAAACACATAATTTAACATTTGCCATCTTAACCATGTACATTCCAGTGGTGTCAGTCATGTTTATTCACATTGCCATGCAACCATCACCTCCATTCATCTCCAGAACTTTTTCATTTTCCCTAACTGAACCTCTGTACCTATGAGACACTAACTCCCCATTCCTCCTCTCCCCAGCCTCTGGCAACCACCATTCTACTTTCTGTCTAGGTACCTCATTAAAATGGAATCATATAATCTTTTGTGATTGGCTTATTTCACTCAAATAATGTCCTCAGGATTCATCCATGTTGTAGCATGTGTCAGATTTTCTTTCTTTTTTAAGGCTGAATAATACAGCATTGTAGGTGTATACCAGATTTTATCCATTTATCTGTCAATGGACACTTGAGTTGCTTCAGCCTTTTGGCTGTTCTGAATAATGCCGCTATAACATTGTGTGTCTTTTGTGTTTTACGACATTTTTGAAGAGTACAGCCCACTTGTTTGGTACAATGCCCCTCAATTTGGATTTGTCTCATGGTTGCCTTATGATTTTATTTATGGTTGCATTTTTGGCAAGGACACGAAACAACTGATGTTGTGTCCTTCTCAGTGTACCATATCACGAGGCACACAAAGTCCCTTTGTCCCATGGTTAGAGATGTTACTTTGATCACTTGGTTAAGGTGATGTTGCAGAGTCCTCCACTGTCAACATACATTTTTTTGAAACTTTGAAACTGAAGAAACAAGCTGTTTCCTAATATACTTTGACTCATTGGTTTTAGCATCTGTTGCTGATTCTTGCGTGAATCATTTATTACTGTATTGGTTGCAAAATTATTATTTTCTAACCCTTATCATTCCTTCCACATTTATTAGTTGATATTCTATTTACAGTAGAAGACATTTTCTTCTCTTCTGTTTCTTTCTAAAATAAATATGGACACATGGTGTTTCTCTCTTTTTAACAAATTTAATGCATTCTAGCCCATTGGTCTTACTATTCATCTTGATACTCACGTTGCCTTTGGTTTGGCCGGTGGGAGCCCCCTCCTTTTCATATGCTTCAATCATATTTTGAGCATATTTTTTTTTACTTTGTGGCAGAAACAAGACATTCTAGGCTTCTCTCACTTGCTTTGGTCCTGGACTCAACCACTTCTCCAAAGAACTCTGCTTTCTCTTAGTGAAGAATGGGATTTAGAGACCAAGTGTGGCCACTAGTGTGCTCACTGCTGATGGGTGTCACTGTTTCAGAGCACTTTCCATGGACAGAGCCAGGATACCTATATAAATATGAATACCACACACACAAACATTTTCAAGTTTTGTGTGTGGTATTCATATTTATATAGGTATCTTGGCTATAAGTTCGTCCAAACCGGTCTCAGGTTAGCCTAATGCTGCAAAGTTCTGACTTGCCTTCCACTATTTCACATTTGTTTCTCCTTTTCCTACATCTTTATAATTACTCATTTACACAATCATAGCACACACACAAAATAGTTTCAAAAATAAACATACTGAGTAAAGTTCAAGATTTATACCCAGCAAAAGGATGTTTTTCTCTCTCGACTGAGGTTATCCTCAAATGTTACTTTAATATGTTTTTTTTCCCCTTCTATGTGGTTACTGTTCTGGTCATCTGTTGCCTTATAACACACTACCCAACACTTAGAGGTGTAAAAACATTTCATTATCCTCACAATTTTGTGGTTGACTGTGTTCAGCTGGGTGGTTCTTGTTTGGGGCGTCTCATCTGGGTGTAGCAGATAGTGTGAAGTCAGGCAAGGACTCAGCCTGGATGGATGTCCGAGATGGCTTCATCACTCATGTGGGGCCTCAGCTCCCCCTCCACAACTCCCTTTCCAGCAGAGGAGGCTGAACTTCTTGTACAGAAGCTCAAGGCTTCAAGAGCAGGAGTGAAGGCATGTTCCTGAAGCTGGCCCCAAATCATTTCCACCAAGAATTGGTGGGATGGGGGCTGTGGGCACAGTTGACTTTGGGAATTACAGCAGTTATGTCAGCCCTGTGAGATGCAGCTGGATTCATTTGTTTCTGTGTGTATATAGCTTTATGTTTTTCCCTTCCTTCTTTGTTGACTCAATTTTTTTGAATATGTAAAACATTAACTTGGTTCCAAGAATCAAAAACTATACAAAAGAGATATGGTATACTCAGAGAAGTACCAATTCCTTCCTATCCTACCCATACCATTCCTACCCATTCCTCCAAACCTATTTCATGTCTGGTTTATTTTGGTTTCTTTTTGTAAGAATAAGTATATGTACTTATTTCCTTTCCTTCCTTAAACAAAAGTTAACATTATATATATACTTCTGTGCCCCTTGCTTATATCACTTAATATGGTGTCTTGACATGCCACGTGAGTTCACAGCAATCTTTCTCTTTCCACAGCTGCATAGTGCCCCACTCTGTGCCACCATTAATTCGACACATTTCCTGTGTGTGGGCATTCAATATTTTTTAATTATAAAAAATCCCTGCTATACTGGATAACTTTATTTATTTATTTATTTATTTTATTGAGACAGAGTCTTGCTCTGTCACCCAGGCTGGAGTGCAGCAGTGCGATCTCTGCTCACTGCAACCTCTACCTCCTGGGTTCAAGCAATTCTCCCTGCCTCAGCCTCCCAAGTAGCTGGGATTATAGGTGCCTGCCACTACACCTGGCTAATTTTTGTATTTTTTTAGTAGAGATGGGGTTTCACCATGTTGGCCAGGCTGGTCTCGAACTCCTGACCTCAAGTGATCCACCCGCCTCAGCCTCTCAAAGTGCTGAGATTGCAGGCATAAGCCACGGTGCCCTACTAGATAACTTTATATACAGGTGTTTTTGTATAGTGGGGTATATCTTTGGAGTAAATTCCTACGAAAAAAAATCCTTCAGGCAGAGCCTGGGGACCTGTGCTTTACCTGAAGTGCTAACAGGAGTTAGGAGTTTCTAGACTGTAGGGTCCTAGTTGATGAGAAGCAGCAGGTTAGAGGTGGGCATGCTGGAAACAGCAGGGAATGACATCTGTCCAGCCCGACACCAAGATCTTTCTTAGAAGACAGGAAAAACTGTACAAAACAGGGGAAAAAATTTCAAGATTTTATGGTAGAAATTTCCACACATAATTTCCATCCTCTACTTACGTAAAAGTAGAGATTACCAGGGACCTCTGTGTACCTATCACCCAGCTTCAACGAACATCAGCACTTGGCTGCACTGTTTCAGAAATAAAAGAATCTACAAAGAATTTACAAAGCTCTCATGTAGAGGCATAGTCTCTGAGGTCTCCTGCAAACCCCCACCCGTTGAGTCCTGGGATCCTCACTGTGGCCCATCTCAGTTCAAGAGAGGTCTATGTTCATGTTGATGACCTTGAGTTTGTAGAGAAAAGAATACTGTTTAGTGTGGTTCTCTTAAGAGGTTGGAGAAGTGGTTAATCCATTTAAAAAAAAAAACTTCTACGAAAATGCTTCAAAGGTTTGATGCTGAAAGTGGTGGCTCCTCGGCTGCTCCGAGCTCATCTCCACGCAGAGGACTTCACAGTAACGGAGGCGTCCCCTGCTGCTTCCCTGCAGACGTGGAGCCAGTTGTAGCTGCGGATTCCACACTCTTCCTGCCATTACGGTTTTTGGCAATAGTGCCAGTTTTCTGGGTTATTCTCTGACAAGCCTGAGGTTTGTATTTACAAAACAAAAAACACAAAACAACCCACCAATGCCAAGCTGCTCAGTGCTGCTATGTGGGAGAATGACGCCCCCAGCCATGGAATGATAGCCAAGTGGCAAATGAGCTAAACCTTGTATTTCTTTTTGTGCAAAGAGCATTGTAACAATAATAGGCATTAAAAATGGAAAGCCCTCCCTTCAGGGTTTTCCTGTTTTCTACCAATCACATGGGTTCATAACCTTTACGTAGTCATGGCCATCCTATAAATAAACACCACTGGGTAGGGAACACCGTCTCTCTGGGCGGCGCCATACAGTCTCTGTCCAAATTGCTACAAGGTCTTCCATCCTTCACATCTATCACCTCCCCGTTACTCTCACGGCTTCTGGGCAGAGCAACCTAAACTTCCAGCCAGGTTTCTCTAACACATGGGCTGCAATCCAGCCCCACAAGGGAACATGGTTGCAAAGAGAAATGGAAAGAGGTTGCAGTCTAGCAAGAGCAGGTCAAGGAGACGATGGGGGAAGATGAGGTGGGTGTATCCTTCCCTCTCGGGCAGTGGGGACAATCCAAGGAAGACAGGTGGAATGGCGGGGGCCAGAGAAACTCAATCCCCAAAAGTCAGAGTGTCCGACACTTTTGCTGAAGAGGGAGATCCGAGTGTGGAGGAGGAGAGAGAGAAATGGTTTAGTTTGATCCAAGCAAGGTGAACCCTGGCTCCCATCCAGGTGAATGGAGTTGGGGAAGCCCAAGGATGTGAGATCAGTGGAGGGTTGATGACTGGGGTCTTGGAGGAGTTTGCTGTGTGGTGGCAACTCCACAGGGAGAGACAGGAAAAGAGCAAGGAAGAGGGGAGGAGGACTGGCCTGAGGCCTGTGCCTGGAGGTAGACACACACCAGGGAGCCGTTGACTTGCAGGTTCCCCGTGTGATGGTAAAAACCAAAAATAAAATCCTAAGCTTGGCAGCTGAATGAACGGACCCCCTTCTCAGTTAAGGGAATTCTAAAGAAACCTAAAGAATTAATTCAGGCCATGATGGCCAAGAAGGGGTCAGACATGACTCATTATGCCTTCGTCCCCGTGGAGTTCAGGCACAGCTGACCAGCATTAGCATTAAAACAGACATCTTAAGACTGACAAAGCAGACTCTTGGCCAGGTGGGGTGGCTCATGCCTGTAATCCCAGCACTTTGGGAGGCTGAGGTGGGTGGATCACCTGAGGTCAGGAGTTTGAGACCTGCCTGGCCAATGTGGTGAAACCCCGTCTCTACTGAAAATACGAAAAATTCGCTGGGTGTGGTGGTGCTTGCCTGCAGTCCCAGCTATTTGGGAGGCTGAGGCAGGAGAATCACTTGAGCCCAGGAGGTGGAGGTTGCAGTGAGCTGAGATTGCACTACTGAACCCCAGCCTGGGTGACAAAACAAGACTCTATCTCAAAAAAAAAAAAAAAAAGCAGACTCTTGGTAGCAGTAAGATATCAAATTCCAGCATGACTCTACCATAGCATCACATGACACATAGCAGGCCCTGAAGAAATATCAAAGTATTTTATTCCAAAATGTATTTTTTTGACATATTTTGAAATGGCCCTGCAAAGCTGTCTCTTGTGATGGAAATCAATATTCTATGGAGAATTCTCCTCCATTTTCAGGTCTTTTTTCTGCTCCTGAAGAGATTAACTGAGAGTCTAAAACCTTCTAAAAGTCTCTATTTCCTCTAAGGGTAGCCACCTAAGAGACTTCATCTATATAATAAAAACCTTGGTTTCCACACCCCCTTCTCTTAACCTAGACACTCCTTTCTATTGATTCCAGGTCTTTAGATAATAACTTAACACTTTGGGGCCTGTTGTGGAGTGCGGGGAGGGGGGAGGGATAGCATTATACTATATAGGTATAGTATCGCTATATAGGTTTAGTGATATACCTAATGTAAATGATGAGTTAATGGGTGCAGCACACCAACATGGCACATGTATACATATGTAACAAACCTGCACGTTATACACATGTACCCTAGAACTTAAAGTATAATTTAAAAAAACATTAAAAACTTAACCCTTTTAACCAATTGCCAATCAGAAAATCTTTGACTCCACCTATGATCTGTAAGCCTCCACTTTACTCCAAGTTGTCCTGCCTTTCTGGACTGAACCAATGCATACCTTGCATACATGGGTTGATGTCTTACATCTCCCTAAAACATATAAAACTAAGTTATAAACCAACCACCTTGGACACTTGTTCTCAGGACCTCCTGTGGCTGTGTCATGGGTCATGGTCCCCACATTTGGCTCAGAATAAATCTCTTCAAATATTTTATAGGATTTGGATTTTTTTCATCAGCACGATGGTTAATATTCAGTGTCAACTTGACTGGATTGAGGGATGCCTAGATGGCGAGGGAGGCATCGTTCCGGGTGTATCTGCAAGGGTGTTGCCAGAGGGGACTGACATTCTAGTGGGCGGACTGCGAGAGGAAGGCCCACCCTCAGTGTGGGTGAGCAACATCCAATTGGCTCCCGGCGCAGCTGGTACAAAGCAGGCAGAAGAAGGGGGATAAGCAGCTTGCTGAGTCTCTGCGTTCTCTTCCCATGCCTGATGCTTGCGTCTTCTCCTCCTGCCTTTGGACATCAGACTCCAGGTTCTCCAGCCTTTGGACTCTGGGGCCTGCACTAGCAGCCTCTCGGGGGCTCTTGGGCCTTTGACTGCAGACTGAGGGCTGCACTGTCAGCTTCCATGGCTTTGAGGCTTCTGGACTTAGACTGAGCACACCACTTGCTTCTCTCTTTTCCCAGCTTGCAGGCAGCCTATTGTGGGGCTTTGCCTTATAATCGTATGAGCCAATTCTCCCTATTAAACTCCCTTACATTTATTCTATTGATCTGTCCCTCTGGACAGCCCTCACTAGTACAGCCCACCTCCATGTCTTTGCTGCCTCCACCTGCTTGGTAGCTGAAAGCTGTCTGCACAACCTGGTCCAAGACCGAGCCATCGGTATCATCCCAGGGACTGCCTCAGGGATGAGGTGTGGCTGCACGCCCAACCTAGGTAGGGCTCATCACAGGCCCTCCTGCATTTTGTGGCTGCCACTGGTGAGAGGGCCCTGCGTCTCCAGCTATGGGCCTCCCTGCCCTTGGTGGGCCCATGATCTTATAAGGCTGCTCTGGCTGATGCTGAGTGCACTTGGACTCCAGCACTTGCTGCCAGAGTCCTGCCCAAGCAGGTGCCTGTTTACAGATTGGCCAAGAATGAGGCCTGTGTGAGTGAGCAGATGGGACAGGGCATGACCGCCCACCGCTGCCTTCTCAGGGAGGGAGGGCGGTGGCAGAGACAGATGGAGAGGGATCACTGGGGAAGGCTGATGGCACTGGGGCTGCCACAAAGGACCATGACCTGGGTGCCTTCAACAACAGGAACTTACTCTCTCCCAGTTCTGGGGGCCAGAAGTCTAAAATCCAGGTGTGTCTGGGCTGTGCTTCCCCAAAGGGTCTCCTGGAGAATATTCTCGTCTCTTCTGCCTTCTGGTGGCTCCAAGCTCTCCTCCATCTCTGCCTCTGTCTCCGCATGGGCACGGCCCTTGCCTCTCCCTGTGTCTTCTCCTCTGTCTCTTAGGAGGACATCTGTCGTTGGCTACTTAGGATCTACCCAGATCACCCAGGATCATCTGGCCTCGAGAGCCTTCATTTAATCACACCTGTAAAGGTCCTTGTTCCAAACAAGGAAACAGTCACAGGTTCTGGGACATGGGCTTATCTTTTGTGGGGGCCACCATTCAACCCACTACAGGTGTGGTGTGGACTTGGGATGGGGACTCGGGTACAGTGACTAGACACAGCCACTGCAGTGCCTGCCAACCTGCAGAGTCAGCCCTGTCTGCAGCCACGCCCTGGGGGACCCGAGGCAAGGAAGGGCTGGGAGGAGGCCTGGCCCATGTCAAGGAGGAAGTTAATAAAATCGAAGGACAGCAGTGCAGGGCCTG
This sequence comes from Homo sapiens, assembly GCF_000001405.40. Lineage (NCBI taxonomy): Eukaryota > Metazoa > Chordata > Mammalia > Primates > Hominidae > Homo > Homo sapiens. The sequence goes on along the minus strand of NC_000002.12, from coordinate 238,988,188 downwards.
AAGAGGGATGTTGAGGTGTAGCATTTACCCGCTTTGCACCCCTGTCGGGGGCTCTGTGAGGACCAGCATCAGCTGCCTAGCCCCTGGGATGCGCTGACTTCTAAACAGATTGACCCTCAGTTCCCAATCCAAGTAGCACGTGCCAAGGAGGCCATAAGGAATCTCCTGTTTTGAGTTGCTTTTTCATAACACCTCTACCCCTCTTCTCATTCAGTTCACATGGTTTATTTTACATTTGGCAGTTCCGGGGCCTGCCCACCCTAGGAATAGATGCTGTGATTTCTTCTTTGAGCCTCTGCAACTCCTCAAGCCTGACTTAGAGCATCCTCAAGTCACAAGAGAGAAACAAAGGACGGAAAGACGCAAAGGACGCTTGCTGGCTTTCTCTTTTAAACGCCTGGCTGACCACATCCCCGACTCTGGGCTGAGCCAGGGCCCGAGGCTGGCCCCAGGCGCTGCCCGGAGCGGGAGGCAGAGCTTACGCCTTGCATCTTGCCTGATGACAGACCTCAGACAATTTCTGGGGCAGAGGAAAAGAGCATAATAAGCTTAATTTCAGCATTGTAAAGGTTATTATTATAATCATTTCCCTCTGAAGAATTGTAAATAATTCATTTGCAAAACTCTAGTTGAAGTCTCTAATTAGATTCTCCTTGGGCTCTTACAAAGCTCCTTCCGCCTCCAGTTGCGAAATCCATCTAGTTTGTTTTTTGTTTTGTTTTGTTTTGACCGTCTCTCCATTCAGCATGCTAAGAAATCAGCCTCATATTGTTTTCTTGTGTTCTCAAATTATGTTTCAATGGTGTGTCCTGCCTGTCCCCTCACCAGGGATGCTTGCGGGAGGGGAGGATGCAAGGGGGTGAGAAGGGCATTCTTGTTAGGCCACATTTATGCTCCTCTCTCGGGGTCGTGAGGCGTCCCGGGAGTCAGATGCTCTGGTCCCTGCCTGCCCTCTGATCTCCACGCCTGAACCCGGCAGAAGAGGGAGGGTCTCCTCAGGAGCGGGACAGAGCCTTCCACAGTGACCCCAGGCTTTACCGGCTCTAAAATCCAGGGCTGTCTCTACTGGGGCTAACGCAGTAGGCGCGGGTCTCTGATGCATCAGAAAATGTCCCTGCCTCTGTCTTCCTCGTCCTCCAGATCCTTCTCCTGAGGCCACAAGTGAGCGTCCCCAGGTGCACTTAGAGAACTGCGGCAGGTGCCAGTGCAGACGGCAGGTGACGCTGCCAGAGGAAGGAGAGAGGGTTTCTCAGGGCGGCGTCCACCTCAAGGGTGGAGGGTCTGGGGGTGTGCAGGGCGTGGACTGGGGAGTGTCAGACTGGCCCTGTTTCCACCTGAAGAGGACAAATGTGGCTGCGCGTCGGCACAGGTGTCCAGGAGGGGCTCTTGGAGGGGTCTCTAGGGAACACTGACCCGGACTGTGTGTCCTGGAGCTCTGCGGTCGCCCCATGCGCCTGCTCCCTGGGCCTGCCTGAACCCGCGCCCCGCCGAGCCCCCAGACCCTGCCTGAGCCGACCCGCCCTGAGCTTGGAGCCCTCCGCGCAAGGAGACAGCCCCAGGGGAGCGAGAGCGAGCCTTGCTTCCCAAATGGCCGGGGATAGTTTTGAATTTAGGGGTGGGTGTGTGTGCCAGGAAGAAGGTAACTTGAGCACGTCCTGGGTCACCGAGAGGGTCCCTGCATTTGGACCTTGGGGCCGTTGGTTGCGCAGGGCAGGTGAGGCCAGGGGCTTAGACCAGGGCCTGGATCCCAGCGAGCCAGGGAAGAGCAGGGCGGCCCCGCGCAGAGGCTGAGGCGCCTGCCCTGGGGCTGGGACCCTGCACGCATCTCCCACCACCTGAGGCAGGGGTCCCACCATTCTGTGGGCGAGCCTGGGTTTTAGCCAGCCGACCCCTCCCCCGCACGTCCCCTCCTTGCTGTGGATCTGAGAGGATGCGCCGGCGCAGGGATGAGAAAGAGGCAGCCCGCGTGGAGAGGCAGCGGGGCCGGACTGCAGGGAGTGGACTCCTCTTGGAGGAAGAAGGCGGCAGCGAGGACATCGCTACTGCCTTTGTTCCCACTGGGAAGGGGCGGGCCGGGAGCTGAACCAAGGTTAGAGGGCGATGGAGAGGGGAGCGAGGGCCCCAGTGTGCCAGGCCCAAGCCTCCCAGGAGAGCTGTCCGGCGGCCCCGACAGGCTGGAGTGCAGCCTTCCCTCCGCAGGCCTAGGGCTGCGCTGCTGGAAGCCCCGGGGCTCTGCCAGCCAGGGTGTAGCCTGGCTCACTGCAGCACCACGAGCCGAGGGACCCTTCCTGGTACAGGTTTTGTCTCGGAGCTTTCTTGGGAGGGAGGGAGTCGTTCCCCGGTGTGACGCAGGTGACCTTGGTGGATCCTCCCGAAGGCCACGTGAGCACCGCTGCAGGAGCTCTGTAGGGACGGGTTGAATGGCTGTGGCAGCGGAGAGGTTAAATTAGGAGATTCATATTGACCCCCCTAAAAAGTACTGTCCCTTGAACGGTCGCTCAGTAGAACAGGGTCTTCTTGGCTCTGCAGCAGCCCCGTGGAGCCTGGGATGAGCGGTCCTGAAGTTTGAGCAATTGCAAGGGCGAGGTCAGGGGGCGCTGGGGACCCTGCCTCCCAGCAGGAGGGGAAAGACCCTCCCTGAGGGGCCCGCGCGGGCTTTGATTGTGTGCCCAGACTGAACACGTCCATCCTGGGTAACCTCTGGGGTAAATACTCAAACTCCCTGGGCCCCAGCTCTATGGTGGGGCCTCCCGCTGAGCGCCAGGGGCCGGCAGCCCCCATCCCCACATTCCTGTTCGGTTTTTGTGTTGCGCCCCTGACATTTGTGTCTCTCCCGAGGCCCACCTCGCCTGTTTTTACGAGATGGCTGGACGTGGGAAGGCCCACGCTTGGACGCTGGCTTTGTCCTTTCTGGTATGAAGATAGCTGGCTTGCGAGTTAGTAAACTCATAAACTTGGTCTTATAAACACTCATCATTCCAAATGTGACATCACCTCTATGTACATACATCTTCTTAAACCCAAATATGCAAAAATACCTCCCAAGCAGCTGCCACATTGCAGAGAATTTAATTAAAGGAAAGGCCCCTTTTGGAAATGTGTTTATTTTACCATAAAAAGGGATGGAGTTGCCCTTTCTGGAAGTTTTTCTCTCTAATTAAGCTTAGCCCTGATTACCGCTCTGGAGGTGGCACCCGTAGGAGTCCTGGAGGGAATGTCTCTGGGCTGATAAAACCCAGGACAGTTCAATGAAAGCCAACACAAACGGACTCAAAAGCTGTGTGATTTTTACAAAGGAGGAGAAGATGAAAGCCCTTTGGTACAAAACAAAATATGTATTTTTAAAAATTATGGTTAAGCACATGCTCATTGACCTGGATTCTGCCAGCGTCATGCATGGTTCCGTACTTCTGTAGGAAAAGCAGCTCCCCACCAACCACAAAAATGACTGTGTCTCACTATAGATGCACATGTTGAAGCTTTCTTCAGTCAAGTCAGAGACCTTGAATGCTTATTTTTTCTCAAATTTTGATATATGTTATTTGACAATAATTTATTTCTAAACAAAAATATTTCCTCTTCAAATCATTCAGACCCTTTCTTGGAAAACAGGTGAAAACATTGAACAGGATCATTTAATATTGACCCTGCTCACAGCAGAGTTAGATGGTGGATCCTGACTCAGTCTTATAGCTGAGAAGAGAGAAGCCAGGTTGGAAGCTGAGTGATCTCCATGCTTCCTTTAGTTACCTGTTGCAGAGTGAGAAGCTGACTACACAGATGGACACTGGTCAGACCGTGTATACAAACAGAGCGGCCGGGCGTGGTGGCTCATGCCTGTAATCCCAGCGCTTTGGGAGGCCGAGGCGGGCTGATCGCCTAAGGTCAGGAGTTCAAGACCAATCTGGCCAACATAGTGAAACCCCGTCTCTACTAAAAATACAAAAAAAAGTAGGTGGGTGTGGTGGCGCACACCTGTAGTCCCAGCTACTGGGGAGGCTGAGGCAGGAGAATTGCTTGAAACCGGGAGGCAGAGCTTGCAGTGAGCCGAGATTGCGCCATTGCACTCCAGCCTGGGTGACAAGAGCGTGACTTCGTCTCAAAACAAACAAACAAACAAAAACAAAGCTCTGGCCTGCAACCTGCGGCAACCAGCCCCGGAAACCCACCCCTTTCCTACAGTGACCAGCCCCGAGGCCAGCTTGCTGTCAATAAGCCAGATGTGGAGGAAGGCAGGCCACCATCTCCAGCAACCTGTCCAGGAAGCCAAACAAGAGCCTTTGTAACAACTGACCCCAAGTGGCCAGGATTCAATGAACAGCTGACATCTTCCCTAATTTTTGTCCCTGCTTCTAACATAGGACCAACTAGAGAAAGCCAAATATACCCATAACCACCCACATGGGTGTCCTGCTTTTAGTGAGCTGTGTTCAGCTCCCCCACTATTCACAGATATTATGATTGTGTGCCTAAAAGTACATAAAGAATCTAAGTTGAATTTATTAGAATTAATAAGAATGTAACAAGTTGCTGGATACAAAATCAATATACAAAGATCAATTACATTTTACATTCCAGAAACAACTAGGGAAAAAAACAGAAAAACAAACCATTTTTTAAAAAAAATGAAGTCCCTGGAAATAAGCTTGAACAAAATGCATATGAATTCTATGATGGAAAAAGAGAACTTTTTATAAAGACATTATTTATTTATTCATTTATTTATTTTATTTGTTTGGTTTTTTTTTTTTTTTTTTTTTTTTTGAGATCGTCTTGCCTTATCCCTCAGGCTGGAGTGCAGTGGTGCGATCTCAGCTCACTGCAACGTCCACCTTCCAGGTTCAAGTGATTCTTCTGCCTCAGCCTCCCAAATGGAAGAATACATTAAGTTCATGGATGAGAAATAGCTAATATATGAAGATGTAAATTCTTCCCAAATAGGTATGTAGATTTCATGCAATCCCAGTCAAAAAGTCCATAGTTTTTAACGCTTATACACTGTTGGTGGGAGTATAAATTAGTTCAACCATTGTGGAAGACAGCAAGGTAATTCCTCAAAGACCTGAAGACAGAGATACCATTCAACCCAGCAATCCCATAGGTATATACTCAAAGGAATATAAATCATTCTATTATAAAGACACATGCACGGGTATGTTCGTTGCAACACTATTCACAATAGCAAAGACATGGAATCAACCTAAATGCCCATCAATGATAGACTGGGTAAAGAAAATATGATACATATACACAATATAATTATGTAGCCATAAAAAAGAATGAGATCATGTCCTTTGCAGCAACATGGATAGAGCTGGAGGCCATGATCCATAGCAAACTAACACAGGAACAAAAAACCAAATACCACATGTTCTTACTTATAAGTGGGAGCTAAATGATGAGAACACAGGGACATATAGAGGGGAACAACACACACTGGGATCCATTGGAGGGTGGAGGGTGGAAGGAGGGAGAGGATTAGGAAAAATAATTAATGAGTACTAAGCTTAATACTTGGGTGATAAAATATCTGTACAACAAACCCTGTGACACAGATTTACCTATGTAGCAAACCTGCACGTGCACCCCTGTACTTAAAATAGAAGTTTTTTAAAAAACCTCTAAAAAACCCCCAAAAACAAAGCGTCCATAGTTTTTTTTGGGAGGGGTGGAAGGCAAGGGTTAGGGTGGAATTTGACACCAAATGACACTAAAATGTATATGAAAACATGAAGGGCCAAGAAGAATTAAGCCATTTTTGAAAAATAATCACAAAGGTTGGCCTCATTGTTTACAGGTAGTGGCAGCAGTAGCAGTCTTAGTATCTGAAGCAGTTAAAATAATACAGGGAAGAGATCTTACTGTGTGGACATCTCATGATGTGAACGGCATACTCACTGCTAAAGGAGACTTATGGCTGTCAGACAACCGTTTACTTAAATATCAGGCTGTATTACTTGAAGGGCCAGTGCCGCAACTGCGCACTTGTGCAACTCTTAACCCAGCCACATTTCTTCCAGACAATGAAGAAAAGATAGAACATAACTGTCAACAGGTGATTGCTCAAACCTACGCTGCTCGAGGGGACCTTCTAGAGGTTCCCTTGACTGATCCCGACCTCAACTTGTATACTGATGGAAGTTCCTTTGTAGAAAAAGGACTTCAAAAAGCGGGGTATACAGTGGTCAGTGATAATGGAATACTTGAAAGTAATCCCCTCACTCCAGGAACTAGTGCTCAGCTGGCAGAACTAATAGCCCTCACTCGGGCACTAGGATTAGGAAAAGGAGAAAGGGCAAATATATATACAGACTTTAAGTATGCTTACCTAGTCCTCCATGCCCACACAGCAATATGGAGAGAAAGGGAATTCCTAACCTATCAAACATCAGGAAGCCATTAGGAGATTATTATTGGCTGTACAGAAACCTAAAGAGGTGACAGTCTTACACTGCCAGGGTCATCAAAAAGGAAAGGAAAGGAAAATAGAAGGGAACTGCCCAGGGGATATTGGAGCCAAAAGAGCTGCAAGGCAGGACCCTCCATTAGAAATGCTTATAGAAGGACCCCCAGTATGAGGTAATCCCCTCCAGGAAACCAAGCCCCAGTACTCAGCAAAAGAAATGGGGAACCTCACGAAGACATAGTTTCCTCCCCTCAGCATGGCTAGCCACTGAAAAAGGACAAATACTTTTTCCTGCAACTAACCAATGGAAATTACTTAAAACCTTCACCAAACCTTTCACTTAGGCATTGATAGCACCCATCAGATGGCCAAATTATTATTTAGTGGACCAGGCCTATTCAATACTATCAAGCAGATAGTCAGGGCCTGTGAAATGTGCCAAAGAAATAATCCCCTGCACTTTAGGCCATACATTTCAATCCCTGCATCTTTAGCCTCCTTGTTAGGTTTGTCTCTTCCAGAATCAAAGCTGTAAAACTACAAATGGTTCTTCAAATCGAGCCCCAGATGCAGTCCATGGCAGATCTACCATGGACCCCTGAACCGGCCTGCTAGCCCTTGCTCCAATGTTGATGATATCAAAGGCACCCTTCCCTAGGAAATCTCAACTGCATGACCCCTACTACTCCCCAGTTCAGCCGGAAGCAGTTAGAGTGGTCATCAGCCAACCTCCCCAACAGCACTTGGGTTTTCCTGTTCAGATGGGGGACTGAGAGACAGGACTAGCTGGATTTCCTAGGCCAACTAAGAATCCCTAAGCCTAGCTGGGAAGGTGACCGCAACCACCTTTAAACACGGGGCTTGCAACTTAGCTCACACCCGACCAATCAGGTAGTAAAGAGAGCTCATTAAAATGCGGGGGAGGGATAGTATTGGGAGATATACCTAATGCTAGATGACACATTAGTGGGTGCAGCGCACCAGCATGGCACATGTATACATATGTAACTAACCTGCACAATGTGCACATGTACCCTAAAACTTAGAGTATAATAAAAAAAAAATAAAAAAAAAAATAAAATAAAATGCTAATTAGGCAAAAACAGGAGGTAAAGAAATAGCCAATCATCTATTGCCTGAGAGCACAGGGAGAGGGGCAATGGTCGGGATATAAACCCAGGCATTCGAGCCGGCAATGGCTACCCCCTTTGGTTCCCCTCCCATTTTATGGGAGCTCTGTTTTCACTCTATTAAATCTTGCAACTGCAAAAAAAAAAAAAAAAGAAAGAAAAAAAGAAAGAGAAATAATTGCACAATATCACAATATGTACTTGACCTGTGAGACATCTATACTTATTATAATGCTGTAATACCTGAGAAAGTGTCACACTGGCCTAAGGATGGACTCATAGAACAATGGAACAGAAAACAACATCTTGAAACAGAAGCTCCCATATCCAGGACCTCGATATGTGTAAGCAGTGGCATTTCAGGCCAGTGAGAAAAGGACGAACATTTCCATAAGTGATCCTGGGTAAATTGTATATCCATGTGGAAAAATGAAATTGGATGCCATGGTGGATTACATTTTTCAAAGATGACTGCACCTGTATACATCCCATCCCACAGGCTGTCCTTTCAAGATGACATTGACACTTCTCCATCGAGACCTGGGTCTGTGTTCTCTCTCCTTGCACCAGGGCAGACTTTTACAAATACCTTGACCAACAGCATGCGCAGAAGTGACTGTTGAGGCTAAGTCAAAAAGGGCAATAAAGCTTCCACCTGGCTTTCTCTCTCTCTCTTTCCCGCCTCTCTTAATGCTTGTCCTTGAAACCCAGCCACTACGCTGAGAGGAAGCCAAAACCAGACCATATGGAGAAACCACCACCCCACGTGCAGAGAAACAGTGCCTTAGCTGACTGCAGCATCAAATGACAGATATGTGAGTGCATGAGCTGGTTCTGGCTCTCGGCCTTCAAAAGTTTCTCAGAACCCAGTCATTGTGGACTTCAAACAATAAACAAACAAAAACTTCACTTTTTTGGCCCTTTCTGAATTCCTCACCCACAAAAATCTGTGAGTAAACTATGTGATTGTTTTATACAGCAAAGTTTTGGACTAATTTGTTACACAGCTCTGATAACTGAGCAGACCGCTACCTCACGTCACACACGAAATTCAATTTCAGGCAGGTCAAAACAAAAACTGAAAACAAAAGTTAAACGATAAAGCTTTCATAAGATATTGTAGGAATTTATCTTCATAACCATGGAGTAGAAAGGAATTTCATAAACGAGACACAGAAAGAATTAACCATTAAGGAAAAGATCGTTGTACTGGTGTACAATAAATGTAGCCCCCTCTAGCTCACTGAAAGATATCATTGTGGAGGGAAAGACAAGCCACAAAGTGAGAGATGATATATGCCACCCGCATATCTTCTAAGAACTCATGTTATAAAATATAAAAAGAATTCCTGGCCAGGCGCAGTGGCTCACACCTATAATCCCAGCACTTTGGGAGGCCAATGCAGGCAGATCACTTGAGGTCAGAAGTTCGAGACCAGCCTGTCCAACATAGTGAAAGCCTGTCTCTACTAAAAATACAAAAATTAGCCTGGCGTGGTGGTGGGCACCTGTAACCCTAGCTACTTGGGAGGCTGAGGCAGGAGAATCACTTGAACCCAGGAGGTGGAGGATGCGGTAAGCCGAGATCACACCACTGCACTCCAGCCTGGGTGACAGAGCAAGACTCTGGTCTAAAAAAAAAAAAAAGAATTTGAATTCCCACAAAGTAATAATAAAAAACAGAGAACCCAGTAGACAAAAATGGGCAAGAGATGTAAGTAGCACTTCATAAAAGCAGATATCCAAATGGCCAATAGATGAATGAAAATGTGCTCCACCTCATCAATGATCAGAGGAATGCAAATCAAACCATAGTGAGATACCATCACACACCCACCAGACCGATAAATAAAAAAACCATGACAATGCAGAATGTTGCTGAGGGTGTGGCCCAATAGGAACTCACATACCACTGTAGGAGTATGAACTGTTTCAACCCCTTTGGAAAACAGTGGCATTTTCCAGTACATTTGAGGATATGCATTCCTATGAATGGAATTTCACTCTCCATATGCCCTAGGGAGACTTGTGCCCATGGGTACTAGGGCAACGTTTCATAATCGTCACAGCAGCACTCTTTGCAATCATCCCGAGTGTCCTTCAATGTACCATGGATAGATTGTGGTATATTTATTCAATGGGATGCTAGTCAAAATCGAAACTTAAATAACTATCCCCACATGCAACAATATAGGGTGAACTGACGTGTATGACAAGCTGAAGACTCAAGATCCAAGAACTATCTATGGTGCAATTCCACTAACATGAAGTTCAAAAAAGTTCAAAACTAGGTTAGCCTGTATATGTTTGGGGATAAATACAATCAATGCAAGGGTGCATTTGAGAGAAGAAAAGCAAGGAGTGATCATTATAAAAATTGAACAGTGGCCACCCTTAGGGGTGGGTAGGTAAGAGGAGGTTCTAACTAGGAAACTCTTCCAGAGGCTGATGTGCTATTAAAAAATAGCTAAAAAGCTACATAGGAATTGGCTTTACAGTGAATCATATGTTGTTTTGTTTAAACTAGAAATAATCGTTTTTTAACAAAAGCAGTGTATTTCCATTTTAGAAAATCAGAACACAAAAATGATAGCAACATTATATTCACATCACCTAAAAATTACCACTGTTAATAGTTTATATCCTCCCAGATCTTTTTCTAAATATATATAATATGTAAGTGAATTTTCTACCAAAGTGACATCGTACTGTATATAATGTTTTTACCCATTAAAGTGTACAATTCTGTGATTTAGAGTATATTCACAATGCTGTATAACCATTACCAGTATCTAATTCCAGAACAACTTTATCACAAAATCTTATACCTCCCATTCATCTCCCCTTCCCCCCAGGCCCTGGCAACCACTAATCTAATTTTTGTCTCCATGAATTTTCCCATTCTGGATATTTTATACAAATGGAATCATATAATATGTGGCCTTTTATGTCTGGCTTATTTCATTTAGTATGTTTCCAAGGTTCATGCATATTGAAGCATATATTAGCACTTCATCCTTTTATGATTGAATAATATTCCATTGCATGGATATATCACAATTTGTTTGTCTCTTCATCAACTGATGGACATTTGGGTTCTTTAGCTATTATGAATAAGGTTGCTATGAATATATACGTACAAAGTTTTTGCATGTACATATATTTTCGTTTCTCATAGATATGTATCTGAGTAGAATGGATCATATGGTGATATATGTTTAACTTTTTGAAGAACTTCAAAACTGCTTTCTAAAGTGCCTGCACCATTTTGCATTCCCACCAGCAATGTAAAAAGGTTCCACTTGTTTTATATCCCTGTCAACACTTGCTATTGTCCATCTTTTTGACATGGCCATCTTAGTAGATGAGGTTTCCCAATGGCTTATGGGAACATCTTTTTATGTGTGTACTGGCCATTTGTGTATCTTCTTTGGAGAAATATCTATTCAAATCCTTTGCCCATTTTAAAATTGGATTATTTTTCATTCTATTGTTGAGTTATAAGTATTCCTTATGTATTCTAGATACTAGTCCTTTATCAAATTTATGACTTGCTAATATTTTCTCCCATTATGTGGCTTGCCTTTTTACTTTCTTGATAATGTGCTTTAATTTATCTAAGTTCTTAATTTTGATGAAGCCCAATTTGTCTATTTTTTTTGGTTGCTTATACTTTTGGTGTCATTTCCCAGAAACCATTGCCCAACTCAAACTCATGAAGATTTACACTTATTTTCTCTAAATATTTTATAGTTTTAGCTCTTACATTTAGGTTACTCTTTTTAGTTAATTTTTGTATACGGTATGAGATAGGGGTAAAACTTCATTTTTCATATGTGGCTATCCAATTGTCTCAGCACTATTCATTGAAACAACTATTCCTTTCCCATTGAATTATCTTGGCACTTTTTCTGTATCTCTTATGTCTTTTTTGCTTCTCTATTTTTGACTTTTTGGTGTTGAGAAGATATTTTCTAGTGTACTATTTTAATTCCCTTGTCATTTCTTTTACTATATATTTTTGAGATATTTTGTTAGTGGTGGCCCCGGAAATTACAATTACATCCTAATGTAATGTCTAGGTCAGATGACTATAAACTTAATTTTAATAGTATATAAAAACTTCACCCTTATGTACTACCATTACTTTCTCCTTCCTTTCTGCTATTATTGTTATACAAATTACATATTTATGCAGTGAAAAACCATCAACACAAGTTGTTTTTTAAAATCAGATAGAGAAAAATGAGTTTCAAACAATGATACTTGTATACCATCTTTTATATTTACCTATATACTTACCTTTACAGGTGCTCTGTATTTTTCCACATGGACTCAAGTTACTGTGTATTTCTTGTCATTTTAGCCTGAAATATTCCTTCAGTGTTTCCTTTTTTGATTAAATTTTTTTAATTTTAAATTTTTGTGGGTACATAGTAGGTGCATGCTTCTTGTAGTACAGGACTGCTAGTGACAAACTCTCTCAGGTTTTTCTTTTAATCTGGAAATGTCTCAATTTCTCTTTCTCTTTGAGTGATAGTTTTGTTAAATATTAAATTCGTGATTGACAGTCTTGACAGCATGTCAGGTATGTTTTCCTACTGCCTTCTGGCATCTATAGCTTCTGGTGAGAAATTCGCGGTTAATCTTACTGAGGATATATGTATGTGATGAGTTGATTCTTCATGCTTTCAAGATGCCTCTTGGTCTTTGGCTTTGGGCAATTGATTATGAGGTGTCTAGGTATGGATCTCTTTCCATTTATTCTACTTGGAATTTATTAAGCTTCTTAGATGTGTAGACTAAGATTTTTCATCACGCGTGGAAGTTTTGGTCATTGTTTTTTAAATGTTATTTCTGCCTCCTTTTCTTTCTCCTCCCTTTCAGGGAGTCCCACTATGTATTTGCTTGTAGGCCCACAGATCTCTGAGGCTTTGTTTATTTTTCCTCATTCTTTTTATTTTTGTTTCCTCAGATTGAAAAAACTCCGTGGACCTATTTTCAAGCTTGTTTATTCTTTATACTGCCAGCTCAAATGTGCCATTGACTGCCTCTAGTGAAGTTTTTATTTCAGTTACTATACTTTTCCACTCTAGAATTTCTATGTGTTTTTTAAAGAAAAACCGATTTCTATCTCCTTATTAATCTCTATTTCATGAGACACAGTTCTCATTTTTTCCTTCAGTTCTTTAGACATAGTTTCCTTATTTCTTTAAAGATATTTAAAGTAGCTGACTTAAATTCCTTATCTAGTAAGTCCAACACCCGTGCTTTTGCTCTAATTCCCCTGACAGACCATACTTGCATGTTTCTTTGCTTGCCTCCTAATTTTTTGTTGAAAACTGAACATGTAAAATAGTATAATATGCCAGCTCTGGAAATCAGATTCTCCTTCTCCTCAGGGTTTGTTGTTGTTGCTGCTATTTGCTTGTTTAGTGGCTTCCCGAGCTATTTCTGTGTTCTTTGTCCTGTGTGGCCACTGAGGTTTGTACTCGGGATAGCTGGCCTATCATGACTGGATAATTTCCTTGACTACCTAGAACCAGTAAGTTTCACAGCCTTTGCTGAGGGGCCCTGCCTCTGTGAGGGGGCAATGCTTCAACTCTCAGGCAAGCAGGTTCCAACTGGGCACAATCCTTTACTTCCTGCTTTCACAGCACCTGGAGTTGAGCCCGTGCGATGCCTCAGGCCCCATCAGGTCTTTCCTGGGCATGCATGTGGCCTTCTGGAGTCCCACAAATGTGTTGGAGTTTCTCAAAGCCTCCTTCTGGATATTTCTTTCCCAAGCTTTTCCTTTTAGGTTTTTTCCATCATCTTGTTTACCTCTATTGTTTCATCACCTCAAGCTGCTATCATAATAAACAATTGCCAGAGAGCTGGAATGAATAGGATGAGTAATGGCAGTTCTCTGGGAATGGGGCTTTGGAGGAGCTCCAGCTGAATTCCGCCCCCTAGCTTGTCTGCCAGGCTGCTGGTTTTCACTGTGACTGCAGGCCCATTGACTTCTGGGGTTACTGCAGAGCTGGAGAGAGGGGTTGGGCTAGGGCAAGTTATGGTGCCACAAATCTCACTGTTCTTATGGCGATTCAGCCGCTTTTCCTGAATAAATGCTCCCTGAATTGTTGCAAGCCTTTGGTTAATTTCCAGAGTCCTGGAAAAGTTTATTTTGACTTTTTTTTTTTTTTTGGCCAGTGTTTGCACTGCTTATATAAAAATGATTTTCAAAGGCACTTCCTCTGCATTTCCACTGACATTACCCAGCAATGATTCTTCATTTTATATATGGTTTATGTACTCATCTGTATTTATAAAAAAGAATAAAAAAGCAAAATCAGCACTGTGTCCTTTGTACCCAGCCGCAATAATCAACTGTGACTTTCTGTCTTTGGAACGTTTGCAGTCATTCTCGTAATGGGTCTGAGTCATCACAGGGAAGCTGATCCAAATTTCATTATTTAATATACATGTAAATAACTAATCCAGACAGAAGAAAAGATTTATGTATTAGGTTGGTCCAAAAGTTATGGCGGTTTTTGCCATGAAAGAAATGGCAACAACTGTAATTACTTGTGCAACAACCCAATACATAGATGCCCATTACAACATTGGCCATATGATGAAAAATTAGAATTAACTTCAAAATCCAAACAGGGTAAAGGGTAGGTAAATACTCTGCATTTTCTCGCTGGAATGGTTGCACCCATTGTCTGAGATAATTATGAAGACCAAACAGTAATAAGGAGAATTTTTTTAGGATGTGTTTGTTGAAAAAAGCAAAATGCAAACTTCTATTTGCACCATGGTTATGCCTCTGGAACAATTATATATATGCATGTACGATAGCCAGAAAGGAAGAGAGAAAAGTGAACACAATTTGTTAGGGTGGAGAGAACTGTGGGTTTTTAAATTAGATTTTCCCCCACCTTATTGTTATGCTATGAGCGCACTAAATTGAAAGTTAAAAAAAAATAGGTCAACATGTCTAAAAGAAAGAAATACTTCCCTGTATCCCCTATGTGCTGGACTTGGCACTGGTCAGAGGCATCCTGTGGCAGAGGCTGTAATAGCCCAGGGGTTTCCTCTGTGGTATGACCTGGGGACAGAGCTCTGCCTTGTCAGCAGGATGGACTCCAGGGACCGGGATGGGGATGGAATGCAGCTTTTTGCCGAGCTGCCTGGAGACAGGGAGGAGGAGGATGAGGAGGAGGAGGAGGAGAAAGGCTCTCTACCCTTCCCCTCCTCCTAGAGAAGATGTTTTTCCAATAAATAATTGTGAAGTCTCGAATGAAATATAAGCCTCATGAATTATCTTGGCATTTTTGGGATCCAGGAATCTTTCAGTGTCTGGACAGGGTCACAAAGGCTCTTGATGGATGCCCCATCTCCCCCCCGGGGGGGTACCACCTTCCTGATGATAATGACTGGGCCACCCCTTCCACTGCTCCTCCCTGCCACTCCCTCCCCCTGGACCTGGGGCTTTTAGCTTCACTCCATCATCCTGCGGCTCTTATCCTGCTTTTTTTTTTTTTTTTAAAAAAAATATTTTCTTTCTCTTAAGCATCTGAAGAAGGGAAGGGAAAATTAAGTGGAATGTGCTTTGGAAATAATTCATCAGAGCAGCTTTCCCAAAGTGGGTTTTTTGTAGGATGACCAACTGTCCTGGTTTGCCTGGGACTGAGGGGTTTCCAGGGGTGTGGAACTTCCACTGCTAAAACCAGGAAAGTCCCATGAAATTCCTGGGATGAGCTGGTCACTTCAGCCCCATGAGTCTCTATTTGGTAGGATGCTAACAGGCAATACATGAAAATGGTTGGCAACAACTAGATGAAATAAAGTCAGATACATTTGCTGCAGGCCTTGTCAGAGCCTCTGTATGCTAATCTGTTATATGCTCATACATATTCAAAGCAGGGTGTCCTAGGTGTATCGGAGCTTAAGTTCTCTATTTTTCTAAAATTAATTAATCTAAGAAATGTGAAGTTTGATGAAGCTCAGTAGGCTGTGCTGCTCAGGATACCCAGACAGACAGTTTCTGGAAGAAGTGGATCGAGATGCTACTCTCAAATAGTTGAAACCTGCCAAGTGGTGGACATAGTTCTCTCCAAAGTGCTGTTAGTGGGGTGGAGGAAGTCCTAAGGTTCACTTTTGCAGAGCTGGATGCTGGAAGGGGTGTGTTTTCAGGTGTGTACAGCCGAGGGATATGTCCTGACCACCCCTCCTCAGTCCAACCCATCGAACACGGAAAGGACGTCTTCCTGGTGAGAGCAGGCAGATCCGGGTCTCAGGGAGGGGGCCTGGGAGGGGCAGTCTTCCAGTGCTCATCATTCTGCAGCTGGTGCATTGGGACATCCCTACAGAGACACATTGCATGAGGCCCCATGTAGGTGGCATGCCTCACACCCTCACTGTGGGGGCCACAGAGTTGAGCAGTGAGGCACGGGCACAGGATCTGGGGCTGCCTGACTGGCTGTGTGTTCTTGACATCCCCACCCCGTCCATCTGTGGAAGGGCACAGGGAGCCTTGTGTGACACCAGCACAACACGTGTTTGCTCCCCTTTGGTCTGCTTCTGCAGCAGCTGGTGCACACACCAGAGGTGTGGGGATGGGCAGAATCCCGGCGCGTCATAGCATCTGGGGGCAAGGCTGGGGTGAGGGGAACCTTCTCTGGACAGGCAGTCTAGTCATGCAAGTCACAGGGACTTCAGTCCCTGCTCAGGTGGCCATTGCTGGGCAACCTCTGGACTCCTCCTGACCCTGACATCTCCCCCTGTCTGATGGGGGCCTGAGGGTGCCTAGAAGCTTCTCAGGCTGGGGCTTGCATGCTCCTTGACTTGACTCCGGGCTCAGAGACATGGGGGTTGCTGGACATTAAGAGTCCGCTAGCGGCCTCACACAAGGCTCGGTTCCAGCGAGGAAGCAGATTCTGGGGGCTTTGAGCATCCCTGTCTAGCCTGTGGTAACAGGAGGCAGGGGGCTATGGGTGAGTACCAGGATCTGCCCTGGGGGCCTCTGCCCAGGTGATGGGCTTCTTTCCACCTGCCTCTGGCCTTGGCAGCCTCCCAGCTGTGGGAAGATCTGCATCTGCCATGACCTCCATGGAGCCCAGCCCTGGTAAGTGGCCAGAGACAGCAGCTGTCCTGGGGGAGGCTGCTGGAGCTGGAGTTCACTGTCCTACAAGGGAGGCAGAGGCTGGCATAAGCAGCCCTGCAGTGGGCATGGCTGGCCATGGTTGGCTGCACATCCATCTGCCCCCATACACCAAGTGCTGCACCAGGCTCTGTGGCCCCTCCAGGAATGAGCAGTGAGCCCCCAACCCAGTCCTTAGTCAGGTGAGAAGTGTGTTGCTGTGCAGCAAGGACCACAGGCCCTCAAGGACTTGGAGGCATCAGGAATTCTGTTCCCATGAGGACTCGGAGGACCTTCTACAACGGAGGGGGATGCCATCTTGGGTTGCTGATTGAGACTAAGATTTTTGAATAAAGATGAAATGAAGGTCACTCTCTGCCTTTCTGGGGTATTCCTGGGAGGATGGGGTTCCAAGAGGCACAAGTGTCCTGTGGGCCCTTGTGGATAACTAGCGGGGGTGGGGGGCCTGACTCTGGGATGTGTGTGAGGCTGAGGCACCCAAGACTCCAGCCCGGCCCCAGGAACGTGCCTCCAATTTGTTCAGCGGGCTGCCCTCACACTCAGTGAGGGCTGGGTAGAAGGTGGCACCCCAGAGACCAAGCAGAGGGTGGCAAGAGCAAACAGATCAGACAGCTTGACGTCAAGGACAGAGAGCCCTCATCCCCCATCTGAACCCAGGGCTCAACCCCGGCCGCAGAAGAGCAGCACAGCCTCTGTGGGCAGCTACTGAGGTCAGCAATGCTGCCCATGTGGAGGGTGAGGAGAAGAGCCCCCAAGAGCATCCAGTGACCTGGAAGGGGCCACGTGGTCAGCCCCTGAGTCAGAGGCAAAGCCTGCAGCAGTTTCAGGGGTTGGCCACTAGGTGGCAGAGGAGAGCCCAGCACAGTCACAGGGGCCTTAGGTCAGCCTGGCTGGTCACACCTGGCCTTCGGCCTCCTCAGGCAGGTGATTGAGAGAGAGGAGGAGGGAGAGCCTCCACCGATGGTCTACAGTGGGCATGCATGGGGCTGGGGTCTGCCTGGTACATGTGAGGGTTGTGTGTCCAGCCTTGAAGGATGGCTAAGGACTGGCTAAGCGGAGATGTAGGGGCAGGAATTCCAGGGAACTGGGAACTCCAGGGGCCGGGGTTGCAGAGATTCCAGAGAACTGGGAACTCCAGGGGCCGGGGTTCCAGAGATTCCAGAGAACTGGAAACTCTGTGAGGAACTGATGCAGAGACTCGGGGACCCAACCCAGCACAGTGCTCTTGGGGAAAGAGCCCATCTGAACCTCAGCCTGAAAGCCCTTGGGTTGCAGGGGCAGGAAAATCCTGCCTAGGTGTCCACCCACAAGGTCTGAAACCTGCTCTACCACCTCCTCCCAGCCAGCCCTTTGGGGGAACCCACAACCTCCCACCTGACACCCACAAATTCCTACTCTCCCCATGCCACGCTCCAGATGCCAGAAGCCCTCTACCTGAGGCACCCTCAGTGCCTTCTGTTGGCATCTGATCAATTCTGGGTCCTGGCGTGACTGGGGCTGGGTACTGTTGAACGATGCTGGGGGGATGAGCCTTCTCCCTCCTCTCACATGGCATGAAGGCAGAGGAAGGGGTGGAGAAGCCCCATGGAGTCCACAAAACCAAAGGGAAGAGAAAGAGGGAGGAAGAGGAGCGAGGTAGGGCCCCCATCTGGGGCTTGATGCTGTGTGTGCCTCCTCTGGCCGCTTGCGTCCTGCAGAATCCTTTCCGATTTTCCACATTATTCTAGGAGGTTATTAACCATTTTAATTTTTATCCAAGAAATGTGGCACACGTAGGCACAAATCCTACCCAGCTAAGTGCCACCCTTCCTCAGGCTCATCTTGCGCTGGAGTCATACATTGGACCACAGCACCATGAGGCAAGGTCAAGTGTCCCATTGGGCCGTCTGGGCAGGTCACAGATGCGGAGGACAGATCCCGATATTGCACATCACGCTCCTTTCCTCTCTCCCTCTCTTTCTCTTCTTCTGCAGGTCACCATGTTGCTTAGGTGATCACATCTGCATGGGATTGCTGGGAGGCAGCTTTTCAGTCCTGCAAAATAATGGGTGATAAGATGAGGGGCTCCCCCATCAGGGTCCTCAACACCCCAGGCAAGGAAGCTCCTTTCTCTTCTCCTTCCACTGGGCAGATCTTGGGCCTCGGGTGCAGGGCCACCTGGGCAGGTCGGGCACCTGAGAAGGACTCGCTTTGATCAGGGGAAGGTCTGGGAAGGAAAAGCCAGACCGCAGCCAGCGTCAGAATGGTGCAGCGGTGCAGGGAGGGGTGCAGGAGGCAGCTCCCTAGCGGACCCCGAGGGCCTGAGGTCTGGGGACTGGTGTCCACCCCTGCTTGCTCCTCCTGGCAGGCTGCGGGCGGCTGGTAACCGGAGCCTCATGCTGAGCCTCCCACTGCGACTCCTGATGGAGCTGGGAGCTCACCCTGTCATTAGGGCTGGGGTCAGCAGAGGTGGTGGGTGGGGCTTAAACAAACCCATCAGGGCCCTGACTCTTTCCTCTGGGGCCCGTCACATAAATTTTCATTGAATGCCACTGCATTTTCATCCAGGGAACTGTCAGGGATATTTTGAGAAGGAACTGAGGGTCAAATGTCAGCATGGCTGAGAGCTGGGGGTTGTACGATGTCAGACTGCAGAGACAGAGGGGCCCCCAGGGCACAGGGCTACTCCCTCCGGGGTTCCAGGAGCTCCAGCAGGCCCAGCCCCCAGGATGGCATTGGAGCCTCAGCCCAAGTCTCAGGGCTGACCACACTGGGTAAAGAAACGATGACTGTGGTTCACGTTGGGGAATCAAAGCCATCCTCACTGTCCTCTAAGTGAGCAAACACATGGCAATAGGGAATTTAGGACTCCACAACCACCCGTTGTTCTTTTCTCTGAGATCTGCAAGCAAAGCTTCATACTTGTAGGAACTTCCCCATTGTCAGGGCGTTCTCTCACACATTAGCTTACGTGTCTATCACTCTATGGATGAAGCGGGACAGAAGTGAGTGTCCCCTTTACACAGATGCAAAGACTGAGGCTTCATGGAGCTGGGAGGCTGCCCAAGGCCACTGGACACGGAGGAGCCCGAAGCTTCTAGCTGCCCCCGTGTCTATTTTATAAGAATCTCTTTAGCGCAATGGGCCCCATCAAGCCACCATTTCATGTAGGTCATTAAAACCCTTGAGCAGCCCTCAGGCTTCACCCACTTTATCCTCGAGGCAGGGAGATGGCCACAGCTCAGAGTGACAACGTCCTTTGTCCAATGTGAAAGAAGAGGGCTTGGAAATCTCTCCCAGCCCCAAAACCAGAGTCTGGGCTCCTTCCCTGACGTCCTGCAAGCCCTAACGCTCAGCGGCGCTTGTGCTTGTTTGCATTTGACCTTGGCGTCTGTATTTGGCCTTGAAAGTTGCCTTGAAAGTCTGCTCCAGGATTTCCAACCCAGGAGGAGGAGGCATGAGGGTTTCCAGGCCCTGTCAATCTCTGACAGTAACCTCTGCCACCAGGCAGCCCCGTCCCACACTTTTTCAGCATGAGAGATTACATTCACCACCTCTGCGGAGATGAACACCCTTGAGCAGGCACTGGGCAGGGCTGAGCCTAAAGACTTTGCGGCCAGAGACAGGAGGCTGAGGGAGTTGGCCTGACCGGTGAAGCTCGGGAGGACTTCATAGAGGAGGTGCCCCAGGAGTTGGGCCTTGAAGGGTGCATGGGCGGTGCTAGGCGAGTGGGCGGTGCTAGGCAGGTGGGCGGGTCTGGGCTGAGCGCATCGCAGACGCAGCTGCCCTGCAAGGCTGTGTTTTTGTTGGCGGTATTGCTGCTGGAGCCATTTTCCGTTTGGAGGGCTCCTGATAGGAGAATGCGGGTCAGCGAGTTTAGAACAGCACAGCCCTGGACACGTGTCTGTGTGAGTGCGTGAGGAGAGGGACTAATTGGCTACTCTGAGTTGACGATTATAAAACCATCTCTGGTTAATAAAAGCGCCGCCATCTAGCAATTTTAGTTGTCCTGGTGGGGGATAGGAGATTGACCAAAGAGGAAGTCTTGCAGAATTAATCTACTGACGGGAAGGTCACAGGCTCAGCACACCCCGCCCCCACGAACAGTCCATGTCCAGGAATAACGGGGCTTCGATTCAGGACGCTCAGAGAAGGAAAACAGCTATTGGTGAGATGATGGAGAGAGGAGAGTGGAGGGCTTCTGGGAGCACTGCGGGGGCTGCGAGTGGTGGACGGTGCCGGAGGTCACAGACCAGGCATGGGTGGACGAGAGAACTCAGTCACTGAGAAGCACAGGACCAGGGCACATGCACGACACAACGTGGCAGACACACATGGGCCGCGCCTGTGGGTGACGAGCAGACATCTCCCACTACAGGTAAAGACAGAGGCTTAACCCGAAGCCACAGTCGCTCCTAGACAGAGGCACGGGCAGGATTGCAACTCGGGCGAACTTTCTCACTGTCTCGCAACTACACGGGTGGCTCTAGAAATGCAAGCCAAGAACTGATGGCTTCAGCGTCTTGGTGGGCTCCGGAACCGGGCTAGAGCCTTCGTTAAACCAAGAGGAAGACCCGCAAATCGCCCGGGTCGCCGGGGGCCAAGTACAAGTTCCTGCCTGTCGTAGGACTCAGCACAGCCTCACGTGTTATGGTCCTTGCAGGTGCTCTCTCCCGTGGGGTGCCCCGAAGACCCTGGGGGAGAACGCAAGTGGAAGTCACTAGTTTAGGGATGGCGGGGGCTGACCGGGGCTTCGAACCATCAGGAGCCAGTGCCCACCTGGTCACCGGAGGGACGGGGAGCCACGTCCTGGCTGACCACTCACCAGTGGGGTGGAGCCCTGGGAAAGCCACGCGGCCTCCGTGAGCCCCTGTCCCCTCGTTTCACACGGGGTCATCACGTCCCCAGCTCAAACGCCAGCGAGGAGAAGTGGGGGCTGCAGGCCCAGCACTTGGCACAGGGCCTATGGCTTCCTCCTTCTGTCCCCTCTGCCATCCCCTTTAAAAGCATTTCTTGGCTTCAGGTGGTAAGGCGATGGTGGGTAAGAAAAGCACCTTCCAGAACCACGGTGGAACAGCCCTGCGACGAAGTCACCCGGGTCACGGCGGAACAGCCCTGCGACGAACTCACCTGGGTCACGGCGGAACAGCCCTGCGACGAAGTCACCTGAGTGGGAGTCCTGACCTCGCTTCCTCCATGGAGGTAATTAATGGGACGGAGAGAGGAGCCGTGAGAACCAGGTCCCCACTCGCTGTGAACACCAACAATTTACAAGGCAGGATCTTGGCAATAAAGAGCCCTGGGGGCCGCCGCACTTGCGGTCAGCTGGCACGGACGCCAATCCCAGCCCACCCGTTATTTACTGAGAAAATACCACGGCTCCTCATCTGCTATTACACTTGATACTTGATCCTGATCCATACAGAAGCAAGGGTGTATTTAGCGACAGGGCAGGCTTTCCTCGCACACCAGGAGCATCTGACCCAGTGTCTGAGCCTACAGGAATCTCGTGGGGCTGAGGCTGCCTCCTCCTGCCCACGGGGGCTGGAGGGCCAGTAGCTCCGGTGCCAGCCAGGGAAAGACCATCAGCCACCCCAGAAGCCAGTGCAATGAGACCTCTCCCCAGCTGGGCCGCACCATCAGCCCCATCACCAGACTGCCCTCCTTCCCTCGCGCACCCGCCCGTGACAGCCGGCTCTTTGCCCTTGAATCTCTCATCTGTTCACACACCAACTCTTGCCCATGGTGCACTTGAGCTGGGCTTTACTCCAGGGGCTTGGGACAATGAGAGAAAAAACCAAAATACACCAAGACCTTTCCCTGGTGGGGTTCATGTTCAGGCGGGAAGGGAAGCAGCTGAACAGTGCTGAGGGCTCAGGACAAAGACAGGAGCAGGGAGGGGGAGGCAGAGGGGCTGCATTTTGGGCGGTGGGCAGCCTAGGCCATGGGGGAAGCAACTTGTGAGTGAGATCGGCAGGGAGGAAGGAGGCCGGTGGGGCTGCGGGACCAGCTGGTGAGAAGCATGCATGAGAGGAGACATTGGCCGGGCCCGGTGGAGGCAGGAGGGAGGAGGGAGGAGGGAGGATGGAGGAGGAAGGAGGGAGGAGGCGGGAGGGAGGAGGGAATAAAAAGGAGGGAGGAGAGGGAGGGAGGAGGGAGGAGGAAAGAGGAAGGAGGGAGGAGGCAGGAGGGAGGA
Organism: Homo sapiens; assembly: GCF_000001405.40. Classification (NCBI taxonomy): domain Eukaryota; kingdom Metazoa; phylum Chordata; class Mammalia; order Primates; family Hominidae; genus Homo; species Homo sapiens. The sequence goes on along the minus strand of NC_000002.12, from coordinate 238,965,329 downwards.
GGCAGGAAACAGAAGTGAGGCAAGAGGGAAGAGGGAGGAGGGAGGACAGAGGAGGGAGGAAGGAGGACAGAGGAGGGAGGAGTAAGGAGGAGGGAGGAGGAAGGAGGAAAGAGGAAGGAGGGAGGAGGCAGGAGGGAGGAGGCAGGAGGGAGGAGGAAACAGAAGTGAGGCAAGAGGGAAGAGGGAGGAGGGAGGACAGAGGAGGGAGGAAGGAGGATGGAGGAGGGAGGAGTAAGGAGGAGGGAGGAGGGAGGAGGCAAGAGGCAGGAGGGGAGAAAAAGCAGGGGGGAGGCAGGAGGGAGGAGGGGGAAGCAGGAGGGAGGAGGAAAGAGGAAGGAGGAAGGATGGGGAAGGAGGAGGGCGGAAGGAGGCCAGTGCAGCTGGAGCTGGTGAGGGAGGAGTTGAGATGGGGTGGGGAGGTAGGGCAGGACCACAGAGACTTCTGGGGCTGCAGTGACAAATTACCGCCAACGAGGGGGCTTAAAACAACAGAAACATATTTTCTCACAGTTCTGGAGGCCAGAGGCCCGAAATTCAAGTGTCAGCAGGGCCAGGACCCCGCAGGCTCTGAGGGAGTCCCCTCCTGGCTCCTCTCCGGCTCCTGGGCTGCCGGCGGCGTTCTGCATTCCTTGATGCTTTTCTCCGGTCTCTGTCTCCACTCTCCCAGGCCTTCCTCTCTGCGTTTCTCCTCGGTGTCTCCTCCTCTCCTTGTGAGGATGCTTGTCCATGCATTTAGGGCCCATCCAGCTAATCTAGAAGATCTCATCTCAAGATTCTTCACTTAATTACAGCTGCAGAGATCCTTCCCCAGTATGGTCACATTCATAGGTACCAGGGCTCAGGACTTGGACACATCGTTCTGGGGCCACCATTCAACATACAACAGCCCCCAGGGCAGGATCTTTGGAGACAGGAGTGGTAAACTGTGTCCTGGTTAGAGGTGCAGTGAGGCAGGAATATGGGATTTTTGGTAAAATTGGTGTAAGGGTGGGGAGTGATTTGGTTGAGTTTGCTTCTTACTGGATCAGAAACATGGGAATCCCAGGTCCTCAGAGGAGGAGACCCCTGAAGGTCCAAGTCCAAATTGGTACAAGGTGCCTTTTGGAGCCCAAAGTCGGCTGGTCTTGGGTGTGAGGCCTGCTGTGGGTTCTTCCTAGCCAGGATGAATGCAGTCAGGTGGTGGAGGGGGGCTGTGAGCTCACTGCTTGTTTTCAGATGACCCCAGAGGCTTCATGCACTCAATAAACTCCAAACAACACTCACCACATGTGGGTCCTGCAGTTACAACATAAGATGGACAAGGGCAGGCCAGCAGGGGAAGCAGCTCCATCTCCACAGTGCTAGTGATGGAGACGGCTCAGAGCCAGGATAGAAGCAGGATCCTGTTGGTTCTGTTTCTTTGGAGACTCCTGACTAGCAAGGAGGTGAAGGTTGAGGACTGCAGGGTCCTGGGGAACCCGTCCACAGCTTGGGGCTGGGTGGGCACAGTGGCCGGGCGGGGTGGCTGGCTGTGGGGCTGGAGGGTGGGCAGGGCTGATGTGGAGAAGCCGGCATGGCAGGACTGGGGCTGGACGCACCCTGGAGTCCGGGGTGGGCTTTAAGCTGGGGAGTGGTGTGGTCAAGTCTGCTTCTGCTGGACAGCCAGGAAGGAGTATGGAGGACGCATCTGGGGTTAAGAGCCCAGAGGGAGGCTCTGCCCTGAGGTGTGAGGTCCACTCACTATTTTAGAATTCTCACATCCCAAGTGCAGCTCGGCTGACTATCCACGGCGTTTCCCCACCCTGGTCTGACTTGGCCTCCAAGACCACCCTGGGAGTGGGAGGTGTTTCCCTGCCTCTCCTGGCAAGGTAGGGGAAGAGGCACTGGTCATGAAAGAGTTTTCATTTCCTTTCTCAGACACCAGGGCATCCTGCGGCTGGAATGGTGAAAAGGTTTTGAGTCCCATCCCTGGTTCCAGACAAGTTCTCAGTAGAAAGCGAGTTCAGGAGGCTGCTGGTGAGGCCCACGGCCTGAAAGAATGTCTGGCACGTGGCCTTTCCTGGGAAAGCTGCAGATTTACATCCTAAGGGCAAGAAAAGAAAACATCAAGAGACAGAGAAGCAGAGGGTTACAGGTCGCTAAGCTGCACTGAGAATGAAGACTTTCATTCATCTTACTTGAAGCTGGGGACCAGGATCATGAAGGTCTGTAATTGCACCCTCTTCTATCAGGCCCTTTTTAGAATGTGACTGGATTATGTCCTTTCCGTTTCTCATGGGGAAGGAGTCAGCGAAGTGATTGGGATGATAATATTGCATCTTTCATTGGAACACCCAGTGCCAGGTATGTGACCCACAATCTCATCTGCTGATTCCGTAAACGCTCAGGGCGGGTAGTATTAGGCACTAGACTGTACCTGGGCCTGAATCCCAACTTCCCCATTTACTAGCAGTAACATCTTAGGCAGCCCATCTATGAAATAGGACTAAAAGAGTGCTGACTTCTTAGGATTGTTTTGAAGATAAAGCAAGATACTGCATATAAAAGTCTTAACATGTTGTCTGGTAAGCACTGAAGAATGGTTATTATTATTATTATTATTATTATGTACATGCCAGTCACTGTGTCAAGAACTTAAGGATGAACATGATCAGAATTTCCCTCAAGAGTGTTTTTTTTAATTTATTTTTTATTTCAATAGGTTTTTGGGAACAGGTGGTGTTTGGTTATGTGAATCAGTTCTTCAGTGGTGATTTCTGAGATTTTGGTGCACCCATCACCCGAGCAGTATACGCCATACCCAGTGTTAGTCCTTTATCTCACACCGCCCGCCCACCCTTCTGCCTGAGTCCCCAAAGTCCACTGTATCATTCTTTTGCCTTTTCGTCCTCATAATTAACTCCCACTTATGAGTGAGAACATACGATGTTTGGTTTTCCATTCCTGAGTTACTTGAGAATAATGATCTCCAGTTCCATCCAGGTTGCTGTGAATGCCAATATTTTATTCCTTTTTATGGCTGAGTAGTATTCCATTGCATAGATAGATAGATAGATAGATAGATAGATAGATAGATAGATAGACAGATAGATAAAAATAGATGATAAAGTGTGAGATGTATGTATTTCTTTATCCACTTGTTGATTGATGGGCATTTGGGCTGATTCCACATTTTTGCAGTTGCAAAATGTGCTGCTATACACATGCATATGCAAGTATCATTTTGTATAGTGACTTCTTTTCCCCTGTATATATATCTAGTAGTGGGATTGCTGAATCAAATGGTACATCTACTTTTAGTTCTTCAAAGAATCTCCACAATGTTTTCCATAGTGGTTGTATTAGTTTACATTCCTACCAACGTGCAAAAGTGTTCCCTTTACATCACATCCATGCCAATATCTATTATTTTTTGATTTTTTGATTATGGCCATTCTTGCAGGAGTAAGGTGGTATCGCATTGTGGTTTTGATTTGCATTTCCCTGGTCATTAGTGATGCTGAGCATTTTTCCATATGCTTGTTGGCCATTTGTATATCTTCTTTTGAGAATTGTCTATTCATTTCCTTTGCCCACTTTTTGATGGGATTGTTTGTTTTTTTCTTGCTAATTTGTTTGAGTTATTTATAGATTCTGGATATTAGTCCTTTTTCAGATGTATAGATTGTGAAGATTTTTTTCCCACTCTGTGGGTTGTCTGTTACCTCTGCTGATTATTTATTTTCCTGTGCAGAAGCTTTTTCATTTAATGAAGTCCCATCTATTTATCTTTGTTTTTGCTGCATTTGCTTTGGTGTTCTTGGTCATGACGTCTTTGCTTAAACCAATGTCTAGAAGAGTTTTTCTGATATTACCTTCCAGAATTTTTATTGTTTCAGGTCTCAGATTTAAGTCTTTGATCAATCTTGAGTTGATTTTTGTATAGGGTAACAGATGAGGATCCAGTTTCATTCTTCTACACGTGGCTTGCCAATTATCCCAGCACCATTTGTTGAATAGGGTGTCCTTTCCCCACTTTATGTTTTTGTTTGCTTTGTCGAAGATTAGTTGTCAAAGATCAGTTTGGCTTTATTTCTGGGTTCTCTATTCTGTTCCATTGGTATGTGCCTATTTTTATACTAGTACCATGCTGTTTTGGTGACTATGACCCTATACTATAGTTTGAAGTCAGGTAATGTGATGCCTTCACATTTGTTCTTTTTGGTTAGTCTTGCTTTGACTATGTGGACTCTTTTTTTTCATTTGATATAAAATTTAGGATTTTTTTTCTAGTTCGTGAAGAATGATGGTGGTATTTTGATGGGAATTGCATTGAATTTGTAGATTATTTTTGGCAGTGTGGTAATTTTCACAATATTGGTTCTACCCATCCGTGAGCATGGGATGTGTTTCCATTTGTTTATGTTGTCTATGATTACATTCAGCAGTGTTTTGTAGTTTTCCTTGTAGAGGTATTTCACTTCCTCGGTTAGGTATATTCCTAAGTATTTCATTATTTTTTTGCAGCTATTGTAAAAGGGATTGAGTTCTTGATTTGATTCTCAGCTTGGTCGCTGTTGGTGTATAGCGGAACTACTGATTTGTGTACATTAATTTTGTATCCTGAAACCCTGCTGAATTCATTTACCAGTTCTAGGAGCTTTTTGAATGAGTCTAGGGTTTTCTAGGTATATGATCATATCATCAGCAAACAGCGATAGTTTGACTTCCTCTTTACAAATTTGGATGTCCTTGATTTCTTTCTCTTGTCTGATTGCTCTGGCTGGTACTTCTAGTACTATGTTGAATAGAAGTGGTGAAAGTGGGCATCCTTGTCTTGCTCCAGTTTTCAGAGGAAATGCTTTCAACCTTTCCCCGTTCAGTATAATGTTGGCTGTGGGTTTGTCATAGATGGCTTTTATTACCTTAAGGTGTGTTTCTTCTATGCCGATTTTGCTGAGAGTTTTAATCATAAAACAATGCTGGATTTTGTCAAATGCTTTTTCTGCATCTATTGAGATAATCGTGTGATTTTTGTTTTTAATTATGTTGATGTGGTGTATCACATTTATTGACTTGCAGTCGTTAAACCATCCCTGCATCCCTGGTATGAAACCTACTTGACCATGTTGGATTATCTTTTTGATAATGCTGTTGGATTCAGTTAGCTAGTATTTTGTTGACAATTTTTGCATCTATGTTCATCAGGGATATTGGTCTGCAGTTTTCTTTTTTTGTTATGTCCTTCTCTGGTTTTGGTATTAGGGTAATAATAGCTTAATAGAATGATGTAGGGAGAATTCCCTCTTTCTCTATCCTGTGGAATAGTGTCAGTAATATTGGTACCAATTCTTCTTTAAATGTCTGATATAATTCAGCTGTGAACCCATCTGTCCTGAACTTCTTTTTGTTGGCATTTACTTTTTTCTTTTTGTTTTTTTTGAGATAGTGTTTTGCTCTTGTTGCCCAGGCCGGAGTGTAGTGGCGTGATCTCAGCTCACTGCATCCTCCACCTCCTGGGTTCAAGTGATTTTCCTGCCTCAGCCTCCCAAGTAGCTGGGATTACAGCCACCTGCCACCACACCCAGCTAATTTTTGTATTTTTAGTAGACAGGTTTTAATCATGTTGTCCAGGCTGGTCTCGAACTTCTGACCTCAAGTGATCGTCCGCCTCGGCCTACCAAAGTGCTGGGATTACAGGCATGAGCCACTGTGCCCGGCCAGCATTTTTATTTTAAATTACCATTTCAACCTTGCTGTTTGTTATTTGTCTGTTCAGAGTTTCTATATCTTCCTGGTTTAATCTAGAAGAACTTATCTATCTCCTCTAGGTTTTCTAGTTTATGCACATAACAATGTTCACTATTCATTAAATAATCTTTTGTATTTCTGTGGTATCAGTAGTAATCTCCCATTTCATTTCTAATTGAGCTTATTTGGATCTTATCTCTTATTTTCTTGGTTAATCTCACTGATGGGCTATCAATTGTATTAGTATTTTCAAGGAGTCAGCTTTTTGTTTTATTTATCTTTTGTATTTTTTGTTTGTTTCAATTCGTTTAGTTCTGCTCTGATCTTCATTATTTATTTTCTTTTGCTGGGTCTGGGTTTGGATTGTTCTTGTTTCTCCAGTTCTTTGAGGTGTGACCTTAGATTGTCTATTTGTGTTCTTTCAGACATTTTGATGTACGCACTTAATACTGTGAACTTTCCTCTTAGCATTGCTTTTGCTGTATCCCAGAGGTGTTGATAGGTTGTGTCACTATTATCATTCAGTTAAAATAATTTTTTAATTTACATCTTGATTTCATTGTTGACCCAATGATTGTTCAGGAACAAGTTATTTAATTTCCATGTATTTGCATGGTTTTGAGGGTTCCTTTTGGAGTTGATTTCCAATTTTATTCCACTGTGGTCTGAAAGAGTACATGATATAATTTTGATTTTCTTAAATTTACTAAGACTTGTTTTGTGGCCTATGATATGGTCTATCTTGGAGAATGTTCCATGTGCTGATAAATAGCTTGTATATTCTTCAGTTGTTGGGTAGAATGTTCTGTAAATATCTGTTAAGTCCATTTGTTATAGGGTATAGTTTAAGTCCATGGTTTCTTTGCTGACTTTCTGTCTTAATGATCTTTCTAGTACAGTCAGTAAAGTATTAAAGTCTCTCACTACTGTGTTGCCATCTATCTCATTTCTTAGGTCTAGTAGTAATTGTTTTATAAATTTAGGAGCTCCGATGTTAGGTGCATATATATTTAAGACTGTGATATTTTCCTGTTGTACTAGTCCTTTTATCATTATATAATGTCCCTCTTTGTCTTTTTTAACTGCTGTTGCTTTAAAGTTTGTTTTGTCTGATATAAGAATAGCTACCCCTGCTTGCTTTTGGTGTCCATTTGTATGGAATATCTTTTTCCACCCCTTTACCTTAAGTTTTTCTGAGTCCTTATGTGTTAGGTGAGTCTCCTGAAGACAGTAGAAACTTGATTGGTGAATTCTTATCCATTTTGCCATTCTGTATCTTTCATGTGTAGCCTTTAGGCCATTTACGTTTAATGTTAGTAATGAGATGTGAGGTACAATACTATTCATCATGTTATTTGTTGCCTGAATACCTTTTTTTCCCTTTATGTTATTGTTATATAGGTCCTATGAGATTTATGCTTTAAGGAGGTTCTATTTTGGTGTATTTTGAGGATTTCTTTCAAGATTTAGAGCTCCTTTTTGCAGTTCTTATAGTGCTGGCTTGGTAGTGGCGAATTTTCTCACATTTGTTTGTCTGGAAAAGACTGTTATCTTTCCTTTCTTTATGAAGCTTAGTTTCACTGAATACAAAATTATTGGCTGATAATTGTTTTGTTTAAGGAGGCTAAAATAGGACCCCAGTCCCTTCTAACTTGTAGCGTTTCTGCTGAGAAATCTGCTGTTACTCTGACAGGTTTTCCTTAATAGGTTACCTGATGCCTCCGACTCCCAGCTCTTAAGATCCTTGCCTTCATCTTGACTTTAGAAAACCTGATGACAATGTGTCTAGGTGATGATCTTTTTGTGATGAATTTCCCAGATGTTCTTTGAGCTTGTTGTATTTGGATGTCTAGATCTCTAGCAAGACTAGGGGAGTTTTCCTCAATTATTCCCTCAGATATGTTTTCCAAACTTTTAGATTTTTCTTATTCCTCAGGAACACCAATTATTCTTAGGTTTGGACATTTCACATAGTCCCAAACTTCTTGGAGACTTTGTTCATTTTTTTTTAATTCTTTTTTCTTTGTCTTTGATGGATTGGATTAATTTGAAAGCCTTGTCTTCGAGCTGTGATGTTCTTTCTTGTACTTGTTCAATTCTATTGTTGAGACTTTCCAGTGCATTCTCTATTTCTGTAAGCGTGTCCTTGATTTCCAGAAGTTATGTTTTTTAAAAAAAATTTATGCTCTCTGTCTCATTGAAGAACTTTCTTTTCATATCCTGTATCGTGTTTTTTATTTTTTTTAATTGGACTTCACCTTTCTCTTGTGCCTCCTTGATTAGCTTAATAATCAACCTTCTGAATTCTTTTCTGGCAATTCGGAGAGTTCATCTTGGTTTGGATCCATTGCTGGTGAGCTGGTGTGATCTTTTGGGGGTGTTAAAGAACCCTGTTTTGTCATATTATCAGAATTGTTTTTCTGGTTCCTTCTCATCTGCATAGACTATGTCAGAGGGAAGATCTGGGACTCAAGGGCTGCTGTTCAGGTTGTTTTGCTCCACGGGGTGCTCACTTGATGTGTGTTCTCCCCCTTCCCCTAGGGATGGGGCTTCCTGAGAGCTGAACTGCAATGATTGTTTTTTCTCTTCCGGGTCTAGCCACCCTGCGGAACTACTGGGCTCCTGGCTGGTTCTGGGGAGTGTCTGCAAACAGTCCTGTGATGTGATCCATCTTCAGGCCTTTCAGCTGTGGCTACCAGCACCTGCTCTGGTGGAGGAAGCAGGGGAATGAAGTGGACCCTGTGAAGGTCCTTGGCTGTGTTTTTGTTTGGTGCACTGATTTTGTGTTGGTTGGCCTCCAGCCAGGAAGTGGCGCTTTCAAGAGCACATCAGCTGCAGTGCCATAGGGAGGAAGCAAACTTGCCCTAGGGTCACCTGGTTAGGCTAATGGATACTCTAAAAAGGCAATAGTTTTACTTTTAAATTTATTATTTATTATATCCTGGAAATTACAGACTTTGCAGCTGTCTAACACACATGATTAACATTTTTAGATGTAAACTTAAGATATATGAGGAGTAGAGAATTTTTCCAAATTCTTTCAGAGAAAAGTTTGAGGACCACTGATCCAAAGCATGCCTGTCAGTGCCAGAGAGATAACCCCAGCAGACGAACCCTTTAGCCCATTCCCAAGCTTCATGTCCTGCCTTGAAGTCCACTCTGGCCTGGAGCCCTTGGAGAGGGCATAGTTTACTGAGAGGGAGAAGGAAGGAGCCCACAGACATTCTCGGCATCACTTGCTACCACCCCTGCCTTGCACCTCTGGACATACATTTCTGGGCTTGGATGCCCTCCCACTGGACATACATTTCTGGGCCTGGATGGCAAGCCCCCGCCACCTGCACGATACCTCTGCCTTCAGCCTGAGCTCCCATGACCTCATGTGGCTGCCATGAAGAGTGAGACAATCATAAGAGTCAGCAAAAGCTATGAAGGAAATAAAAGGCATACAGCCTCGAGGTGAGGCAGAGCCTGATGGTGCAGGAAGGGTAGAAGCCAGTAAAGAATGGGGTGTAGCCCTGGGTGGATGGGGTGTCCAAGGTGGCACTAACACCTCCGCCTCCAGAGCTCCTGCGAGCCTTTTGTCCCTCTCTCTCCAGTGTCCCATGCAATTGACTTTCTTAGAGAGGGACTCCTCTCTCGGGGCCCAGGAACACAAAAGCTCATGTAAGTTTGTGGGGTGTGGGATAGGTTATGCCCACCCCACCCCATTGATCAGAACCAGTTACGTGGTCATGACCCAAGTCAGTGAGGTCCGCCTACAAGGAAACAGGGGGTGAGTCATCCCAAACAACAATGTCATCTGCTGCAAACCTGTCTTGAACAACTTGGTCATTTTGGGAATCATTTCAGTTACATTTAAAAGAATCAGCATGGCTCATCTACACTTCCTTCCCTGTCCAAAGATGCAGTTCCTTCCAGTGAATGGTATACACTAGCTAACTGTTGTTGCCTAAATATATGAGAAAGCTAGTTTTAGCACCCAATATTCTTAGTGAGTTCTCTTGCTTTGCCCAGATTCTTTCTCAATTATAACGCATTATTTGATAGTGATTGAGGGATGAGAGGAGCAAGGTCAGTAAACCAAAGCCATCATTATCCCTGCCACCCCATTCATAACACCCCCAATTACACATTTCTATCCACACCGCACCCTTCACACAAGTATGCGTCCAGCTGGGAAATACTTGGTGCCTGAGGGGTTTATGGCTCCTTGATTGATTATTAAAGCAGGCTTCCTTCGGGAGGGAGGCCTGGACATCATCCCGGCCAGGATGAGTGAGCCTCTGTTTTTATTTGTAAAGTGGGAAAATGGCTGTCGGGCTTGGCTTGCTGCAGGCAAATGCCTTTTAGTCTGAAGGCCTCTGCTCTGAGTCCTTCTGTCCTCACGGAGGAGCAAGGTCTGTCATGGGGGTGAGCCAGGCTCTAGGGAGAGGGACCACGCCTGCCACCTGCTGCCTGGAGGAGAGGACGGGTCAGCTCCTGTCCCTGCCCTTGCCAGCTCCTGGCCATTGCCTTCCAGCCTGCGGTTATCCAGAGGCCTCGCTGGCCTCTGCAGCCTGGGCCCTGAGCCCTGACTGTCTTTCCTGCAGATACCTGCCTGCTAGAAAACTGGGGCCCTTTTCTAGGTTCAGCTTTAATAGGTTGGACAATTGGCCCACATCACATGGACCATTCTGACCACATTAGGGAGGGGAGGGTGCTGTGCCAGAGTCGGGAGATGAGGTTTACCAGGGCAGGAAAGGCAGGTGACAGGACACAGAAGAGCCACATCTCAATCGCTGCAGAGAAAGCATCTGGCCAAATTCAGCAACAATATATTATTTATTATTTTTTAACCCTTTCCCGTTTAAGAAAAAAAAAATTCAGCTCATTGCCAGTAGTCATTTAATTTTACATAAACATACTCTTTGAGGCTGAAGCAAATCTGACTGATTTTCAATGTGAAAATAAAATATAAAACTTTTCTTGAAACTAAAATCAGAATTGTCTGAATCATCAGAATCTACTATTTTGGAAAAACTGGATTCATCCAATGAATCTTTGGCCAAAAACTGTTCAAGAATGATGTTAGCATCATAGGTAGGAGTGTTACATTTCCTAGGGTTTGACATTTTCAGCGATCGAGAAGTACTCTATTTTGTAAATGGAAATACCACTACTAAAAACAGAATCCTATAAATAGAATAATGTCTTTTGTTCCCAAAGTTGATATCCTAGAGCAATGCGAAAATAATCATAAAAGCGAGATATTTAATGGCAAAGTTGTCTCAGGGTAAACACTGGCTGCAAGCGCTCCCAGTGAATATTCTCAGTGAAAACAGGAAAAGGGTTAAAAAAAAAAACTTCCAGAAACCAGGAGAAACAAAGGATTTTTCAACTCAACAAATTACATCTACTAAAAATCTACAGCTTATATAATTTACGTTAAGGAGGCAGAATGCGTTCTCTCTATGATCAGGAGTGAGGCCAGGGTGTCTGCTCTCACCACTTCTGTTGGACATTGTGCTGGAGGCACTGGCCAGGGCAATGGGGCAAGGGAAAGAAATGGAATTCATACAGGTTGCAAATGAAGAAATACAACTGTCTTAATTCACAGGTGATAAGATCTTCTATAGAGAAAATCTGAAAAGATCTAGTAATAAGCTATGAGGAGAAATAAGTAAGTTTGGCAAGGTTGAAGAAGAGCAGGTCAAGGTTCAAAACTCAATTGTATTTCTATACACTAACAAGAATTAAATGGGAATTGAACTTTCTCAGAAACTATCATTTATAAGAAAATAAAAATACAAAGTACTGTAAAATTAGTATAACAAAAAAGTACAAGACTAGTGCACTGAAAAAGAAGAAAAATACACAGAAATTAAAGATTTATCTCAATAGAACATTATATCATGTTCATGAATCAAAAGTCTATACCATTAAGATGTCAGTTCTCCTCAAATTGATCTATGATTAATGCAATCCTAAGAAAAATTCTAGCAGCTTTCTGTTTTGTAGAATTCAGCAAGCTGATTTGGTATTTATAGAGAAATGCAAAGGATGGGCAATAGTCAAAACATTTATTTCTTTAAGTAAAAAGAGCAAAGTTGGAAGACATATGCTACCTGATTTCAAGGCTTTGTATAAAACTACAGATATCAAGGCTGTGCAGCACTGGCATAAGGACAGCTGTGTAGATATATGGAACAGAACAGAGCCCAGAAAAACACTCGAGCATATGTGGTCACTAGATTTTCAACAGAGGTGCCAAGATAATTCACTGGAAGGAAGGACAGCCTTCCAGCAATGGTGCTGGAACCATGGGTATATCTGTGTAAAATAAAAGAACCTCTACCCTTACCTCACACCACATACAAAAATTAACTTGAAGTGAACTGTAAACCTAAATATAAAAGCTAAAACCCTAACATTTCCTGTAAGAAAACATAGGAGAAACAGATGATTAGAAAAAATTTCTTATTTAGGACATAAAGTAGGCCAAAAAAATTGATAGATTAGACTTTATGAAAACTAAAAAGATTTGTTCCTTTCAAGGCACTATTTATAACTTTAAGATGGATGATGCATTCTTGAAGAAAATATTTTCACATCTATCTGATTAAGGACTCACATCCAAACTATATGGGACTCTTACAAGTCAATATAATAAGAAGACAAACATTCTGATTAAATAAATGGGGAAAAGATTTAATGCACATTTTACTTAAGAAGGTATATGAATAGTTAATAAGCACATGAAAAGGCTCCCAACTTCATCAGTCATTAGGGAAATGCAAACTAAAACCACAGTGGGATTCCGCAGTGTACTCACTAGAGAGGCTGGAATTAAGCAGACAGACAGTACCAAGCGTGGGTGAGAAAGTGGAGCAACTCTACCCTCCTGTGTTGCTGGTGGAAACACAGAGTGCTACAACCCACTTGGAACCACAGCTTGGCAGTTGCTTATTTACAAAATGATCTGGCAACTTCACTTTTATGCACAAAAAGATATTTATGTGAATGTTTATAGCATCTTTATTGCTAACAGCCAAAAGTTGGAAGCAACCAAAATGTCCACTGACATGGGAACAGATTAACAAATTGTGCAGTATTTGTACAATAGAATGCTGTTCAGAAACAAGAAAGAAACAATTATGGCTGCGTGGAACATCATGCATGAATCTCACAAGCATAAAGTGAATAGAGGAGTCTGATGCAAGAGAGGAAACAGCACATGATTTCATTCTTAAAACTCTAGAAGAGGCAAAACTGCAGCACCAGGGAGAAGACCGATCACTGCCAGGGCTGGGTGGAACGGGATTGGCTGCAAAGGAGATGAAAGTACTTTCTGGAATCATGAAATTGTTCTGTATCTTGATTATGCCCAAGGCTATACTCCTTTAATTGTATACCTAAAATCGGTAAAATTCATTGAATATAAATTATAACTCAATAAAACGGATTAAAAATACATCAAGGAAGGACATATCAGCCAAAACAAGCAAACATGAATTTCGAAAACTATAGAAAATAAAATGAAAGTCACAGTTAAAATTCATTAGATGGGTCCAAGGGAAACCTATATTGATAATAAGAATCCTTAATGAAAACACTACCTGTCACACACTTTTTTGTATGAGCCTTGTATAAATCAAACACACTTAGAAATGCGAGAGCAAATAGAAACTCAATTTTTGTGACAAATTTTAACACAGATCTTCTGACCATGCGGGCAGATCAGGAGTAAGAAAGGGTGCACTTATTTCCAGAGATATGTTGGTCGGGTCGAGGAAAGCCATGTGAGGCAGTGGTTCAGCACGTGGGCATTTAAAACCAGATAGAAGGCCTGGTTTTAAATCCACTTTTGCCCTTGATTTTGAGTGTGTCACTGGACAAGTTTCTTAACCTAAGTCTCCGTCCAAGGTGTTAAGTTCATGGAGTTAACTGAGAAGATCCGTAAGAACAGCCCTATTGAATAGCAGCTTCAGAAAGGCAAAGAATATCACCCTTGTGATTCACTGCTGCATGCCTGGCACAACGCAGGTGCTCAAATGTTGTCTTGAACAAATGGGTGCGAACATCATCTTCCTGGCACCAAATAAACCTTCAATAAATTATACTCAGCATTATGCTTGATTAGCAGATATTTAACTTCGTCTCTAAATTTTCTTTTTAAGCATTCATAGAATGCTTACCAAAAAAATTCCCATACCACGGGAAAAGAAGCTTTAATTAAGTCCAAAAGATAGACTTTATAGCAACATATTTCACCATAACTCATTAAAACAAAAAATCAGCAGTAAAGGAACAATCAAGAAGAAAATTCACACAGCCTTGGTAATTGTGAAAGTGCTCTCCAATGATGTTTAAGAAGTTTCACAGGGTCTGGTCTCTTATTTGTCAATTCTTATTTTTAATGTGTATCTTTATTTCCTATTATTTGAGCAAATGGTTTTCTTGTCATTTTAATCTCTGTTCTCTTGCTCATTTGAGATGCTTTATCAGGTTTGTTCTTCCCTCTCAGGATTTAAGTTTCTTTTCCTGCATTCATTCACTCAGCAAACACTGATGGAGCCTCCCTGCCCTGCCCAGTTCACAGAGCTTTGCTTGTGATCTTTGTTGTCCAGGGAGGAATTTAGATGGTGTCCTCGCCCTTTCTTTCTGGGGCTGCCTTCATTCTGCAGGGGCGGGTCCCGCTGTGTGCAAGCTCCACCATCTACGCCAGAGCAAGGGCTGGCGGCAGAGCCCTGGCCTGGCATCTGGGAGGTGAGATCTTGCCTGCTCCCAAGCTGGGGACTTTGGTCTCCCCAGCAGTCATGGAGAGGCTGAGATTCTTCTGCAAAGGAAGCTGTCCCTCCAGGTGCCCGCCTCACAGCCCTTCCTAAAGTCACGTGACGCACCAGGAGGGAAAAGCCCAGCTCCTTTGCTCAACCCAGCAGGGTCCAGGCTTCGGTGGTCCCTTGATGGACCGGAGGAGGATGGAAGCTCTACATCGGGCAGCTGGGGGCCTCCCAGGGTGAGCAGCCAGTGGGGTGAGTGGGAGCTGCTCCTCCGTCCTCCGGCTCAGTATGCCGCCTGCAGTGTGCGCAGCTCGGGATGACGGCTCAGCACATTTCTGTTGATGGCAGAATCAGCATCTGTCCCATACTTTAGTAATTGGCTCTTCTACCAAGTTTTAGTGTGGTTGGCCAGTTTTTGTGTTTTGGTAAATTTTCATCAATGTTTTAACTGTAAGCAGGAGGCAGCTCAATCTGGAGCTGTAGGCTCTCCTGAAGGTTAACCCTGGGCCTTGCCCCTGTCTCAGATGGACTAACTGAGGGCCAGAGAGGTTAATAAACTTGTCCAAAGCCGGAGCTGTTCGCCAGAGAAAGCCCACTCAGGATCCAGGTTTCTGCGTCCGAGGCCAGCGGGCTTCCCAGGAAGTCATTTTGCTCCAGCAGCCCTGAAGTTCAAAGACAGCCCCATGGGGGGTTTATCAGGGGCCCCCTTCCAGGGTTCAAGGGGTGTCAGTGAGGGCATCTGCTTACATGGTGGCCTCAGGGACCAAGGGCATACCAAGCCTGCAATGCCTGAGGAAAGGAGTCCCCTCTGCTCTTCCAGGCAGTGGGCATGTGGGGCCCACGGGACCAAGGCAGATTCTGAAACGTTGGTCTTGGACACAGGCCAGAAGGACAGTTGGCAACCTGCAGCATGTGGTTATTAAGATCCCATCTTGCAGCACCCCCAGACAGATAGTGCGCCCCAGTTGCTCCAGTAAAGAGATCTTCACAACCCAGGCGTTCAACTGCATCCCAAAGGCCACCACTTCCAGCGAACCTTCCAGGGGCCCAACTGATGCCTGCAGACACCAGACCTGGACATGCCAGGAGGAGATGTCATGCTTAGGGTCTTTGGGAGCTTCAGGAGCCAAAGAATCCAGTATAGTTACCCTGGTGAGAATTTAGGACTGGGTTTGGTTTTGAATTTTTTCTTTTTAAGGAAGACACTTTTTTATTGTATTGTTTGAACATTGAGTCAGCTGGGAACAAAGGAATGCAAGTTTGTCCTAAACAGGACTGTCTTCCGGCAGGAAAAGCACCCAGGAAAAGTGGCCACAGGGTTTTAGCTGCGGGGATGATCTTAGAGGAAAGAAACACAGTGAGCTATGCTGGTGCACAGCCAGGCTGGATGCAGAGTGGAGCCGTCCCTGCCAGGAAACCACCTGGGAGACAGTGCTCCCTCACCCTGCAGGTGGCTTCCAGGGGGAGAATCTGCCCCCTTCAGAATGGCATGAGGATGGAATCCTGCATAGCACCAACAGTGACCAGCCTCAGGCATGGGTGCAGGGGTGAGCTAGCCTCATCCACAGCTTCCACAGTGAACTAGCTTTATCCACACACAATGATGACCTACCCTCAACCAAAGCTCCAGGGGTGAGCTAGCCTCATCTACACGCAATGGTGAACTAGCCTCATCCATAGCTTCCACAGTGAGCTAGCCTCATCTGTAGCTCCAACAGTGGGCTAGCCTCATCCGTACATTGATGGTGAGCTAGCCTCATCCACAGCACCAGCACCAACAGTGAGCTAGCCTCATCAGTGGCTCCAACGGTGACTAGCTTCATCCACAGCTCCAGAAGTAAGCTAGCCTTATCCACACACTGAGGGTGAGCTAGCCTCATTTGCACATCAATGGTGAGCTAGCCTCAGCCACAGCACCAATGATGAGCTAATCTAATGTCGTGCAAGTGTTCAGTCCAGACATTCTGATCCCTCCTCAGGGATGACAAATGGAATACTGCACACAACTTACAATGAAAAATCACCCAATTTTTAAAACTCAACAAATTTTTAAAGTGCTTTTACTGGCCACATACAGAAAGAAACAGTTTCACAGCAAACCTTGCTCCAGACTGCTGTGGTAAAGGATGGAGAGGTGGGGACAGGAGTGGAGGAGGGAGTGGGATGGCCATAGGAGGGGAGGGGAAGCTGGGTCCAGCAGCCCAGGATGTGGTCATGGTGTGACTGGTGCTGAGTAACTGGGAGGACTCAAGAGTGACGATGCCTGGACATCCTTCTATCTCTGACTCATGTTGGGAAGGTCTTTCAAACTCTTTTCATCTTGCAGAGAGGCAGAGCATTCTGGAGACCAACACTTCCTGGGCGGCGCTCAGAGTGGGTGACTCTGCAGAGAGCACCTGCCAGGTGTGATCTCGGACTCAGAGTTCAATCTGCATTTAGCTGACAATGAACTGCAAACTCTGAAAATGTTCACAGCCATGGAGAATAATCTAGAAATCCTCAGTCCATTGGGAAACAGTGTGGGTCAGGGAGTGTAACCAACAGCTGGAGGTGAAGCTGGGACCAGTCAGTGAGGTTAACCACACCAGGGAAGAGGAAGAGAAACCAGTCAGGGCCAAAACGGAGCTTTCATCGATGTCTGAGGGGGCCTTGTCCATCCTGTTTGTGGATTTGGTTGTGTGTGCCTGGGTATTAATTTCTTAGGGCCACTGTAACTGCAAACTGGGTGGCGTAAAATGACAGAAACTCACTATCTCACAGCTCTGGAGAACAGAAGTCCAAAACTAAGCTGTGGGCTGGGCCGTGCTCCCTTGGAAGGCTTGGGGAGGCTCCTTCCTGCCTCTCCCAGCTTTGGGTGGCTCCGCCCCTCCTTGGCTGGTGGCTGCAGCACTCCAATCTCTGCCTTCTGCTCTGTCTTCACACGGCCTTCCCTCTGTGTCTCTGTGTCCTCTTCTCCTCTTATAAGGACAACAGTGATGAGATTTGAGGCCTACCCCGCATGCAGATAATCTGATCTCAAGATTATCACCTTAATTACATCTGTAAAGACCTTATTCCTAAATAAAGTTGCCCTCTGAGTTCTGAGTGGACATGAATTTGCAGGGCAGGCTACTCTTCAACCCACTATGGTAAGTACCTAATTTGCTGCATATCTATTTTACCTGTATTAGTACTGATGGCAGTGGCTGTGCCACGCGGCCTGCCGCTGCCATCACATCAGCTGCAACAGGGAGGTGCAGCTGGGGTTGCACATTCTGTGGAACCAGCGGGAGCTGGAGACAAGTGAGAGCCCCACCTCTTCCAAGTTGGGATGGGAGCTCCCCAGGTGCTGCTGCAAACTCTGCCCTAAGCACGGCTGCCCAAAGCTGCAGACCCGGGCCTCCCGCTCCACTGAGCAGGCAGGGGCTCTGCCCTCCTGAGAGGGGGCTGCAGCCACCCAAATTGTGGCTGCAGACCTGGGCCTCCCGCTCCACTGAGCAGGCAGGGGCCCTGTGCTCCTGAGGGGGGGCTGCAGCCACCCAAATTGTGGCTGCAGACTTGGGCCTCCTGCTCCACTGAGTAGGCAGGGGCTCTGCCCTCCTGAGAGGGGGCTGCAGCCGCCCAAATTGTGGCTGCAGATCTGGGCATCCCGCTCTGCAGAGCAGGCAGGAGCCCCGCCCCTGCCCCAGGCACAGCTGTAGCCACCCAAACTGGGGCTGCAGACCTAGGCATCCCTGCACTCTTGGGGGGGCCTGGGAAGGCACTCTTGAGGGGGCCTGGGAAGGAACCCTTGTCCTTGCAGGCTCAGTGGTTTCTGGTCCTGCTGCCTAGCCTCTCCCCACTCCTGGCACCCACTTTGATCTCAGAGCAGAGGTGGGGCCAAGCCCAGGCACTTTCACAGCCCAACCAGGTGTGCACACACTTGGGGCAGTGCTGACATGCCAGCCCCCTGCCCCTTCAGCCCCCTCTGGACTTTGGGCACTGAGGAGCATGGGAGGAGAAGCTGAAGGAGAGTTGAGGGCAGCTGGGCACTGGCCTGCAGGTGCCCCTTGGTGCCAGCAACCTGGGTGCCATGAATGGCCACGGGAGGCAGACAGGCTCCTGGGCAGAAGGGGGAGGGTCCCCAGTGAAGCCCCAGCTTCAGGCCAGGGCAGGCATAAAGCCTGGGGGCTGGGCTGCCAGTTCTGAGGACCAGAGGGGGACATCATGGTGCTTTCTCCTGGGCCCATGCATGGCTGCCTGTGGACCAATCAGCATGCACTTCCCTGCTCTGAGGCCCAAAAAAGCCCCAGGCTCAGCCAGAGCAGGACAGAGGACAGAGAGATGACAGAAAGGATGGATGACTAGCTGCAAAGAGGAGCTACCATCTCTGCTGATAGCGGCAGACAACAGGATAACCAGCTGCAGAGAGGAACCGCCCACTCCAGGGCCTCCTCTCTGCTGAGAACTGAACACTCAACAGGACGACCTTCCCACAGAGAGGAGCTACCCACTGTGGGTCTCCTCTGAGCTATTCTAACACTCAATAAAACTCCTCTTCATCTTGTTTACCTTCTACTTGTCTGTGTACCTCATTCTTCCTGGACACAGGACAAGAACTCGGGCAAAGGTACCACTGGCCACAGAGGTTTCTGGCCAGAAAAGCAACACCCTAAAGATCCCATAACAGACCAAGATGGAGAAAGTGGTACTTACTCAATCTTTTCTTAGGGGACATCGTTTATGAAGCTGGTGGGAACAGGATAACCAGATTGGGTGGGCGATGAGACCCTCAGGGGCACACTTAGCACCAGTAAGTAACTGGCAATAATAAGCTGCTGGTTTAGCAGAGGCCAGCAGGGTTTCCTCCAAGGCTCGTGTGTTGCTGCTTGGGTTTTGCAGGGCTGAGGCCACAGCCCTGTTACAGGGACAAGCAGTGAACCACGGCCAAGGAGGGAAGTGCAGAGTGGGGCCTGCCTGCTGGTGGCACCAGAGAGCAAGGCAGGCTGGAGGGTATCCTCTGGGTAGGCTGCAGGAGTCCTCTGCCCTTCCCTATAAAATCTTAGGTGAAATCCAGATTTTGCTCTAGTGCTTGGCAGAAAATTGTTCTTCCTGGAGAATTCTCTGAGACATACATCAAGGATAAAGGGAGGCAAGAACTGAATTTACATGGAAAGAAAACCAACAACCAGGATGTCAGCCCAGCTCTCGCTTGCAAAAAACTCAAGAGCTTGCAGCCAGGGGTGGGGCTGTGGCCATGGTGCTGGGGGATCAGTTCCTGTCAACCAGTAGCCCTTGCTTAAAAATAAAAAAGGTGGAAGGGGCTTTTGGTCTCTGGGAAGGTGTGTCCTTGAACTGTCTAGGCCCCATGACATTTGGAATCTAGATTCTGGCAGGCATTAGGCCAGCAGCAACTGGTGGGGTCGAAAGACAGGTCTGGGCCTGTCCTTGTCCTGGAGTGTCCATGATGTGGTCTTATGGATGACCAGATGTGCTGCTCACAACCACCATGTAAGAAGGGTGGGGTAGTGGCCGTTAATATTATCTCAGTGCCATGGTTTGGATATTTGTCCCTTTCAAAATTCTGTCGAAATTTAATCCCCAATGTGCCAGTATTAAGATGTGGGACATTTAAGAGGTGATTGGGTCATGAGGGCTTTCCCCTAATACATGGATTAATCCATCCAAGGATTAATGGATCAATTGGTTATCACAGGAGTAGGACTGGTGGCTTTATAAGGCAAACCTGAGCTAGCACACGAGCATGCTCAGCCCCTTCACCATGAGATGGCCTGTACCACCTCAGGACTCTGCAAAGAGTTCCCACTAGCAAGAAGGCCCTCACCAGATGAAGCCCCTCAACCTTGGACTTCTCAGCCTCCATAACTTAAAAAAAAATTCCTTTTCTTTATAAACTACCCAGTTTCAGGTGTTCTATTGTAAGCAACAGAAAACAGACTAAGACACTCAGCATTCTGAGGAAGAAACTGAGTCTCAGTGTTGGCCCCAAGATAGCCCAGCCATGAGATGGCAGAGCCTGATTTCAAAGCCAGGTCATCAGGGATCTGCCATCTCTCACCTTTGAATTCTCTGAATCTCAATCCAGAGCTTTTCCTAGTACAATGTGTTTCCTCTACATCACATATGATGGGCAAGAGATCATGACTTTTATTTTATTTTATTTTATTTTTATTTTACAGTTTTGTAGAGACAGGGTCTTACTATGTTGCCCAGGCTGGTCTTGAATTCCGAGCCTCAAGCCATTCTTCTGTCTCAGCCTCCCAAAGTGCTGGGATTACAGGCAGGAGCCACTGCGCCCGGCCAAGATCATGACTTTTATTGGGAACATCTATTGGCTGCCTGTCTGTTTTGCCCCAGATGTGCCATATCTGTTAACCACCTCATAGTTCTTAGGGGGAAAGGCCTTCCTGGCTCCCTTCCAACTTGCCACTCATTGCCATGCTTGTGCCCACCTTGCGGCTGATAGAGAAGTGCCATAGCTAGCTTCTAACATTCCAGGATTCTGTCATCTTCACTTCTGCCTGGGAGCCCCCTTCTGCAATAGCATCCCCCCAACCTTCCCTGGCCTAAAGAGGATGCACCCCACGGAGCTCAGGGACACTGGCACCCCCTCACTGGCACGTTCCTGTGACTCCACAGCTCGGCGTGTGGCCCCTTCCTCCCCCTGCAGCCCTGCAGGCCCTGGTCGGGTGATGTTGCCCCTCAAATCCACTTGTTGTCTGGTGACCAGGAGGGGAGGTGGGGATTAATCCTTTGTGTGGGGTGTTGTGTGTGTGTGTGTGTGTGTGTGTGTGTGTGTGTGTGTGTGTGCTGTCTTGTAAAGCAGAGGCCTCTGTGTCTTCCCCAAGCAAGGGCAGAGCCCTAGGTTTTAACCAGGGAGGAGGGGGCATGTCCACAGCTCCAGTGGGTCAGGGCATCCAGGGTTCCCACATTTTCATGTGCATGGACTTGGCTATTCCCAGTCCATATCTCAGCATCCCAGTCCGCTGTTCCAGTTGGGCCTTGACTTTGGTGGAGACTGGCAGGATGGCCTGGGCCTGAGCCCAATCAGACAGCCCAGTTGGGAGCAGGATCTGTGGTGGGACCCAGACGTAGCAGGGCCTGATTAGAAGTGGCTGAGTGAACCAGGGAGGGCGGAGGGAGAGGGGCAGAGATACTAAGTCGTCTGTCTCTGCCCCATTCCGTAAAGTGTCATAAAATCTAAATCAGAATCACTGCTGGGGTAGAGTTAATAGACGGGGAGGGAAAATGAAATAGGGTTCTTGTAGAACAGGTCCCCAAACTGACCGTGCACAAGAATGCTGAGACGTCGACAGACACACAGAGGCACATGAGGCAGTAAAACGTGCGTTAGTGACAAACGTGCCAGCACTGTGCCCCGACCACCGGTCCTGAAGGAGACTTTCCTAGGAAACAAACAGATCAAGGAGGAAATGAAGACCAGGGAACAATCACACTTAAAATGGAATTGAAATGGTTAGGATCACAACAGCACTTAAAAAGATTTCCAGGCCTTTGAATATCTTCTTTATCAAAATAAGAAAAGAAAAGGATCAAACGGAGTCTGCAACCTATGATCTTAAGATCATAAGAAAATCTAAGAAAATCGGAGGGAAACATAACAAGTAGAAACAGATGGATTTATATATGAGAAAAACTTAAATGAGTCACTAAAACGAAGAGCTCGTCCAAACAAAACAAATTAGAGGGGTATTCAGAATTAACCTAGAGCAAGGCTTCTTGACCACGCGCTGTGATGCTCCTAGCTGGCTCACGTTTTGTGCCAGGGGCCACCCTGTGCACTGTGGGGTGCTCCACGCCCACCCTGGCTCCTCCCACCAGATGCCAGGAACATTATTTCCCCCCAAGTCGTGACAAGCAAAAATGTCTCCAGACTTTGCCAAATATCCCAAAGGAAAAAAAAAGTCATTCCTGGTCGAGAATGACTGCCCTCAAATTAAAAAAAAAAATGATCAGGAAGCCCGGTGTATGTGGTAGGTGATCTGGCTGATCTTACCCTTTTAAGGAACGAGTCATTTTTATGGCATATAATTTGCCTCTAGGCGTTCTTTGAGATATATGTCATGTGATTAGAAAACTTGAAAATGATTTAAGACACAAAATTATTATTCTGGGGGTTTGGCCGTGAGCAGGGGATGGAGGAAGAGCAGAGACCAGCTGGGAAACATGGCTTCCTTAAGCAGGGCTTGGAAAGAGGTACCCAGGAGGAGTAGTATCTTGTTGACAGGTAATGACAATAGAAGCTCTGATTACACAACATCTTCTAGAATGATTACATTGTGGAGGAGAAGGACATAAAAATGTCACCCAACTGTGGTCAGAAACGAGCAGCTCGTGGGCACCACCAGCGTCACCTCACCAGTGCTGGGCAGCGCGAAGCTCCTCTGCTTCACCTGGCTCTGCAGGAGGAGCCGGCTCCTTCCAGGCATTGCCGCGGGCAGGCTCCCTGGCCACAGTACCACCCATCCATACAGGCGCCATGGGGGCTGCCCTCCACCTTGGTTGTTTCCTGCTCTGGCCCGTTCACTGTGTTCACCTCCTTCCCAGTAGCCAGAAGGGCCTCCCGGTTGCTCTGCTGATGCTGTGCTAAGGAGAGTATCCATGCCTGTATCCCGGGAGCTGCCTCCGGGGCTGCACATCTCCAGGCCTCCGGATCAGAGCCGGGTCGTGTTCTAGGAGATCCTGTTCCTTGTCCGGCTTGAGTTGCTACAAGCTCCTGGGCTTCCTGGCTCATGGACGTCCGATGGGGAAGAAGGGCTCCTTCACCCAGCAACAGGAGCTCAGCCGAAAGCTTCTGCTTGCTGCATTTTGCTCTGGGGACCCAGCCTGTGTTGTGCCTGCGATGGAGCACTTCCAGGACATACACGTCCATCCTTGCCCACTTCTGTGCAACTGCTGAAGCCAATGCTAGGGATTTGGTCTCAATTTTCAAAGTAAAGTTTGTATTCTTAACGGTCCACAGAGTTACTCTAACTCCACAGTGAGCAGCTCATCTATTTACTCAGGGTGACCCAATAGGTAGGTGACATGCTTTCAGCCTAGGCCCATTGTCCCCGTGTCATTGTTAATATCCTTTCATTTACAGAGGTGACCCAGGTTGGACAAAACCTCTGTGCTCACCCCTGGATGCTAGTGTGCTGGGGAATCCCTCTCAAGACACCTGGAAATCTAAATCCTTCTAAGCACTAAACCATACAGACAGTTGATCATTTTGGGTGGAAATCCTCGTGGACTCTGCCTTCTTAAGGAGACTTCGTGGCAGGAATAGTTCCTTTCTTGATGACTCGGCCTTCCTCCGTTCTGCCCTGGCCTGTGGGGCCCAGCTGGGCCTCTGTCCGAATGCCTTTCTGCCTTCCAGTGGTCCATACCCTCCACTTCCTTTGTCCAGTGATCTTTGCAGAGCAGTTGGCATCATGGCTGCAGCATTGCTCCTGGCTGGAAGGGTCCACCCCTGTATATCACTGTCTTCTGGGACCTGCTGTGGCTGAAGATGCAGGGATGGGTCAATGCAGTCCGTACCTGGGAGGGCTTCAGTCTAGTGGGAGAAAAGGATTCCATAATGGGGTCCATGTATAGATGAGCAGTACACACGTGGGCTGTGGACAAATGAGAGCCCACAGAGACCTGTCTGAGCTCAAGGTGGGCTTCCTGGAAGAGGAGTCTTGGAAGGTATAAGAAGTGACCACATGGGGGAAGCAGGAAAGTCATTCCAGCCTTTGGGGCTGGGCTGAGCACAGGCAGGGTAAAATCAAGGTGTCCCGAGCACATCTAACGCGGGAGAGCTGGAGTGAGGCGAGGCTGGAGGCCTGGCCACCAGTGGTCAAGTGCACTATCCGAGGACATGGCTGGCACAAGCCACGGGAGGCCCTTGCCACCCACTTTCTGGCCCCACGCCACCATGTAAGGCCTTCTACAAAGCCACCAATGCCCCTCAAAACAGTTAGAGCCTGGGCTGGAGCCAGCCCATGCTGCGTAGGAACATCTACAGGGAACTGTGGGGGCCTCAGGGGAGGGGGTTCAGAGCTTTTGATGAGCTTCAAGGAGAAAGAAGGAGAGCCTCCTGTGTCCCCGAGGAGCACCAGGCACACTGCACCTCAGAAAAAGCAGGACTCATGTGATGCAGAGTGTATGGAAATAAACAGATGACCCAGGTGAGAACCACAACCATTTGCTCAGAACCTGCCACCATCCTTTGTGTCTGGCGGAGACTGGGAGGCAGGCAGTGGAGAGGAGAAGCTTCGCAGGGAAAGAAGGGAGGCTCAGGTGTGCCCTGCCTGGAAGCTGTTGGCTGGGGGGAGCTGGAGGTGGCTCACTAGAAGCAGGGATCCTATGTGATTGGTTAAGGGCGTATTCGACTTTCTCTGGTTGGTCCGAAGTTGGAAGTTGAGAGAGAAATTAGGGAAGTGATCAGTTATTAATAAAGCCCTGGCCACCTGGGGCCAATTGTTACAGAAGTTACTGTTTAGCTTTCCAGATTAGCTGTAGAACAAGCAGGCTGGCCTCAGGCTGGTGACTGTAGATGATGGGTGGGCTTCCTTGGCTGGTGACTGTAGATAATCTGTGGGCTTCCCATGCTGGTAACTGAGTGATTGGTGGGCTTCCCAAGCTGGTGACTGTACATGATGGGTGGGCTTCTCGAGCTGGTGACTGTAGATGGTGAATGGGCTTTTCGGGCTGTTGATTGTGTATGATGGATGGGCTTTCTAGGTTGGAGACTGTAGATGATGGGTGCACTTCATAGGCTGGTTATTGTCGATGATGGATGGGTTCCTTGGGCTGGTGACTGTGGATGATAGGTGGGCTTTTCGGCCTGGCAACTGTGGATTATGGTTGAGCTTCTCAAGCTAGTGACTGTGGGTGATGGGTATGCTTCTTAGTCTGGCGACCATAGATGTGGGTGTGCTTCATAGGCTGGTGACTGTAGATTATGGGTGGACTTCCCAGGCTGGTGACTGTAGATGACGGGTGGGCTTCCCGGGCTGGTGACTATAGATGATGGGTGGGCTTACAGGGCTGGTGACTGTGGATGATGGATGGGATTCTCAGGATGGTGACCATGAGTGATGGGTAGGCTTACAGGGCTGGTGACTGTAGATGATGGGTGGGCTTCATGGGCTGGTGACTGTGAATGATGGATGGGATTCCTAGGTTGGTGACTGTAGATGACGGGTGGGCTTCCCAGGCTGGTGACTGTGGATGATGGGTGGGCTTCCCAGGCTGGTGACCATGAGTGATGGGTGGGCTTCCTGGGCTGGTGACTGGATGATGGGTGGGCTTCTAGGGCTTGTTACTGCAGGTCATGGCTCAGGGTTCTGTTTTCACATATGGCCTGGTCATTGTCCATTTGTCCATTCAGCCTCTTAAGTGAAATGGGGGCTATTTGGGATGTAATGATCATCACACTAGAAACACCTCCCAGAGTAGCTCCCGTCGAGGCTGGAATACAAGCTCAAGATCAGCAGAGGGTCGGGGGCTCAATGAGTGGTGGATGGAAGCCTCTCCTCTGTATCTGGGGTGACCATGACCCAGGTGGCGCAGGGAGTGTGCAGACAGACAGGGCTGTGTCCCAGGAGAGGCCTTTGGCCAAGTCCTTCTGGGCCGCTGCGTTCCATGAGAACTGTTTTATTGAGAGGGATGGTATGTAGTGGATTGAGAAATTGCCATAGTTGGAAAAACAAGCATAAAAACTGCCAGAAAAACAATACTAAAGATAATAGTGCCAGATCCAGGGAGGAAGGCAAGTGTTAAGCATGTGGGACATTGCAAATTAATTTAAAAAAAAGAAAAAAAGAAGAGGAGGGAAATCTCGAGTTGTCCATGCGCCAGTGCTGGGGGATTTGGCCGGATGGTGGTTCTCACTGTGTTTCAAGTGTAAGATATACTTTGATTAATTTCTCTAGACTTCACCAGAGTTACACCAGCAACTCCCAGAACACTAATTAATGAGAAGAGGCGGACAGTGACTCATGCTGGACCGAACCCAACTGACGAAAACCCTCCCAGCCCTCAGAAAGCATCCCGGTCCTCATGCAATGGGAATCGCCTCAACCAAGGCAGCCTTGGCGGGAGGTCAGAGGGATGATAGAGGCGAGCCCTGATTAATGGGTGTGTGCGTGCGTGCGTGTGGACACTCCTGCACAGGCTCTGGGTGTGTGTTCGCAGGAAGAGCTGGCAGGGACATCTGGCAGGCATGCTTCCTCATGGGGTCACCCCACCAGAGGCTGACAGACCTGCTGGGCCCTCCAGGGTTTAGATTCCCAGGAAAACAGCGGAAGCCTGAGCAAAGGGAGCTGTTGGACTCCCCAGCTCAGCCGCCACCCGGGTGGGAAGTCACCTCTTCCAGCTGGCCCCGACCACGCAAGGCCGTTTTGGCTGGCCCAGTTCTGCTTGAGAGCTTGGGTGGTAGAGAAGGAGCACAGAGGATCATTCACTTCCGTAACACATTGGGGAAAGTGGACAAAGCAGAAATGATTTGCAACCTGACCTAGAAATGGCATACGAAGATGGGAAGACACCCAGACATGTATTTGCTCTCCCCGTCATGAGTGGCTTTGGGTCCTCCTGCCATGTCTGGACACTGTGGCTGCAGAGCCAACTGCCACCTGGCTGGGCCACAAGGACCCACAGCTTGAGGCTCCTGGGGGAGTCGAGATTTGGGGGTGGAGCATCCATTGTTCTCAATTTACAGTTAAGAGGAAGCACATTGCAGTTCGTTGCAATGCACGTCCCACGTGCAGGCGTTCCAGCCAAGCTCCGCAGAGGCAGCTTGTGGGTGTGCACAGGGACCCTCAGCCCTCCATTTGGGCAACAGAAGACATATTAGCCTTGCACAAGGCAGCTTGTCTTCACCCGGGTTCCCCGTGGAATGGTTTGAGCACACAGAGCCAGCGTGCTGTTCAGGAAGAAGTAGTATTCTCTTCCAAACCTGTGAACAACCAAATGGTAGCTGAATGTTTCAAAGCTGGTGAAGGTGAAAGTACAATGAGCCAGGGGGAAATCAAGGCGGGAACACAGAGATTAAGAGCAAGGACTCTTCAGGCCTCGCTTCTGCCAGTCATACAACGCCTGGCCAGGGACCAGCCTGTGTGGGCCCCAGGTCCTCTACCCACAGATGATGCGGATGGTGATGGCACCAGCGCAGAGGACTATGGCGTTAACGCAGAACAGGAAACTCAACAAGGCATAGCCCACAGGAAATACCCAGTTGTTGTTCCACGGTGCTTTTTTTTTTTTTTTTTTTTTTTTTTTGAGACGGAGTCTCGCTCTGTCGCCCAGGCTGGAGTGCAGTGGCACGATCTCGGCTCACTGCAATCTCTGCCTCCCGGGTTCACGCCATTCTCCTGCGTCAGCCTCCCAAGTAGCTGGGACTACAGGCGCCTGCCACTACGCCCAGCTAATTTTTTGTGTTTTTAGTAGAGACGGGGTTTCGCCATGTTAGCCAGGATGGTCTCGATCTCCTGACCTCGTGATCCGCCCGCCTTGGCCTCCCAAAGTGCTGGGATTACAGGTGTGAGCCACCACGCCCAGCCTCCATGGTGCTTTTTTAGGATAGGCTTGGTGGGCAGTGGTGTGACTTCTGAGGGCTGCAAGTTTTACCTTGCAGAGGGCACAAAGAGCCCACAGGGTAGCATGTCCCAAATGCCGTCACCAAGGCATTAACCCGAGAATGGTAGGCATGACCATGCACCAACACAGTCACAGAGACATCTTAGACTCCTAACGTGTAAGGAAATACCGTGGGAAATACAGGGCTTTATCACAGAACAGGGAAGGTAGCTTGATGGGAAGGGAGTGGGAAGGGTTGACCTTCAAATTACTGAGACAGGAAGCAGGGGGACTCTGGGGCACAGAGTGTGACTTGCACCTCTGTGTGCCTCTGGGACTCACTGCACTCACCTGTACATGTGCACTTTGCATTCACAGATTACTGTGGTTTACCAATTGAGGGTGGGCCCGATGTGGTAGAACAGGCTGAGTATGCTGGAAACGTGGACCAAATGCACACCTGTGCTGCACACACACAGGGAGGCCCCATCAGCGCTTGAGCCCTGGCCCAGGGAATGGCAGCGCTCGCTGCTACACTGGACCAAGATGGACTTGCTGTGGGTCTATGGATTCAGCACTTGATTGGGCAGATGCAACATGCTAATTGCCACACTAGGAACCAGAGTCCAGCAGGGAATAAAGGAGACAGTGGCCAGACCATCACAGGGCTTGAGTTGCAGTGGGTAGAGACATGCAATTAGGCAGGAAGGCAAATTCCAGCTCTGCACCCTCGTCTCTTGTGTCTC
Organism: Homo sapiens; assembly: GCF_000001405.40. Taxonomy (NCBI): domain Eukaryota; kingdom Metazoa; phylum Chordata; class Mammalia; order Primates; family Hominidae; genus Homo; species Homo sapiens. The sequence goes on along the minus strand of NC_000002.12, from coordinate 238,936,567 downwards.
ATGAAGAGCATAGAGAAGAAGCATGGTTATGAGTTTAACAAGTACAGGCACCCAGACCATGCCTGCAACATGGAAGAAGAAAGCGGAGAGGGTTCTGGGGGTTTCTCTTCAAGTCTGGAGAGCTTTCATTTCTCACGTAGAAGGGGGATGCCGAGGACCAAGCGAAGAGCAGTGCCCAGCTAAAGGTTGCAGCTGCCACTAAACACGGGTCCCCACGCTGACCCTGGTCGGTCCCTGCTCTCACACAGTAACAAGCAGAGGTAACTTCACACACAAGAGTATCATCTTCATAAACTTTTACTTTTGTGTACTTTTGCTTGTTTTTAATCAACCTTTTTATCTTGTGATAATTGTAGATTCGTATGCAGCCCTAGGAAATCATACAGGGAGATCCCCACGTGCTTCACTCGGCTCCTGCCAATAGTAACATCTTAGAAAACGACAGTGCAGCCTCACAGCCAGAAAATTGACATTGACATGGTCAAAATATGCCACCATTCCATTCTTCAACTGTCCCTTATCGTGGGGGTCCCTCGCATTGTCATCTTACAGCCGTACCCACTTTCCATCCTCCACCCTAATTCTTTTTTTTTTTTGAGATGGAGTTTCACTCTTGTTGCCCAGGCTGGAGTGCGATGGCATGATCTTGGCTCACTGCAACCTCCGCCTCCCAGGTTCAAGCAATTCCCCTGCCTCAGCTTCCTGAGTAGCTGGGATTTCGGGCATGTGCCACCACACACATGTATTTTTTTTTTTTAGTAGAGACGGGGTTTCTCCATGTTGGTCAGGCTGGTCTCAAACTCCAGACCTCAGGTGATCTGCCCACCTTAGCCTCCCAAAATGCTAGGATTACAGGTGAGCCACCACGCCCAGCACCCCCACCCTAATTCTTTGCAACTGCTCATCTGTTCTCTATGTCTACAATTCTGCCACCTCAAGAACGTTATGTAAATGGAATGATGCGGCATGTGGTCTTTTGGATCTGGCTGTTTTCACTCACCACAGTTCTCTGGAGGTTTGCCCTGGTTTCTGTGTGTTCAATACACGCTCCTTTTCATTGCCTCATAGTATTCCATGGCAAGGATGCAGCACACACACCTCATCTCACCATTCACCGTTTGAAGAAAATCTCTGTTGTTTCCAATTTTTGGCCACTATGAAAAAACTGCTATGAACATTTATGTACAGGTTTTTGTGTGAATATAAGTTCTCATTTCTCTCAGATAAATGCTGCTCAAGAGTAAAATTGCTAGATCATATAGTATTGAATGTTTAGTTTAGTTTTGTTTTGTTTTGTTTTGTTTTTTTGAGATGGGAGTCTAGCTCTGTTGCTCAGGCTGGAGTGCAGTGGTGCGATCTGTGCTCACTGAAACATCTGCCTCCTGGGTTCAAGTGATTCTCCTGCCTCAGCCTCCCATGTAGCTGGGACTACAGGTGTGCACCACCACGTCTGACCAATGTTTTTTGTATCTTAGTAGAGATGGGGTCTCCCCATGTTGGTCACGCTGGTCTCAAACTCCTGACCTCAAGTGATCTGCCCACCTCAGAATGTTTAGTATTTTAAGAAACTTCCAAACTGTTTTCCAGAGTGGCCGCATCATTTTATAGTCCACCAGACATGTATAAATGATCCAGTTTCTCCACATTCCCACCAGCATTTAGGGTTGTCACTGTTTTTACTCGGCCATTCTGATAAGTGTGAAACGATATTGTGGCTTTAATTTGTATTTCCCCAGTGGCTGATAATGTTGACTATATTTTCACATACTTATTTGCAATCTGTAGATTGTTTTCTGTAAAATGTCTGTGCTCCTTCTTTGCCCATTTTCTATTTGAATTGATTTTTTTACTATTGAGTGGTGAGGTCTTTATATAGTCTTGATACTTCTCTTCTGTCAAATATGTGGTTTGCACATATTTTCTCCAGGTATATAATTTGTTTATTCATCCTCTTAACAGGATCTTTCACAGAGAAAAAGTATTAAGGTTTTGATGAGGTCCAGTTTATTAATTTTTCCTTTGATAGCTTGGATTTTTGGTGTCAAGTCTAAGAAGGCTTTGCCTAGCCCTAGACTCAAAGATTTTCTCTTCTGTTCCCCCCACTTCCCACTAAACGTTTATAGTTTTGGGTTTTACATTTAAGTCCGTGATCCATTTTGAGTTAATATTTTATAAGGAGTGAGACTTAGGCTGTGGTTCATGTTTTGCCTTTTGATGTCCAATTGCTCCAGCACCATATAGTGCAAGGCTATCTTTCCTTCCTTGAATTGTCTTTGTACCTCTTTAAAAAATCAGTTGGATCTATTGGTGTGCGTCTACTTCTGGGTTCTCTGTTCTGTTCCATTGATCTATGTGTCTCTCCCTCTGCTAATGTCATACACTCTTGATTACTTTGGCTACACAATAAGTCTTGAAATTGGATGGACTGATTCCTTCCACTTTATTCTTTTGCAAGTTGTTTTAGCTATTAATTGCTTTGCCTTTTCAGATGAATAGACAAGAATAATATTGTCAGTTTCTACAAAAAATCTTGCTGAGGTTTTGACCAAAGTTTTGTTAAACCTGCACATCAGTTTCAGGAGAATAGACATCTTTACTATGTTGAGTCTTCCAATCCATGAACATGGTATGTCCCTCCATTTATATCAATCTCCTTTGTTTTCTGTCATCTGCACTGTGTGGTTTTAGCATACAAGTCCTGTACGTGATTTATTAGAACCTAGGAATTTCAAGTTTTTGGAACAATTGTAAATAGCATTGTATTTTTAATTTCAGTGTACACATGTTTGTTAGTAGTACATATAAATACAATTGATTTTTGTATGTTTATCTTATACCTGTGAACTTGCTGAACTCACTAGTCCTAGAATTTTTTTTTAATAGACTCCCTGGAATTTTCCATGTAGGCAACCATGCCATTTGCAAATAGGGAGTTCCATTTTTTCCTTTCCATTATATATGCCTTTTATTTGCTTCCTTTTCTTTCTGCACATCCAGCAATATATTAGGTAAGAGTGGTGAAAGTCCACATCCTTTCCAAATTCCCAATCTTAGAGGGAAAGCATTCAGTCTTTTTCCATCAAGTAGAATGTAGCTAAGGTTTTTCGTAGACACTTTTAATCAAGTTGAGTAAGTCCTTCTCTGTTCATATTTTTCTAAGAATCTTATTTTTTGCCATGAATGGGTATTGCCTATTTTAAAAATGTTTTTGTGCAATTAATAAATCAATTGATTTCTTTTTTAGCCTTTTAATATAATGAACCATATTTAAAATTTTCAAATACCACACAAGCCTTGTATCTCTGGAATAGATCCTACTAGGTCTTAGTATATAATTCTTTCTATATATTGTTGAATTTAATTTGTCAATATTTTGTTAAGAATTTTTGCACTGATATTTATGAGAGATATTGGTCTATAGTATACTGTTTTATGTACTGTCTCTGTCTGGTTTTGGTATAAGGGTAATGTTAGCCTCATAAAATAAATTGTTATCTCCTATTCTTTAATTCCAGAAAAGATTGTGTAGAATTAATGTTAATTCCTATTTAAGTGTTTAGGAGAATTCTCAGTGAAATTATCTAGGCATAAAGTTTTTTTGTCTTAAAACTATGAATTTAATTTTTGTAATATATGTACAGGCTATTCAAATGATTTGTTTCATATTGGGTAAATCGTGGGCTTGGGTTTATCTTAAATAAAGAAATTGGTTCATTTCTTCTAAGTTGACAGATTTATGTTGAGTTGTTCATAGTATTCCCTCTCTATACTTTTGATATCTGCAGAGTTTGTGGCGATATCGCCTGCTTCATTACTGATATTGGTAATTTCTGCCTTCTCTCATTTTTTTTGTCAGCATTGCTAGAGTTCTGTCAATTTTATTGATCTTTTCAAAGTGGCACTCACTTTGTTTCACTAATTTTTCCTATTGCTTTTCTGTTTTCAATTTCAGTGATTTTCTTTCTTATCTTTATTATTTTCTTCCTTTTGTTGGCTCACACCTGCAATCCCAGCACTTTGGGAGGCCAAGGTGGGCAGATCACCTGAGGTCAGGGGTTCGAGACCAGCCTGGCCATCATGGTGGAACCCTGTCTCTACTAAAAATACAAAAATTAGCAGGTGTGGTGGTGCTCACCTATAATCCCAGCTACTCTGGAGGCTGAGGCAGGAGAATCGCTTGAACCTGGGAGGTGGAGGTTGCTGCAGTAAGTCGAGATCGCACAACCACACTCTAGCTTGGATGACAGAGCAAGACTCCATTTAAAAAAAAAAGATTATTGATTTGAGACTTTTTCTTTTTTAATATATGCTTTTAGTGTTATAAATTTCCCTCTTAGCACTGCTTTAGCTGTGTCCTATGAATTTTAAGATGTTGTATATTCATTTTCCTTCAGTTCAATTTACTTTTTTAAATTTCCCTGAGATTTTCTCTTTGACCAATGTGTGGTTTTGGGGTTTCGTGACTTTTTTGTTTCCAGGTTTTTGGAGTTTTTCCTCCATTGTTTTTCTGTTATTGACTTCTGTTTGATTGCACTGTGGCTGGAGCACACACTCTGCATGATTTTCATTCTTTTGAATTTTTTGAAATTTGTCTTATGGCCCAGGATGTGGTCTGTTTTAATATATGTTCTGTTGGGATTTACAAAGAAAATGTGTTCTGATGTTCTTGGGTGGACTGCTCTAATAATATTGATCACATACTATTGGTTGATGGTGTTTTGAGCTCTTCTATATTCTTGATGATCTTTTGTCTAGTTCTATCAATGGTTGATAAAGGGACTTGAAGTCTCCAACTATAATTGTGGATTTGTCTATTTCCCTTTTCAGTTCTATTAATTTTTGCTTCCCATGTTTTGCAATTCTGTTGTTTGCTGCATACACATTTAGGATTGCTACGTATTTTTGTTGGATTGATCATTATTACTATATAATGTCTCCTCTCCAATTCTGGTAATCTTACTTGCTCTGCAATCTACTTTATCTGATATCGACATAGCCACTTCTACTTTCTTTGGATTAATGTTTGCATAAAGTATCTTTTAAAAATCTTTTTACTTTCAATCTGCTTATCATATCATTATATTTGAAGTGAGTCTCTTGTAGACAGTGTGTAGTTGAGAAATGTTTTTTAATCCAACCTGTCAATTTCTATCTTTTATTGGTGTTTTTAGACCACTTGCATTTAATGTAATTATTGATGCATTAAGATTTGTCTGTCATTTTATTTTATTTTATTTTTTTGTTGATTCTGTTTCATTTTTTCCATCTTTTTGGGGGTTACCTGAACATTTTTTAGAATTCCATTTTTGTTTTGATCACCAAAGGCATCTAAATGTAGGGTGCAAATATGTGTCACAAGTAGGTTTTCCTCTGTATTCTGCTCAGTGCCTTGAAGGTACCTCTCCTTCAACTCTCCTGGGTGTTGTATGGAGAATGTGGTGGTCCAGTTGGGGGAGATCTCAGATCAATGTGAACAGGGTCTCTCATTAGACTCCCCATCTTGAGAGGTCTCTGCACCATGTAGACTAGCAAAGCTACTGCAGTCCAATTTTGCCTCGATCTTCAAATATCCTTGGAGTACTATCAGCTTACATTCTTCATTTTTATCTGGATTCCACTTTTTAAAAAATAGTTTAGCCTGTTTATTTCTTACTATCTTGTTTGCTCTTCATTGCTTTTAAGAATTAAAAACATTTTTCCAGCATTTTAATTTGTTTTCAGCAGGAATTTTATTTGAGTAACTTAGTTTGCTATTTTCCTGGAAGTGGAAGTTTCAATTGCTTTTTAAAAGACCTTCTAGATTGAGCTATTTTGGTTGCAAGTCCAAAATAAGAGCGATTCGTTGAAGTTCCCTCAACAACATGGGTGCCACTGCTTGGCTTCCCCCTCAAAGAAGACTCTGAGGCCAAGCTTTTATATAGATTACTCATTTTTTAAGTTCCCAGGGGAAAAGGGACTAGGGGGACCGGGCAGATGAAGGAGGGAGGAGGGAAAGCTGACCCAAGGCTGTGTCACCGAGCCAGTCGCCACTGCTGGAAACAGGGGCTTAGTTATGCAGAGGACCCTCTGAGCAGTCATGGACAATGGGGTCAGAATTGTCCCCTTCTCTACGATGCGGAAGAGGGGTATTTATCTTCCTGCTTCTGTCCCATGGATGGAGAGTTGCTCCAGGGTCTGTGAACTCCCCTGTGCTGTCACTTATGGGACCCAGAAGAGATGAGTTCTATCCCATGACAGGTGCCCAGGAGCCCTGGGCAGATGATGAGAAGCATCTGACATCCTAGTGAAGCACCATCAGGACATGGGCAGGTTAAGAGGATGCGAGAGAGGCCCTAAAAGATGTCTGGACAAGGCTATGTACCGTAAAACAAAAGGTCTGGAAGGAGAGAGGCAATCAGGAATAAGGGTGACTGCCCACTCCACCTGCTCCCGGGGCAGTGTGGTCATCTTTGCTTCCTCCAGGGCTCCTCTGCCAGCCTGCTCCCTCTCCATCCTCACAGGTCCTGGTCCCTCATCTCCCCAGCTTGCTCAGGGCTCACACACTGCAGCCTCCCCGGCCCCTGCTGCTGAATCCAGATAGGTATCCTCCTGGTCTCTGCTCTTGCAGCCAGTGAGCTCAGCCTCTGTGTTTCCCAGTCCCCAGAAGGACTCCACTTGGCCAGCTCATCTTTTTGATCCAGGCCACCCATGCCACAGCCCTTGGCAGCTTAGCGGTTGGCTGCCGTCTGGTCCAGCATTCACCCTGCTCCAATCAGCCAACGAGGAGGGACAGAGATTTGGCTGTTTACACAGAAGGGCTGTGGCAGGAAGACACTGTCAGCACAAAGGACATAAAAATGAAGGCAGGGAGCTTTGGTTTTGTTTTTTATTCATTCTTACAACTCCCAAGAATGGGCAGTGGGAGGAACTGGGCCTGTGGGGTCAGCAGGACCATGTGACGAAAAGAATGTGCAACTTTTTCCAACGTGATTCGCCTTGTCTTATTTTTTTTTAAATCTGTGAATTGTTGGGTCAATTCCAACATGATAAAGAGCCACATTTGTTAATCTTGGCATCAAAACGATGTGTTTTCAAAATCCGAACAAAACTAAAGAAGTAACAAGTTTTAAAGAAGCAAGACTAAGAAGTAAAGAAGTCACATCCTGTGTGGAAAGTCTGTTTCCAAAGAAAAAAACACAGATGAGAAAAAACACTCTGCTGTGTGCTGAATAAAGACCTACCCCACCCTTGTGGGAAGCTTGAGCACTCTGCTCTGATGTGAGGGTGTGGGGATCCGGGTTCTAGACCAGCACCTCCTCCAGGGCTTCCGCACGCTGCTCATTGGGCGCACCTTGTTTAGGGTTCTGTTGAGGGCATTGTGGTGGCAATGGCACCCACGGAACAAGAAGGGCATGGGCACAGGTCTCAAGGGCCTTATCTCCGGCGTGTCCATCAGAAATGAGCGCCCTCACACCTGCCAGTCCAGCCACGCTGACGTGCAGAATGTAGGCCAGGACTCTCCAGCTTGAGGAGCGGGGGCTGGGCTCGGCTTCCAGTACCTTTCTGGAACTTCTCATCTCTGGACATTGAAAACCTGGAGCACCCACATAGCCCCCCGGCATGACAGCTAACACCTGGGTGGTCCTTTCTGCTCGTTTATCAGCCCATTACTTTCCCCAATGGCCCTGCTGGTTCTGTTTGGTTTCTACAGTCGCTTCCTTACAGATGGGGACGTGGAGGAAAACTCGGGCTATTTGCTGTTGTTTCTGTTGTTGTTTTTTTGTGCTGTGTTTTGTCAAATCAGAAAACTCTTCATTTGCTCTATTTCCAGCAGTGAGAATGGGCTGTGCAGAGGCCGCCCACACCTGGCAGGGGTCAAGGTGAGCCCTCGGTCGCCACGTTCCCTGGGACTCCCAGGATGGCAAGCCTGGCAGCAGTTCCTGTTTTCTTTGGTGTCATTGGAAATGCTACTGTTTGGATGTAGTTTGTTGGGATGCCAATATATCAAGAAAGGCTTCCTTGTTCTCCCTCCTGAAATTCTGCACACACGACTGTTTTTAGCAACAGTGATGTGATCTCTATTTTTGGTGGCAGTTTTGAGCACCCTGTCCGTTGGAACTTTTTGTGTTGTAAACAGACAGGAGATCCAGCCCAAATGGAGGTAAGTAATAAGGACCATGCACTCACCTCGGTGGAGAGGCCACGGGTTCGGAGACCTTCAGGAGAAGTTTGATCCAGCCGCTCAGTGATGCAGCAGGGACCGAGAGCCCTTGGGTGCCCTGCTCCCTCCACATTCCCAGGGGCTCCTCATGCTGCCCTGGCAGCTCTGCAGAAGGCCTCCCTGAAGAAAGGCAGCTGGTCCCAGCTAGAGTCCCAGGGTTCATGCTGGCTGAGCCCCCTTCTTGTTTCTTCCCCAACCCAGAGCTATTCTCACCTCCCCTGAAGGCCTTCCCAGGTGATGGGGGCCATGGAGACTGCATTGGACAGCTCTGTGCACTGTCCATGAAGCACTTGCTGCAGGACTCCCTTAGAAACGTGAGGCTTTAAACACCTTGGGACCCCAGGAGGAGGCATGTGTCCAGCTAGCGGTGCCCCTCTGTGGTGTGGAGAACGTTCTACTCAGACGTTCCTGAGTGGGAACTTGGCAGCACAACTGGGAAACCTGTTGCTTCCAGCCCCGCGGGCCTGTAGACCCCCCACCAGAGATGGGCCCTCCTGCCAGGCTTCCTACCTTGTGCAACTTAGCCTCCTGCTGCACCCCATCCACCAGCTCTGCCAGCACGAGAGGTCATCCCACACGCTCCTGCTTCCAGGCCACCAGCTGTCCCCCATGGCCCCCATCTCCCCTGTACCCTCTGGACTTTGCAGAGACCCCTCTGCTCTCCTTGGGGTTACAGAGCTCTGCATCTGTCTCCTCCCCTCCCCTGCAGCTGCTCCCAATCCTGCACCCCACACAGAGCCTGGGGCTCCACACTCCTTCACCACTGACCACACCTGCCAGGTGCTGCCTGCATCTCAACTCAGGCCACCTGCTCCCGCCCTCCATGTTGGGTTCATGCAGCGATTCTCCCAGGCCACTCTGTGTCTCCCTCTGCTCCAGCATCCTGCTGCCTAGGCGGCCGTGCCACTGCAGCCCTTGCTCCAGAGTACCTGCCTGGAAACCTTGCCCCGGCTCCCCAAATGCACCTCCCTTCCCACAGGACATCCATTCAAGGCCACATCCAAACCTCCAAATGCCTCCTGAACACTTCACCTAGAGGCCTCACCTGCCTGGTGGCTCACGGAGGCTGGCGCCATCGCCTCCCCCCGCCACAGCCAGACTGGTCTGCTCCCCCTCCTCTTCACGTCCCCTCTTGGTGATCACCTGCTCCCCCATTTCCCACCTCAAGCAGTCTCACCCTCCTCTGTGCCCCGCCCCTGGCTCCTACCTACGCAAGGTGGCAGCCTCTGGCCACCCTGCACGCCCAGCCATGCAGAGCCTGGGAAACGACAGGACATGTGGCTGTCCTTTCACGGCCCCTGTCACCTCCCCCAAATCCAGCCAGGGCTGAGACGCCCCACACTGTGGCCCCCGGCATAAGGCCTTGATCCTTCCTGAGGGCAGGATGGGGGCAGTTTTGTTCTGTGAAGTTCCTTGGCCTTGAGCTTAGCTGGACCCCGCTCCCGGAAAGCCCGAGAAACAGACGTTCCTCTGTGAAAGCCCCTTCTGAGCACCTGCAAGGAGCACTCTGCCATCCCACTCCTGGTTCAGGCTTTCATCCGCGTGGAGGGCCTTGTCTTCTGTGAGTCCCCGCCTCAGCCTCACCTGGCTCCTAGGAGGCTCTGGGAAGGTTAGCTGGGCTGTTCCCCAAACAAGGGGCCACAGGAAGGTGGGGGCTCCTGAGGGTCTGGGAGGCAGGGGAGACTATGTGTGCCCTTTCTCTTCCGCACCTGAAACCTGACTTTCCCTCACTGGAGACCTGAGGATGGAGTGCAGTGGCTTAGCTAAGCTTCTGTTAACAGCATGCTCACTGTTTTGAAACAGAAATGAAAGAACATTTGGGAGTTGGGGTATGTGCAGAGAAAACATTTTCCTTGAATGTCTTTACTGAATGGGTGGGAATAGGTATGTGTGAAGGGGAAAAGTTCAGGGTACAGTGGTCAGGTCCTTGGGAGATGTCGGGGAGGGCCGTCTGGCCCAGCTCCTGAGGAGGGTGGGCCCAGGCTCATCCTATACGCACTAGTCCTGACGCCTCACAATTAATCAAATGGCTAAAAACAAACACAAAAGAAGCCCTCAGCATTGTGTTACCAGGGCAGCGGTGTGATGTCATCTGTTCATTCCAAGCTGTCACCCCGAAGCTGAGTGAAGTACGTGGTGAGGACAGGCAGATTGTGCCTTACGTGCATAGTGCAAATAAGGTTTGTGTAGAGTATTTTGCTCATTGACTGTGGAATTCATTGATTATGTTATTCACTGCACGTTCAGCTCCGCAAAGCGTCTTCTGTGTACCTGGGAGGAGCATGGTGCCATTTCCCTTCCTCCTTCAGACTTTCTTCTACATGGAAGGCCCCGTCCTCCACAGGTCCCAGCCTCAGCTGACACTCGGGTCCCAGGAGGCTCTGCGAAGGTTTGCTGGGCGGTTCCCCCGCACGCCGGGCTACAACAAAGGTGGGCGCCACTGAGGGGCCTGGGAAGTAGAGGCGCAAGAACCTGTGTCAAAGCATGTTGCACATTATCTGATTATTTTATTCAAAATCAATCATCAGATCCCATACAAAATGTTTTCATGTAGATTATCTTACTCGTTGTCACAAAGACCCACAAGAAAGGTAGAATTGAGGTTTCTAATCCCTATTTTATAGCTGAGGAAACTGAGACCCAAATTACGTTTCCAACAGTGGCTTTCTGCTTCTTCCAGGAACACAGCATGACACGTGCTGTGAACCTCAGCTGTGAGACAACCGAAGGAGAGACAACATTCAGCAAAAACAGAGCCCAAACTGTCCCCGTTTCTCTCAGCCCCAACTGCTCCATGGCTTGGAGTGCAGCAAATGTTTCAGCCGCGCTCAAAGGGAAGGCTTTGCTCTGGAGTCAGCATGCAGAGCTCGCCTCGACTCCCCTCCATGCCGCTCCTCACCAGCACTGGCTGGGTTTGAATCTCAGCTCCCTGGCTCCTCGCTGTAAGCCCTGGAATGCAAACCCCAAGGGCCAAACACCCCGAGGCTCTCAGGTCCCAGGCGCGGACACCTTCCTGGCCTTGGCTGTCATGGCCCAGATGGAAGCAAAGACAACTCCCCTCTCCACAGGTCGGCTGGTCCTCCTGCCCCGAGAGCAGGAGCCCAGGCACAGGCTCTGTACAGAGTTCTCCATCTACTTCTCCCAGGGTGGCTATGCAAAGGCCGTCTGCCTCTCGCTCTCTGGGTCCCACCTGCAGCCTGTCCCAGTGGATTCTGTAGGCTCCACAGTGATGCTGGGAAAAGACCCAAACACCCGGACAAAGCACGTGGACAGCTGCCAATGCCAAAACGGCAGGAAGCAAGGGAAAGGCAGCTGGCTCCGACCCTTTGCCAACCGTGTGCAACGCTGCAGGCACCTAGAGCCAGCGAGGAGCTACCAAACTGGTTCCCATCTATGCTTGCAGCGGCTGCTGTCGCAGAGGCAGGACAGGGGTGCATGGCTATGCCAAGTATCCTTCTGGGATGAGCCGATTCTCTTGTCCCAGGTCGGGCATGATGGAGAGGCCAGAAGGTGTGTTTGAATAGCAGGCATTGGGGGTTTGCAAAGGGCTGTGATTTCCTGGGCCTCCCGTCTTAGGCAGGCTCTGGGTTCTCCTTGGTTCTTCCCTTGGAGCAGGGACCTGGCTTTGGATGACCATGGATCTTTCCTGGTTTCTGCTGTTATCTTGCTGTGTGACCGAGGTCAAGTCCACACTCCCTTCCCAAGCTTGTTTTCTCTGCAGTAAAACTGCCATTTGGAACTGAACCCTTCAAGGGGAGGCGGCTGAAACAGTGGGGGTGATGCTGGGTGCTAAGCCCTACCCCTTCTCCTAAATACCTACTTCTCTCCTTTTTTTTCCTTTTTTACCTATTAATGGGTTAGACAGCCAAAAACCCTCTCTGAAAGAGTGTCCTGGCCCAAGTCCGCCTGGGGCACTGTTGTGAGCCTCAATTTCTACGGATCTATGCCTGGAAAGCTTTTAGCATAAAACGTTTTAGGTAGAAGACCGGGATCACGGAACAGGATCAGGACCCCAGAACAGGACCGAGACCATGAAACAGGAAGCAAGCTACATCCAGCACCCAGTTCAGAGAGAGGGCTGGGGACGCCGACACTCCACCTCCTTCCCAGCAAACTCGGAAGGCTCCAGGGCATCCCTGGAGCTGCTCTGGCAGAGAAGAATCAGTGTCCACACGTGCAGCTCTCGCTCGAGGAAGGGCAGGGGCGACATCAGAGGCATGCTTTGCACAGCACACGCTTCTAGAATGGCTGGGATTTCAACCTTGAAAGTCTCAACTCCTTCTTCCTCCTCAGATCTTGGGATTTTGAAAGTGATTCCTAAATGCCTTTCGATCTCATTTTTGCCGAAGGAGATGGTCCTAATTTACTGCATTCCAATTGGAAACATTTTTGAGAGTAAAAATACCTGAAGACATGTTGGGCCTGGAGGTAGCAGACTCAAAATTAAAGCAGGGGCCCCTCTATCCACCGCCCCCCAGATTGCATTAAACACAGCATGTTGGGGATCAGTGAGTTGCCATGGCCCTGCAATCAGACATTTTGCCCTCTGAAATTTAGCCTTGATTTTGAAGCCCTGAGTTTAGTATATTTAGATGAGCTGACGGGCCCAGGGAGTCACTCAGAAAGGGTAGAGGTCCTTCAGAGCTGCGTTAAGATACAGTGGGAGGGGGTCAAATTGCTAATTTCATCTGCCACTGAAAACTCCCAAACAGCAGAGAACTTCCCAGAAGACTTGTGAAGTTGGGAGTCTGCAGGTGGCGGGGGTTGGGTGGGGAGGTGATGGCATTCTACCCCTAAGAGAGCATTTTGAAGTTGAAGCTCAACTTAAAATATTTGTGCCTATTTTTGAGACAGGGTCTTGCTCTGTCACCCAGGCTGGAGTGCAATGGCACCATCTCAGCTCACTGCAGCCTCGACCTCCCAGGCTTGAGCAATCCTCTCACCTCAGCCTCCTGAGTAGCTGGGACTACAGGCATGCACCACCACACTTGGCTAATGTGTGTATGTGTGTGTGTGTTTGTAGAAATGGGGTTTTGCCCTGTTGCCCAGGCTGGTCTCAAACTCCCGAACTCAAGCCACCTGCTCTCCTCGGCCTCCCAAAGTGTTGGGATTACAGATGTGCATCATCGTGCCCAGCCACATTATGCTTTTTAGAGGGACATCACCAATCAGACAGTGGCCTGGGCTGGACACAGCATCCCTGGAAGACGGCCCCTCTCTAAGGTGTCATCTGCCATTAGCCAAGGACCCTCTTGTCTCTCTAGCTCCAAGTCTCCACAGAGGATGTGCTCAAAAGTGAGTGTGTGTGGCCTTGCCCCCCACTTCTCCTGCCTGCAGGTGGGGAGGGAAGCAGGTGGCAGGAGGAGGTGGCTGTCTGGGGCTGCCCTCCTCTGTACCTGTGCGTGATTTTACTCTATGCTGAGTGCCAGCAGGGAGGATGGGAAACAACATTTCTGTCTGGTTATCAAATGATCGCCATCATTGGCCTCATGGCATCACCACTGTCTTCATTGCTGGCACCTTCCCGTCCTCCCTCCAGCCAGGGAAGTCTGACCCAGGCACAGGTGACAGGAAGTGTCACTCTGCCTTAGGGGTCTGCAATCTTGGGATGTCAAACAGGCCCCACGGTGCCTTGCACCCCTGGTCTCACACTCTGTATCATTTTCTGTACTGTTCATGTGGTTCTCAAAGCAGGCGTGGCCAGGGAGTGGGACAGCTTTGTGTCCGTGTCTTGGAGCTGCTGCAAAGAGGCCCCGAGGGCCGGGGGCTCAGGCCACAGAAACGGATCTTGTCCCGGCAGTGGGGGCTGAAGCCTGAGATCACAGTGTGGGCGGGGCTGGGTCCTTCTCAGGCTGTGTGGGGGGTTCTGTCCCAGGCCTCTCTCCTGGGAGTGCAGGCACTGGCTCCGCCCATGTCCTTCACCTCCCCTTCCCTCTAATTGTGTCTGCCTCTGTCACCACATCTCCTCTTTATGAGGACATTGGCCCTATTGGATCAGTGCCCTCTCTAATGACCTCAATTTAAATCAGTGACCTCTGTGGAGACCCTCTCTCCAGATAAAGCCTCCTTCAGATAAAGCCTCTTGCGGATAAAGCCTAAAGCACTGGTGGTCAGGACTTCAACGTGTGAATTCCAGGAGGACACACTTCAGCCCATTACAGACCTGATGGCTTCTGCCAGACACCCAGCCGATCCCCATGGCTTATGGAGGAAGAAGACAAGTGGAGACGGGGAGGTGGTCGGGCGACCCTTTCCACGGCCAGCAGCAACTGCACCCGTGTCTGGGCACCTCCTGAGTGCTGTAAGCCCCCATGCATCATCAAGACGGAGGCCCAGGCAAGGGCAGGTGGGAGCTGAAACCCGTCTCAGGAGGTGGATATTTTTATCATTGGGTGTTTGTATTTTTCTTATTATAAGAGCCTTCGTCTTTTTCTTCTTGCACGTCATTTATTGCTTGCTTTTATTCTTATCTGGTTGTTTTCTGTGTGGGTTACAGATCCCCAAGCCACCTTCCCTTGGTCCCAGCCCAGATTGTGGCTCCCCTGTGTGCCTCCCAGGCCCCAGGATAGACGTCAACCGTGTCCCCTTGTGGGTGCCTTGAGCTTAGCACCTGCCTGTCCCTTCCAGGGGCCCCTCTAATACAGGACTTACATCTTCATGAAGACACTAACTGTACTAGTGCGTGTTCTCCAGAGGAGCAGAGCCACTCAAGGTGTGCACATCAGAAGAGAGCTATTTTAAGGAACTGGCTGACGCTGGCAAGTTCAAACTCTGCAGGGTGGGCCGGCAGGCTGGAGACCTGGGAAGGAGCTCATGTCACAGTTCGAGGCCTAAGGCAGTCTGGGGGTGGAATTCCTTCTTGCTCAAGGCTGGTCAATCTCTTTGTTCTAGTCAGGCCTTCAACTGATTGGGTGAGGCCCACCCCTTTTGACGAGAGCCACCTGCTTTACTCGAAGGCTAATCTCATCTAGAAACACCTTTACAGGTGCATCCAGAGTAATGTTTGACGAGCTATCTTAGCACCGTGGTCCAGCCAAGCTGACTATAGAATTAATCATCACACCGTCTAATGCCAAAATAATTCAAATCTTTTTTTAAGTGAAAACAAGTTTATTAAGAAAGTAAAGGAATAAAAGAATAGCTACTCCATAGGCAGAGCAGCCCCAATAATTCAAATCTTTACTGAAGTCCCAAGAGGCTTGTGGGAGGAAGGTGTACTCCGAACGCACAGCAAAATCTTAACATTTCTCTCTCCCTGGCCACTCTCCACATTGCTTGCTATGACTCCCCTGAAACTGCTCCCCTCATTCTCAGCCTTGAACCCAGAAATACCCCAGCCCCCAGCACTCCTGCACTTCCTTCCGCCTCCCACTTTGTTCCTGTCCTGTCCTTCCTTCTCCTCCGCAGATGACTCCCAGCCACTTCCAGTCCTCACCCTGTCCCAACTTCTCCACCTTTGTCTCTCCACCAGCCCTGAGGCCTCACCATGCAAGTCCAGGCACTGAGCCAGCAAAGGCAGAATCCACCGCCCCCAGGTAGGGAAGGGGAGCAGAGAGCACAGGGCACTCTTCCCTCAAAGAGCACAGGGCACTCTTCCCTCAGAGAGCACAGGGCACTCTTCCCTCTGCACATTTCCTGGGCATCTCCACCCCATTGCTCGTGAAGCTTGGAGAGCTGGTAGCTTACGGAGACAAGACTCCCCCAAGCCCCTCAAGACTGCAGGCCCAGCCCTCCCAGCTCCCCTTCAGATCAGGGAGGAGAGAGTCACAGTGTTTCTGCTTCTCCAGCACCACCGTCCAAAGTGGAGATGATGTCAGCAAAGGGGATATTGAAGCAGATGGAGTGGTACAGATGGTGGGTCACTAAAACGCAGGTTGAAGGTACGTGCTGCCACGGGCTAAGCCAAGAAGATGGGAAGGTGGGTCTGTCTGTTGGAATATAAATCCTTGGCCCCAGTGTTCCTGGTGGAGAGTCCTCCAGTATGAATGCTTGCTGGGCATGCTCAGTTTAGGAGGAGTTAATCCAACAGGTCCTATTTCTTTCATAAGGACTGAGGCCACTGTGGGAGCATGGGCTGCCTAATGCCGTCCCAGCTGTTGCTAAATGAAAGGCCGGGCCTGCTATGTAAATGTCTTATTTGATGCCTTTTCTATGATGCATGTCCTCCTGGAATGGGGCTCCTGGCTTTGTCAGTCCTGGAGACCCACAGGGATGTAGATTGTGCCTTTTGGAAAATGCTTCCAGTGACCCACATGTTACGTGCCTCTGTCCATATTTTCAACAAGCTTTTCAGAGCACAGTTTTAATGTCCATTAAGGAACTATCTCATTTGGCCAAGGGAGGCATACACGGGTGAGTACTCTAAGATAACACAATTTGAAGAGATCTGATATGAAACTGTCACACTGGGGTATGATCATTCTCACTGCAAGAGAAATACTTGATTAAAATGCATTGAAGACATATTTTAAATTAGACCCTCTCGCAGTGCATTTAAGACAGATCCACTTTACTTTCCAGGCTTTTCACATCAAGTCATGCCTGTGCCCACAGACAGGGGAGGAGGTGGCATGAGGCTCCAAGCTCTGGAGCCTTGGAAGTCAGGCAGGCCCCACTGGAATCACAGCCCCCTACTCCCAGGCAAGTCAGCTCACCTCTCCAGAACTCTGTGTGCTTCTCTGTGAATTGGGGATAAAGAAGAGAGTCCCTGTTACTTGCTTTTTTATGGGCTTAGTCCTCTCTGTCCAACGAGTGTGTGAGAAAGCAAAGGTGACTGTGGCATAGACACCGGCCGCTTAGTGCATCGTCCCCATTCAGACATCCCTGCTCCTGACTCCTCCCATCTTCTCAGGCACACCTAAGGAGTCAGTCTCTCCTGACCGATGGATCCAACTTCACAGCTGCGACTGAGCACCAGGGGGACGTGGCGCTGGGAAATTGTCCCGGCAGACGAGACTGAACCCTAGAAGGGCCCCATGGTAAAACTGATAAAGCCTGAAATGTGTGTGCAGACATGGGCCTCTTTATTACCACACAACGACCATTAAAATCTCTCTGCTATGGTGTAATTATTTTCCATAAATTATTGGGGTACTGGTGGTATCTGGTTACATGAGTACGTTCTTTAGTGGTGATTTGTGAGATCTTGGTGCACCCATCACCTGAGCAGTATACACTGCACCATATTTGTAGTCTTCTAATCCCTCACTGCCCCCACTCTTCCCCCCAAATCCCCAAAGTCCATTGTATTGTTCTTATGCCTTTGAGTCCTCATAGCTTAGCCCCCACATATCAGTGAGAACATACTGTGTTTGGTTTTTCCATTCCTGAGTTACTTCACTTAGAATAATAGTCTCCAATCTCATCCAGGTCACTGCAAATGCTGTTGATTCATTCCTTTTTATTGCTGCATAGTATTCCATCATATATATATATCCATCCATATATATATATATCAGAGTTTTTTATCCACTCGTTGATTGACAGGCATTTGGGTTGACTCCACGATTTTGCAATTGTGAATTGTGCTGCTAGAAACATGCATGTGTAAGTATTTTTTTCGTATAATGACTTCTTTTCCTCTGGGTAGATATGGCAGTGGGATTGCTGGATCAAATGGTAGTTCTACTTTTAGTTCTTTAAAGAATCTCCACACTGTTTTCGATAGTGGTTGTATGAGTTTACATTCCCACCAGCAGCGTAGAAGGGTTCCCTCTTCACTATGGTGTAATTTTTAAGTTTAAGCTTTTAATCTCAGATGAATCTATCTATCTATCTATCTGTCTGTCTATCTATCTACCAACCTACCTGTTATCTGTCTACCTATTATCTATCTATCCTAAAATACTAACAAGCTTAAAATGGAAAATAGCTCTTTTCTCCCTCCCTTTCACATCCCAGAGCCCGAGCATTGGGAGGGCTCTTTCAGCGTTTTTATCCATTTCTTCTGGTATTTATCTCCACATTTTAAAATAACATGCTTAGGCTGTGGGGGGTGGGTGGCTCACACCTGTAATCCCAGTACTTTGGGAGGCCAAGGCAGGCGGATTACCTGAGATCAGGAGTTCAAGACCTGCCTGGCCAGCAAGGCAAAACCTCATCTCTACTTAGAAATACAAAAAATTAGCCAGACGTGGTGGCGGGTGCCTGTAATCCCAGCTACTTTGGAGGCTGAGGCAGGAGAATCTCTTGAACCCGGGAGGCGGAGGCTACAGTAAGCCCAGATTGCACCATTGCAGTCCAGCCTGGGTGACAAAGCGAGACTCCATCTCAAATACTAATAATAATAATAATAACATTCTTAGAACGTTCTTTATGAATTCTTCAGTTCTAGACATGATCTTCTGTCTTTCTACACCTGGAGCTGAGGACTCAGCTCTTTAACATCCACCTTCCCACCTGTTTCTGCTCCTCGTGTGCCTCTCAAAATTAAGTCTTAATTAATAGTTGAATCTGTTTTACTGTTTCCATAGTTATAGCTGTGTGATACAATCAATCACAGTTCACAAAACGAAATCACATACTGCACTGTAATCCCACTTCTTTCCTTTTCAAACTTTTCGTTTTTCTTAAAGTTAATCATTGTTTGTTTCCTGTTTTTCTTTTTCTTTTTTTGGTGCGTGTGTGGCTTTTTATGAACTTTTCACTAATTCAGCTCCAAACTTTGCTTAAAACAAAACAAAACAAAACAAACAAACAAACAAACAAAAAAACCCACACAAAACCCCCGGGGTCTCTCAGCGCCATTGCTTTCCTTGCAGACATTTCTTTGGTGACGCACCCAACACTGGGCTGGTTTGCCCAAGGCCACTCTGGAACCCTGCTTGGGATGTTGCTGTCTAGGTGGGATCGTTTGCTCCCCAGATCTGCTGGTTTTTGCCCTAGTTTTGGGGGAGCTTGTTGAGCCAGGACAGCGGGGAGGGGAGCTGACCTTCTCCCATTTGCCCCGGAGATCCCTGCTCTGTGCCCACCTGCTGTGTCTGTGGGCTCCCTCCCCTCTGGTTGGGGCTCAGTGGGGGCCTGTGGAAGGGGACCGGTGGGTGGGAGGAGAGCAAGCCAGAGTTTCTTCCCTGGCTCTGTCCTTCTCTGTCATGCACAGCCCTCAGGAGCCTCCACAGAGTGTCCTGGGCTCCATCGACCACGCCTCCCCAGTGGCAGCTCACCACCTGCTGCCACCCTGGCTGTGAGCACCCCACACTCTGCCACACCTCGCACATAGCTCTGGTCAAACTTCCCTCAAACCACGGAATCTGGGCGTGGGCCTGGTGTCCTGCCAGGCCCTGGTGGGGAGGCCTGGGGCTGCTGCTGATGTCTTTACTCGGCACTCACAACTGACAGGACACCTGGGTCCACACACCGGGGGTGGAAGGCATCACCCCAACCCCACTGTCCCAGCACTGCGGTGGGGCCGTCCAATGCGGTTCCAAGGCTTTGCTGAGGCCAGGGGGCCTGGCTTCTCCCCACTCCTGTTTCCACAGTGGGGTCTCCCATAGCCTGTCTCCCCGCCATGGCTCTCTCTGTTCCAGCGTGGAGCAGTGATGTCCCTGGAGATTCAGAAAGAATCACGGGGCTCCTGCAGCCCACCCCACCTTCCTTCTAGTCCCAGAGCCTGGGTGGGTGGGCAAGGCAGTGGGCTTGGGTACCCCAGGGCAGGCCCACTGGGTTGCCACAGACGGTCTTGACCTTGGCTGAGCCTCCACTGATTGTAAAGGTGACACTTAGCCCTCTCCCGCCTCTCTGTTGTTTTATTTTTCCAAATTGCCCAGAACCTGGGCAGGGGAGAGGGACGATAACTACTAGCCCCCTCGATCATCCTAGAACTGGCGCTTCGACATCAGCACCGCGTGTGCCACTCCTGCAGTGCTTCTTTCCCTCCCTCCTCCTTCTTTCTTTCCCTTCCTCCTCCTTCTTTCTTTCCCTCCCTCCTCCTTCTTTCCCTCCCTCCTCCTTTCCTTCTCGGTGTAGGACATTCCCATGGCCCTTTCAACCCGGAAACGCATGCCTCTCAGCTCTGAATCCTGCTTTTCTCTGTTCTGTCTTTCTGGGACTCCTCATTGGACTTCCTGGATTCGTGCTCAAATCTTTTTGTTTTGTTTTGTTTTGTTTTGTTTTGTTTTGTTTTTCTTCTTCTCTTTGTCTTTTTGCCCTGCTGCGTATGATTTCTCTCATTTCATCTTCCAAAACTGCTACTAAAGTTTCCATTCAAGAAATGGTTTTCCTAATTCACAGGAGATCACTGGAATTCTCAGTTCTCTTTTTCGCCGGTCGCTGTATCTCGGAGGTATGGGAGCTTCTCTCCGGCGGCACCTCTGACGTGCTTCTCCCCCTTCCTCTGTGCTTCTTCTGTGTGTTTGTTCTGGCCTGTCTGTCCCGGGTGTCCATTTATAACGGAAGCTGAGAGGGGTTCTCCAGCCTCCTGCCTGGAGAGGCAAGGCTGGGCTTCCAGCAGCTGGCATTGAGCAGGGGAGAAGTGGGGAGCCTCCTAGAGTCACCCCGAGTCCTCCATTCCCACCTGCTCCACAAGGCTGTGCTGGGGTTCAGACCCTTCCTGGACCCCTCCAGCTGGCAGGAGTGGGGGAGAGTGGTCATCAACTCTGAGCTAGGAAGAGGGTCTCCCCGTGTCTCTTGCAGATCATCAGCCGGTCCTGCAGCTTTAGCCCCATGCTGTACCTCAGAATTAGAGGTTTTGTCACCTGCCAGTCCCCAGTCCTTCTGGGACCAGCCTGCTGGTCCAGCTTCCCCGACTCAGGCCTCCCTGCTGCATTTCCTCTTTCGAGGTTCAGCCGAGGGGCTGCCCACCCTTCCCCACTCATCTTCCATGAGCCTCACAGGGTCTCCTGTCTGCAGGCTGCCCCTGTCCCCCTCTCCTGCGCATTCACAGGTCATTCCTTCTTTGATGTCACTTTCGGGGGCTGTATTTGTTCCTTGTGGCTGCTGCACCAAACAACCACAAACTGATAGCTTCAGAAGTGGATTCTCCCAGAGTTCTGGGGGCAGAAATTTGAATCAAGGTGTGGGCGGGGCTGGTTCTTTCTGGAGGCTCGGAGGGAGCGCCTGTTCCAGGCTGCTCTCCAGCATTCCTTGGCTTGTGGACACGTCACTCCCATCCCTGCCTCTGTCATCTCCCAGTGTTCTCTGAAATCTCCCACTGCCCTTCTCTTGTAAGGCCGTCCTTGATTTAGGAGCCACCCCAAATCCAGATGGTCTCATCTCCAGATCCTTAACTTAATTACATCTGCAAAGACTTTTCCCAAGTAGGGTCCATTCACAGGTTCCAGGGGTTTAGATGTAAACATATCTTTTGGAGGATTTCAGGGGGAAACACTGATAATCATGCATGTGTAACCGGTCACACCTAAACACGCTTCCTGCAATGCAGAGCTGCCGGACAGCTTCCTGCCCTCCCTGCTCCCTCCCACGCTTCATCCCTAGACCCCCGGAACCCGGGCATGGCCTGGTCATCCTTCCTGGCCAATGCACCCCAGCACCTCTCCCATCCCTCTCTCCTCCTCTGGCTCCCACTCATGCCCTCCCCACTTTCTTTCGGCAGTCGGGCCTGTTTCCTGGGTCACTGAGTCAGCGAGTGATGAGACCTGCTGGAAATATGTGTGGAGGATGGGCGAGTCCACTCAGCCTTGGATGGGGCGGCAGGAAAAAGGCAGCCCCGAGCCCAGCCCAGGTCAGGATGAGAGTCTTTATTCAGGAGGACAGAACTGGCAGTCGGCAGCAAGCAGACCCAGAAGTAGATATTGGGGGCTTCATCTCAGGGAGACTGGTGCTTGGAGGTGGAAAGTCAAGTCCACCGGGGTACAAACCAGTGTGGCCATGAGCAGGCAAAGGGCGTGGCTGTTTCTAAAGAGCCCTGACACTCCCAGGCAGCTGTCGGGTTCCTTGAGGGAAAGGACACTTTGAGTCTTCCTACGGGCTGGGGGTCAGAACGGACCTCTGCACTACGGTTTATGAGGTGCCCACATTCAATCCCATAAGGGCTGTCATCACTGTACTCTCTGGGCCTTCACTTGCTCTGGACTTTGCAGCTCAGGTGGCTCCGGTCCTGTGTGGGCAGTGAGGCGGTGCTCCGTGGATGGAGGGTTAGATCTGTCTTACCCCAAGCCAAAGGGCTTAAGAGGGAGACAGAGTGTGGGTGACCCCGCCTACAGAGAAGCAGGATGCAGGGACGGTACACAGGAGCAGGCCACATGCCCCGTACTCTTCCTCTGCATGTGGTGACTGCTCTGGGTGCCCCCTCTTTCAGATGGTCCTGGCCCCAGACGACGTGGCATCTTAGCCTGTGGGTTGAAGGCATCTGTGGGGCAGATTGCCTCTGTACACGTTGGCCCCTACGTGTGGCGGCCCACAGGCATACCCATGCCACACACAGTGAGGTGTTCGACGAGCCTCCGATGGCACCGTTTCTATGACTGACAGCCATTTTCATGGCCCTGCAGGTGCAGGATAACACAAGGCTGCACCTGGCCTCTGTAGCCACGTGGAATATACTGCCTCTCCCCAGGACCCACCCTGCCCACCCAGGCCTCACTCTTCCAGACAGCCCATCCCCACTCTGCCTTACCCAGAGGCTGTCTGGTCTCCTGTGAGGGTCCCCACCTCCTCTTCTGGGGTGCTCAGGGCTGCCAGCAACCCTCCAAACTATGTCACTCAGAGCCACACAGCATCCTGCAGATGGCACTGGGGCTGCAGGGAGACGGCTGACCTGGGGCTGAGTTCCCGTTGCCTCTTTGCTGCCGCATGACTCCCGGCTCCCATGGGGCCTGTGTTCCATCAGCTACAACCTGGAAGTCCCACCTCTGTCTGCAGTCACTTTCAAAATCAAAGAGTGAGACTTTTCCATCAAGACGTGTTGGTCTTGGCCACTGCACAGGCCCAAGGCTGTGTTTCAGACCTGAGGCTGAGGACCTGCAAAGGAGCCCCCGCCCCCAGCATGTCTCGCCCTGCGGGGAAATTCAGACTCAAGGCCCCCACCTGCCTGGCCAGCGGCCCTCCCTCAAGGATGGTCTGCGATGCCAGGGCCTGGCTGGGTGCAGGGGTCCCGGCAGTGCTGCCGCCCCCTCCAGGTCCCCTCACCCCACATGTCTGCACCCAGGCTCCTCAGGCTGACCTGGTCACCTGACAGCTGGGGACTCCGTCGGGCTGCCTTTGAACACAGGCGGAAGTGAGATGGGTTTGGGGTAGGTTTTCCTTTAGACAGCCCCTGGGGCTCGGAACAGTCTCCTGTTCTGCGGACTCACCAGTCATCTGACCCTGAAAACATGTGCACACCAGCTCACTCAGGTCTGTTCTCAGGGCCGTGACTGCAGAGGGCTCTGGTTGACCCCAGAGAAGCTGTGAGACCCCAGAGCAGGAGCCAGCACAGGGAAGTGGCCCCACGACATGCCTGGGGAGGAGAGCCAGCAGCAGGTTATGGGAGAGCAGGTACCTGCGTCCATAGTCCATAGACATGCATCACACACATGCAAATACACGCGTGCCAGCGTGCGTATGGAACCATAGACACACACACACGTGTTCCGGAAGCCAGCGTCTTTCGGCACCTCTTCCAGGAATGTGTGTGTGGGGGTGAAAACAGGAAGTGAGCCCGTGTCCACAGCCGCGTATTTCCACGTAGCCTAAGGTGTCGGTGACCCGCTCCTTGGATGCCCAGAGTTGGAGACAAAAGCCCCAGGAGAGACCCCAGGAGAGGCCAGGGCTGGGGGAGGAGGACACCCTGATGTGGCTACCAGAGTGTGCAGCAGTTGGGCTGGGAACAGGCAGCAGGCGGTGATGCCCGGAGAGGCGGCCGCCGCAGGGAGGCCCTGGGATGACCCCCCCGGCTTGGTCACTGCTCTGAGGCCCCCACTGAACTCCATCCCTGACCTCCCACGTGGGGCCAGGGTGCCCCCTCATTTGCACGGGGCCCTTTCATTCCTTGCCCCTTCTGCCTGGGGCTTCGGTGTGAGCACTCACAGGGCTGGGTCCCCCACAGAGGTGACAAGAGGCTGTTGCTCACCAGGAAACCAGGCTCAGGGCACCGGGCAGAGGAATAACGAAGTTTTCAACTTGGAAACCAAGAAAGAGGCTCCTCTGGCCCCACTGTCCGCCAGCTTTGCATTACATGACTTGGGATTATTTCTATTTGAATCACGTCAGGAGGGAGGGCACCGTGGCCTTCATAGTCTTCGTGGCCTCCACGGGCCTCAGCAGAGCATGCCAGACAGTACTGGGGAGGGCAGGGCCTTTCACTGCTGGGACCACAGCTGCCCCATTCTATCTCCCCAGAGTCTCGTGTGTGCACATGTGTGCATGTGTATGCTGGTTGTATGTGCATACATTCATGTGACCTGGGTACGTGTGCGTGTGTTTGAAGTGTGCCAAGTGTGTTCACACGCATTGTGTGTGTGGTCTGTGCGCCTGCATGTGTGTGTGTGATGTGTGCATGTGTGTGTGGTGTGTGCATGCGTGTGTGTGGTGTGTGCGTGTGTGTGGTGTGTGTGCATGTGTGTGTGATGTGTGCGTGTGTGTGGTGTGTGTGCATGCATGTGTGTGTGGTGTGCATGCATGTGTGTGTGATGTGTGCGTGTGTGTGGTGTGTGTGCATGCATGTGTGTGTGGTGTGCATGTGTGTGTGGTGTGTGTGCATGCATGTGTGTGGCATGTGCATGTGCGATCTGGGCGTGTGTGTGTGTGTGTCTGTGTGCTTGTTGCATGCAGTGGGTTCTGGCGCTTGTGCTTCAAGGATCTGTGACCTAGACAGGCGCTCCCGGTGATGCCAGCCCCAGTGGAAGCCAGTGCTGCATCAAGGTCACCAACAGGAGCCAGATGGAAGCTGAGGCCATGCTGGTGTTTCCGGAGCTCCTGTCCTTGCCGTGGTGGACCTGGGGACAGGGTGGGAGTGGGAAATGAGGCTCGCAAGCCACCACCATCCTGCCAGAGACCCCTACTTCCAGAACCTCTGTCTAGGAGCTGGGTGGGCTCTGTGTGTCCACTGCTTGGTGGGCAGCTCCACCCAGCAGACCCCGGTACCAGATGTCCCCCAGGAGACATGCGTTTGGTGGCTCAGGGTAGTGACCTGGTGACTCTCAGTCTCCAGAGCTGGAAGCCTCCACCCTGGGGTCCACAAGCAACACCCAGCCCCCAGTGCTCATGGGTGCTGGCATGGTAAGGAGGTAGCGGGCAGGGCATAGAGCCCTTGCCCTCATGCAGAGGTGCCCGCCTGCACCAGACCCAGGCTGACTCTCCTTGATGGCAGATCATGTTCCTTCTGGGATTTCTGGGCAGGATGCCAACCTAACCTGCACACCCAGGTGCTCCATTCTTAGCCAGCTGCCTGGTGAGCTCATGGTCAACATGGCACGGATGCATGTGGAGCAGACGGTGACTCGTTCAGAGAAGCAGGGAGGTGGTGGCACAAATGAATGCCATGCTTGGGAGAGCAGGGAATACCACCCAGGGTGAGCAGCAGGGAAGGCTGGCCCGGACTTTGGACAGCAGGGGTGGCTCACAGAATGGGCACGCTTCTGTATCAAGAGCGGGGCGTGGGTGTGACAGCAATGGTCTCTTGTGCTGAGGCTGCTGGGGAGCAGCAGAGGACTAGGCACTGGGAAAGGGCTGAGGCCCCCTCTGCTCTCCCAGGCCTCGGTCTGTTCACACTGGCAACCATGTTAGAGTTGGTAGTTTCTAGAAATTTCTACAAACATGCACAGCATAAAATGTCTCACATCCTCTCTCGTGCCTTTTAAAGTGAAGTAATAGTGATTCTTGCAACCTGTTCTGACTCTCTCAGGCAGAGCCCTGAGCTGCGAAGTAGAGATGAGAACAGAGATGGGGAGACCATGGCTGCGCGGACGTCTTTATTTTTCCTGGGTGGGGAGCAGGATACACAGCCACACTGCAGTCACTTAGCTTGTAAAAATATCTCAATAAATAAAACAAACAAGCAACATATACACTGAACAGAGAATATTTTTTTTTAAATGGCTAGCCAAGCAATCACGGAGAAAGGAAAAGAATAGCGGCGTGAAAGTAAGAATTCCAGGCTGACTTGAAACAATCATGCAGAGGCTCGGGGGAGGGGAAGGAACTCGGGGGTCCTCTTCTGAGAGCCTTGGTCCAGTTTCAACAGAATTGTACAAGAATGCATTTCTGTTTTATTAAAAAAATAGACATTAAAAAAGGCACTTAGAGGGAAATACAAATTCAAAATCCAAATCCTCATAAATGTGTTCCTGAATCTAGACATTTTCAGAAAGAATAAACCTCCCCCCAAACATAAGACCCAGAAGAAAAATCCAAACAGAAACAAGATGACCATGACAATGTCACCAGCAAGAGGGCTGGGAGTGCCCTTCCTATGTGGGGACCGTCCTGGGGGAGGACGGGAGCCCGGGTCTTCTGTCCGATGTCACTGCTGTCCCTTCTCTCGACGCTGGTGGAGGGCAGAGGTGGGGGCCTCCTGAGGTTGTTCAGGTTTCAGAAGTTACAGACTCGAATGCATCCCAATTCCACTTGCGCCGCCGACGCGACGGACAGCCTGGAAGATACGGAAGGGGGACCGTGAGCTACGGCCGCCTCGCTCGGCCTCCTGCAGGATCGTCCTGAGACTGTCCCAAGGCTGGGTGGGACGGGACACGGGGCAGGCCCTGAGAGAGCTGGCTCTGTTCTACTCATGTTCCTCCCAAAAGACACTGGGCAGGTGACTGCTACGGGGCCAGCCCAGGCTTCCGCAACCCCTGCCCCCTGGGCCAGGCCAAGCCCTTTCCCTCCCCCGAGTGCCCTTTCCTGCCCCCGAGTGCCCTTTCTCACACTCACCACCCCGGGGCCTCTCCCTGGCCCGTGCTCAGCGCAGCCATGAATGCGGTCTGGCTGTGGGTGAGCCCCTCAGAACAGGCTGCCTGGGGACAAGAGAGGCTCGGCACGTTGGCCCCGTGCAGGCCCGAGGGAGCTGTGGGGTTTCGGGCAGCAGAGGGCTGGGTTCCAGCGAGGAGGACGCAGAGAAATGGGTCAGCCGCTGGCGGGAGCTGTCAACGGCGGATTCTTGCTTTAAAATGCGTGCTTTCAAAACAATTGCAGACACACGGGAAGTTGCAAAGACAACACAGAGATGTCCCATGTGCCTTTCACCCAGTTTCCACACATACCACACCCACGAACACACCCCACCCCACATACACACACACACCAAACATACCACACACTACACACACCCCACACTACACACCACATACACATACCACACCCACGAACACACCCCACCCCACATACACACACACCAAACATACCACACACTACACACACCCCACACTACATACACACCACATACACATACCACAACCACGAATACACCACACCTCCACATACACACACACACCACACAAACATACTACACACTACACACACCCCGCACTGTACATACACACCACATACAAATACCACACACACAAACACACCACACTGCCACATACACAAACACACTACATACACCACCACACACCACACAAACACACCACACCCTCCCACACACAAACACATCACACACACCACACACCACACAAACATACCGCACACTACACACGCATCCCACTGTCCATACACACCTCATACACAAACACATACCACACACAAACACACCACATCCCCACATACCCACACACACACTGCACAGCACAAACACACTGCATACTACACACACCCCACACACTGCACAAACATACCACATACATATCCACACAGACAACATACCATATGGTATATTATATACCACATTATATGCCACACATACAGTGGTGTCGTCACGTCACACCCAGGCATCTGGCACCAGTATGGACCAAGAGCTTATTCACATGTCACTCGTGTGGGTGTGTGTGGTGTGGGGTATGTATGTGTGGTATATAGTGTGTAGTGTACATGGTATGTTGTATGTGTGTGCATGTGTGTGTATGTGGTATGTGTGGTGTGTGCAGTGTGTGGTATGTTTGTGTGGTGTGTGGTGCATGTGGTTTGTGTTTGTGTGTATGTGGGGTGTGGTGTGTTTGTGTGTGTGGTATGTGTGTGTATGTGGTGTCTATGTACAGTGTGAAGTGTGTGTGTAGTGTGTGGTATGTATGGTGCATGGTGTATGTGGTGTGTGTTTGGGGGATTGTATTTTGTATGGGGGGTATATGTGTACAGTGTGGCGTGTGTATGTGTGTGTGGTGTGGGGTATGTATATGTGGTATGTAGTGGGTAGTGTGTATGGTATGGTATCTATGTGTATGTGTATGTGGTATGTCTGTGTGTGTGGTATGTTTGTATGGTGTGTGGTGTATGTGGCGTGACTTTGTGTGTGTATGTGGGGGTGTGGTGTGTTTGTGTGGTATGTGTTTGTGTATGTGGTGCGTATGTACAATGTGGGGTGTGTGTGTAGTGTGTGGTATGTTTGTGTGCCATGTGATGTGTGTTTGTGTGTGGTGTAGGTGGTGTGTGTTTGTAAGTGGGGGTGTAGTGTGTTTGTGTGGTGTGTGTGTATGTGGTGTGTATGTACAGTGTGGGGGTGTGTGTGTAGTGTGTGGTATATTTGTGTGGCGCGTGGTGTGTGTTTATGTGTGTAAGTGGGTATGTGGAGTGTTTGTGTGTTTTTGTGTGTGTGTTGTGTGCGTTTATGTGTGTGTTTGTGTGTGTATTGTGTGCATTTGTGTGTGTGTGTGAGTGGTGTATGTGTACTTCCTGCAGTTTCATCATGCGTGTTGTTTCTTGCACCCCCCACTATGATCAAGACACACAATTCTTCCAGCCCCACAAGGTCCCCTCATGCCACACAAGTGACTTCTAAGCGCACTTGTGGGCCAATCAAACTGTGGGTGTGCCAGGCTTGGTGCAGCTCTGGGGCTGCAACCAGCTGTCCCGGGAGCGCCTTGGGGAAAGAACCCGCTCAGGCGCTACCCAGAGCCTGGTTCCCACCTGCAGGGGGAGGAGACACAGGCAGGAGGAAAGTCCAGGTCCTCCAGGAAGCCGGGGTGGGGACCCCAATCCCGCGCCTCCCTCTGTGCCTGCCAAGCTCAAAGAGAAGGTGCTGAGAGGTGGCCGGGGCCAGCGTCTGAGACCCAGGGTGTACAGGGATGTGGTGTCATAAGCCCAAGGTCTTGGGCCACCTCAGTGGGGCCCACAGGGCAGGGGACACGCCACTGGCATCAGCACCTGGTCGGGAGTGTGGCGAACACAGGTGGGCCCCGCGCCGCGCCTCAGGGCCGCTTCTGCCACACACCCAGGCCAGCCTGCAGCAGCCCCCAGGCTGTGTTGCTGTCCTGCCAGGAGACCTGAGCTCTAGCAGGGATCGCTGAAGACTGGCCCTGCGACCTGGGACCTTTACTGCTCACCACAGGGCCTGGCCGTGTAAGTGCTCACTCCCACACCTCTTGCACAAACATGAGAACAGCCAGTTGACCTGCAGAGCTCGCGGGAGGTGAGTGTTCAGCGAGAATTATTGGAGAACTCCCCTGAGCCAAGGGGCAAACCAGCGCAACGAGACCCTCCTCCCGCAGAGCGGCTGAGCGTGGTGGGAGGGGTGGGTGTCAGCCCAGAGGCAGGCATGGGCTCCCCAAGGCGGCCGCCAGGAGAGGGGTCACCGTGAGGATTCTGCCACAGGGAAGGAGGTCCAGGGAGGCCCCAGGCACTGGGGGGAGGATGTGGAAGCTGGAGGGACGGGTGACGTGGTGCTCGGTGACATCCCGTGTGTGTGTCTGTGAGTGTGCCCACTAGTGTGAGAGTGAGTGTGAGTATGAAAGAATGTCCAGAGTGAGTGTGTGTCCATGTGCAAGTTGTGTAAATTGTGTGAGCATGTGTATCGTGTAAGTTGGCCCGTGTGTGTGCCAGTGTGCATGCATGTGTGTGAGCATGTGCATCCATGAGTGGGTCTGTGTGTCCCTGTGGGAGTGTCAGTATGCATGTGTATGTGTGTGTGCGCATCCGTGTGAGTGCATGTGTTTTCCCGTGGAAGTGCTGGTGTGCATGTTTGTAAGTGTGTACATCCACGTGAGTGGGTCCGTGTGTCAGTGTGTGTGTGTAAGCATGTACATCCTCCTGAGTGGGTCTGTGTGTGTGTCCCTGTGGGAGTGTCAGTGTGCATGTTTTTGTGTGGGTGTGTGCATCTGTGTGCGTGGGTCCGTGTGTGTCCCTGTGGGCGTGGGTGTCTGATGTCGCACAGCAGTGTGCAGGGGGGACGTGTGGTTCCGCTCCTTCACCCCCAGCCCTCTCCCAACCCCCAGCCCCAGGCTTCACCCCAGCAGCCCAGGTCCTCAGAGACCTCCAGGAACCTTTGTTGAACCAAGGCAACAGTCTGAAAAAGCCAAGACGTATTTTCCCTGAAACCCATGCGTATGAAAACCACACACGCACACGCACACACGCGCACGTACACGCGCGCGCACACACACGCACACGTACACACGCGCGCGCACACACACGCGCACACGCACACCTGCACGCACACACACGCACACACGCGCATGCGCGCACATGCACACACACGCACGCACACACACGCACACACACACACACTTTTTTCAAAGTTCAGAGCACTCCAAATATTTAAGCCTTTTTTAAGTGGTCCTGGGCAGAAAGTCAAAGGCTGCTCTCTCTTGGAGAATGTGGTTGTAATTAGATAATTAATAAGGGGGGGTGGGTAGAGAAAGCTAAATGGAAGCCTTCCTCAGTGGGAGGAAATAATTACCACAGCTTTTGATATATGAGCTGAACCAACCCTCCAAGGGGAAATACCGTATCACCCATGAAAAGCCAAAAATGACAGGGGCCGTTCCCTGGCCAGTGGTGGGTTTCAGGGTTTGCTTCACGTGCCCGAGGGGACCCAGGCTCAGGCAGAAACGGGCGGCAGGTTCATTAGTCTTCTTGACCGAGAGCCTCCGGGCCTGGCCCCCTTGATGTCACCCTGACCCCAGCCATGTCTGCTGACATGGGCCGTGTTCTCTGCAACAAATGTAAAACATCTGGGGCTGGGGAGCGCCTCCTGCATACACAGGCCACCTGGAACTGTGTGCATGCGTGCTGCGTGCAGTTACCTCCCTGTATCTGCCTGCCTGGCCCAGGAGTCGGGGGATGGGTGGAGCTGCAAAGCTGTGGCTGAACCAAGAGAGTGCCTCAGTTGTGTCTTCCACACCAGACCGGGGCCCTAATGAGCAGGTGAGGCCCCATTCAACTCTATATCCCCAAGGCCTAACAAAGGGACAGAAGCATTACGGAAAAGGCTAGGGAGGCAGGGTGGGCCAAGGGAAAGGCGTTTTACTCTAAGACCATTTATCCATCTCCTCACCTGCCCACCCAGCCAGCCACCCACCTAGCCACCCACCTACCTACTTCTTTCTTCCTTCCTTCCTTTCTTTTCTTTCTTTCTTCTTTTTTTCTTTCTCTCTTCCTTCCTTCCATCCATCCATTTCTTCATTGATCCATTCATTGATGTACCACCTGTCCTTCATTCCCTCCACCCATCCATTCATCTATCCATCCTTCCTTCCTTTTATCCATTTATCCTTTCACCAATTCATTCATTTTTCCCTCCCTTCCTTCCGCTTCCTTCCCCCTTCCTCCCTTCTTTCTTTCCTCCCTTTCTTCCTTCCATTCCTGCGACATAATTGAGCATCTATCATGTGCCAAGAATGCTGCTAGTTGTTGAAAAAGCTGAGATGGATCAGAGAAATCTAGCAGGGCAGAAGCATGTTTGTAAGCAACTAGAACACAGGGAAGACACGGATCACTTTTTAGAGTGCAGGTAGACTCTACCACAGAAAGGGAAGGGCAAAGTACCATGGACACCGTTGGACAGTCAGAACCAGCATGGCAGGGAAGAAGGGTGGGAGGTGAGCACACATGTGAAATCTCTAGTCAGACACACACACACGAACACGCACACAGACACACACACACCCATCCCACACATACCCCACATCACACACACCCCACATCACACACACCTCACATTAGACACACACCTTACATCACACACACACTACCTCAAACATACCTCACATCACACACACTACATCACACATCCCATATCACACACACACACCTCACATTAGACACACCCCCATCACACACACACTACATCAAACACACCTCACATTATGCACATACCCATCACACACACCCCACATCACACACACACTACATCACACACCTCACATCACACACACCCCACATCACACACACCTCACATCACACACACCCCACATCACACACACTACGTCGCACACACACCTCACATCACAAACACCTCACATCACACACACACCCACATCACACACACCCCACATCACACACACCCACATCACACACAA